>NC_000004.12:186194108-186497138 GCF_000001405.40 Homo sapiens
CATTTGGAAGCAGCATAGTTTATGGTGAAGTTCTGGAGTCTCGCTCGGTACAAGCCAGTTTCCACCATTTACTAGCTCTGTGATACTGGGCAGTCGTTAGAAAGAATGCCCGTTCTGGGACATCAAAACCTAATAATTATTATTCTCTAATAGCTAACATGCATTATGTGTGTTTATTTGCTGTGGCAAATACTATGTTGAAAAAAACTTTAGACTTACAGAAAAGTTGCAGTATTACAGGCAGTTCACACATGCTCTCTACCTGGCTTCCTCTAACAGTAACATATTACAGAATTAGTATATTCATCAAAATGAGAAAACAAACCTTTGTCCAATACTGGTCACAACTTTCTCATCTTGATTGAATTTCAAATTTGATGTTTTTCCCCAGAATTTTTTCAGCAGATCATTGAGTACACAGAGGAATACCGCCACATGCCGCTGCTGAAGCTCTGGGTCGGGCCAGTGCCCATGGTGGCCCTTTATAATGCAGAAAATGTGGAGGTGGGTACATGTGAATATGATCAGTATTGTACTGTGTATCTGACAGTGTGAGAATCTCACCAGAATCAATATAACGTGTCCTTATATTTCAGCCATTTCAGCACAAAAAACATTCCACTAAGTATTTTAGACTATATAGGTGCAATTTAATGCTTTCCAGGTATAGCCCGAATCCTGGGAGATTAACATTCTCCAGATATAAGTGCACAACTGCTATCAGGTCCCTTTATATTTATTCTTTTTTTGAAAGGATATCGTTTTTTAGAAACACAAATAAATTATTCCGCAAGGCAAGCACTTGTTATCCACCAGACGCTATTTTAAGACTTCAAAAATATATGACTAATAAAATATGTTTCCCTCAAGTTGCTCAGGGTCTCATATCAATGATAAACTTAGTCCAAATTTAAAAGACAATGCAAATTTGATATTTATGGGATAAATATTACAAACCCATGCTGTTGAAATTAGTCCTCCAAAAAGCTGTAGTCTTTTTACTTGTTGAAAGGTCTGGGGAAATCATCTTGTAGTATGGTGAGAAAAGGATTTGGGTCAGGAAACAAAGATGGGGTAAACAGAGCTTCTCTTCATCGACCAAAATTAAAGACTGAATTTCCTAGGAAGTAGTGCCAGGACATGTCTTTCTAATTATGGTGAAAATGTTGGAGTTTCTCTTGCTTCTCCAGAATCCTGGCTCAGAGAAGAGAGCAAGAAGGGCAGACAGGATTTCTGCCGCTGTTGGCCTAGTGTTAATAGAAGTTGGTGTGGTGGATGCAGATGGAGATCTGTCCAGAGTAGGGGACTTGAGCAAGAAGCCTGGTGGGCACCCTGTGCTCAGCCCTAGACCCCATCCCTCCTCCCACTTCACGTGGACTCTGGGTGATCCGATCACGTTCATGGCTTCCATTGCTGCCTCTATGCTGGGGACACTCCGAACAGGCATCTCCAGCTCAGGCCTTATCTTGGCTGTCTCACTTGCTTTCAGACCACAGCAACCTGAAGGCCTCAAAGTTACCATCACCTGAAAATACACCTATGATTTCCATCTCCCCACATGTGCCCACCCTCCAGATTCGCCTCCTCCCACCTCACTGTCCCCCTCCCCACATTAAATAACTCCACTTGGTTCCTGGTTTATGGCGGGAACCAGAGAATCATCTGGGACATCTTTCTTCCCCCCAACTCCATTGAGTCCCCAAGACTGAATGCCAGTTTTATGTTCAAAACTCTAACTGAATGTCTTTGAGGCACAGGACTGAAAATGAACGACGGAGAAAATAAATGTTGTGAATGCCCTAAAAACTAGCTGTATTCTAGCCAGTATTCCTATAATTACAGGAAGGTTGTTTGATGTCTGTATGTCTCTAAAGTATGTTTTTCTCTTCCTAAGGTAATTTTAACTAGTTCAAAGCAAATTGACAAATCCTCTATGTACAAGTTTTTAGAACCATGGCTTGGCCTAGGACTTCTTACAAGGTATGCCAGTGTACCTTTGTAAAGCTGTCTATAGAAATGGTTACTTCTACGTGCAACTTGTTATTTCAAGAATTAACACAGGGTAGCTTTTTCTGTAGCAGGACTGTTCTCTCAGAAAGGAGGAGAAAGGCTGGAAAGGAAGGTCCAGCTGGCAGCTGGCCTTTGCCCGTCAAGAGGCCAAGAGTCCAGGTGAACAGTTATCTTCAGCTGTGGTATTCAATAGCGACTGTCGCCAGTGTTCAGGAAGACTCAGGAGGTCCTGATGGACGGGAGTGGACGGGATGGAGGACACAGTAAAGCAAAGGAGTGTCTGGAGCAGGGAAATCTTGAAAATCCAATCAAAAAGATGGTCAGCCCCAGAGAAGTACAGTGAGCTGGTATCTAGAAACAGGGCTCCATCCTCTGAGAGAGGGCCCCACAAGAGCAAGGCAGGAGCCTAGCAGGGACTTTGGAGAACTGGAGAGGGGAGAGATCAAGGTAGAACCATGGAGTGTGAGGATCATCTGAGGACTGAGGTATTGATGGAAGGAGAAATAAATTTATTATTAGAAACTCGGAACTTAGAAATTGAGAAAAATTCTTAAATTTTTCAATTTTATGAATGCTATTTTAAACATGTATAGAACAATGTCCAAAATACTCATATTTTGTAACTATAGATGAATATTTTATAGATATGTGTATATCTTTGTCATTCTGCCAAAAGCATTTGAGAACCTGTAGATGAAGCTGTTTCAGGAGAATTTTGTTGACTTGCTATATTTATGCTTTAATCGTTTTGGATGTTACTTTTCTCTTTCTCTCTCTCTCTCTGTAGATATATTTTTTGTAACCACATATTTTATTTCTAGTACTGGAAACAAATGGCGCTCCAGGAGAAAGATGTTAACACCCACTTTCCATTTTACCATTCTGGAAGATTTCTTAGATATCATGAATGAACAAGCAAATATATTGGTTAAGAAACTTGAAAAACACATTAACCAAGAAGCATTTAACTGCTTTTTTTACATCACTCTTTGTGCCTTAGATATCATCTGTGGTGAGTCTCATCGATCTGTTTCTAAATTTATGGCATAAAGAGAAAATGGCCCAAACAGGAAATCACACTCCACCGGGAAGGCAAATGGGGGGACGGGAAAGGGTGACGGGCTCTTCAGCGCGGTTCTACGACCGCACTGGCCTTCTGAGGAGCAGCAGCCACGCCCAGGGCTGTGAGTGGGGCAGGCATGGAGCAACTGCCCAGGGAGGCGAAGGGAAGGAAGAACAGGAACAGGGAGTAGAAGTGGACCGTACAAGAGAAGAGGGTAAAGGGAGGAAGAAGAATTCTGAAATATACAAGGACAAAGCAGGATGTACGTCTTTAGTGTCTGCCGCTGCAAAATAAACACGAGATAACTAACGTGCGTGAATTGAATGGTTGCTTCTCACCCATATTTTATAGAAACAGCTATGGGGAAGAATATTGGTGCTCAAAGTAATGATGATTCCGAGTATGTCCGTGCAGTTTATAGGTAAATGGAGTCCTTTCAGTTATTTTAACAATTATTATTGATTTAGGCTTTAAAAATTATTGCTAACAATTTCTGCGTTGTATCTTTTTATGGTTTCAAAATTAAACATTAAACTAGAAGTTAACCTCATCATGTAAGCATGTGTTTAAGCAGTAAAGGTTATGTAAATTATGGCACATCTAGATTATGTAGTAATTTAAAATGATTATTCTCTAACATTGAGATTACATTATATTGTACATAATGATGCTTACATTATGATGCTGAGAAAAGAAAGATATAAACAGTTTTCTGTACCATGATAATTGTTATATTTAAAAATTATTCATAGAAAAAAACTAGCAGATATTATAACAGAATGTTAGCAGTGTTTCTCATTGTCTCGTGTATGTGTTTCTCATTCTTGTGCTTTCCTTTTGTTGTTATTCTTCTTCCCATATTTTCTGCACCAAGTAGGTATTGTTTTAGTCATCGAAACAGTCAATTTTACTCTAAAATTGCTTGCAATTATTCACCTGTTAAAAGGCAGGGCAAGGACTTGATGAAGTACAGAGAAGTGCATTGAGCTGAGTATATTTAAGTCTCCTGCTCATTTCACTTCATTTTAACCAATATTTATTAGGCATCTGTGATTTTCCAATCACTGCACAGGGTACTGACTGGTTTTGTAGTAGTACACAAAACAGAATAACACAGGAGGCAGGCAACGGACAAAGAAATTCATGAACTGTAATAATTGCTCAGGAAGAAAAGATCAAATTGATACCAGAGAGCAAAACAAGAAAGTGTCCTACAGAGTGAGAGGCCAGGAAAGGTCTTTCTGAAGAACCGGCACCTAAGCTGGTCCTGCAGGAGATCACATAGGGGTCTTTCTGCTCTATGGCTGGACATGAAAGGGAGGTGCTGGGACAGCCAAGTGACAGATGGGTACTTAGAGAGCCCTCGCTTGTAGAAGAGGGCAGCCAGTTGTCTTCTGTCACTCCAGAGGAGTGGTCAGACCAATGATGGACCTTAAAAAGAGGCCGATTTCATCTCAAACCCTGGTGCAGAGGTCCTAGGCAGAGTGGGAAACTTGCCCTGGAGAAGCAGAAGCAGAGACCAAATGGCTATCTAGTAAGGATGTTTTATAATGAATCCTTCATTCCTTTAAAGAGCCCATTATTTTCTGAGGCTTCATGGGATGCGTAATAGCCCATGCCTTCACTGCTAAGCATAAAACATGGAGCTCTTAGTAGCCTCTAAGACAATCATCGTCATTCCCACGATTGCCTTCATCAAGGCCAGGTACTAAAGAAGTGCTCAAGAAATACACATTTCTGATACAACAGCTGATGTATTTTTATCCCATTTATAGAATGAGTGAGATGATATTTCGAAGAATAAAGATGCCCTGGCTTTGGCTTGATCTCTGGTACCTTATGTTTAAAGAAGGATGGGAACACAAAAAGAGCCTTCAGATCCTACATACTTTTACCAACAGTGTAAGTCCCTGACTTTTACAATTGTGGTAAAATAGACATAACATAAAATTTCCCTTTATAACCATTTTAACTGTACAGTTTGGTGGTATTAAGTGCATTCACGATGTTGTGCAACCATCCCCACCGTTCATTTCCAGAACTTTTGGTAAGTCCATGATGTTGATGTTTTGTTAACATACCCGGTGTAGGACTATGGAGCCTATGTCTCAGAAAATAAAACTTGAATAATAATAGAAAACAATTTTTCATATAAAAAATTATACTTAAGTATAAAAATGTATACTTCAATTATGTAGTCAACAAATATTAATTAAGTACTCGCTAAGTGCTAACCACCATACCAAATGTTGGAAATGTAGTAATGAGTAGGACATGTGTATATGGTCCGTACCTGAAAGGAAGTTATTCTAGTAGGAGAGGTGATCTATCAACACATAATTACAACATGTGATATGAGCTGTGAACACTTATGAACAAACAGGGTGCTGTGTAAAAGAATAAAGGAACAAAGATCTATGTATAGGAGTTTTCTGGAAAATGTTTGGATTCGGCAGTCATTTTCAAAGGCAGAGGGCATTGATAGCAGTATCTTAACATGGAAAACATTAAAACTAACTAGATATTAGTATTCTATTTCCAATTCAAAAATAACCAGAAGATAGTGATGTTGTTTTGAATATAGGATGTCAATCTTTGTGTTAATAATGTGTTTTGAAAAAGCAAGACTTAATTGAAAATATACATCAAATTATAATTTCAGTGTATTAAAAAACTGCCTGTTTAAATATGTCCTTTCTTTGCTGTAAATTTTGGTTAAAATCTATTGGAGTTATGTCCTTGTGGTGAAGTACACCCTACCC
The DNA here is from genome assembly GCF_000001405.40 of Homo sapiens. Lineage (NCBI taxonomy): Eukaryota > Metazoa > Chordata > Mammalia > Primates > Hominidae > Homo > Homo sapiens. Next base: position 186,199,944 of record NC_000004.12, read on the forward strand.
CCAAGAGAGCAAATGATGAATAAATCAGTAGATGTTCCATGAATGCAATGTTGGCTGAGCTGGCCACAGTGGAGTGTGATCACCTGGTTATAGGAGAATAGCCAGCAGGTTATATTTCATAATTATATTTTTCCTTAAATTTTGTGCATTAATATTTAATAGCAATAATTAAATGAATTCCAGACTGAATAGACAATTTTATTCATTGAATAAACATTGAGAATTGCCTACTGAGGCCTGGGCTCTAGGAATTCCACCAAGAATAAAAAAAGACATGGTGTTTTGCCCTCAAATTGCTTAGAATCTATTCAGGCCACTTAGTAGCAGGTTTGGTCAATTACCTGGTAGGAAAAGAAGGTTGAAATGTACAACCAAATTAAGTGTATTGGCCTTCATTCTTTTATCCATCCAAGAAATATCTAGTGAGTATTTGTTAAATGCCAAGCAGTGCTCTAGAGGTTGGAAATGTATCAATGAACAAAGACATGCACAAGCATGGCAGTGTTTGAGTTGTAAGAGAAAGATGCTAAATAATAAGTATAACGTAAGTATAATATCACATTATAATAATAAGTATGACAGAAGTATCACATAATGTCAGGTGGCAAGGGAAATGGAGAAAAAGCATTGTTAGGAGGCGTCGCAGTGCTAGGGACAGGGGTAGCAGGGATGAGGGAGGTCTCTCTGATCGTGTGACAATGAGCAGAGATCTGGAAGAAGGGAGGGGGCAGCCGTGCAGGCCTCTGAGGAAAGCATTTCAGGCAGCAGAAATCGCAAGCATAGAGGGTGAATTCACTAATCTGCTTGCTGTTTCTTTTCTCCTCTACAACATGTAATTAAGTCTATAATTAGACTGTTGTATAATGATTGCATTCACTCTACCACTTAAACTTTTTCTCATTAGCGCAATCCAATCTCTAGGGTACTATCTAGTAGACTATGATTCTATTCTTGTGTTGGAAAGACTGCAAAAATAGCACTTGAAAATTAGGAATTTGCGTGACATTAAATTTGTTTTTAAAAGTTTCACCAGATAATCCCCAAAATATTAATGAGGCTTTACTGTATTTTCACAAGAGCCTATGTTGTCGAAATGTTGAAATAGGCTTAGAAAAATAAATGAAAGAAACTAGCATATTTTATAAGAAAATGTGTTAACTAGGGTGCATCCAAGTCCAAACAGAAGCATGTGATTATCATTCAAATCATACAGGTCATCGCTGAACGGGCCAATGAAATGAACGCCAATGAAGACTGTAGAGGTGATGGCAGGGGCTCTGCCCCCTCCAAAAATAAACGCAGGGCCTTTCTTGACTTGCTTTTAAGTGTGACTGATGACGAAGGGAACAGGCTAAGTCATGAAGATATTCGAGAAGAAGTTGACACCTTCATGTTTGAGGTATTGTATATTGTTAGGTTCAGATATCATTAAACAAATTTCAGTTATTGTTAGAATCTTTAGCATTATTTTTTAAAACAATCAAATTTTAAAGTAGTTTAACTAAAGAAGATTCATTATATTTTAATTAGAAATTACAAAATTTAAGAAACTGATTAAGTACCAGCTCAACTTCTTCAGAAAACGATTTTGACTAGTGCTGGGCACAGCAGTAGACACATTTGTTTTTCCTCAAGAAAACCTAAGATTTGTCAGAGTTTTCCCAAGCAGAAGAGCAGCCAGAGATTGCTCTCAGTTCTCCATGTGGCTTCAGGCTTCCTTCTAACCTCCCAGACATGCAAGTCCACTTCCTCACCACCTGCTTTCTGAGGTTCCAGCAGATGAGCACTTAGCTGCTGCCATGAGCTACTCTACCTAGAGGACAGTTAAGAGCCCTCCAACAGAGAATCAGCCAGTTCATGATTCTAAAAAGATCTCTGATCTCAAATTTATACATACATATGTGAAGTACATTTTAGCAAGATAGCCTAAATATTAAATCCTACAAAGAGGGACTTTCTCTATATGTGGATTGCAAAATAAATAAAACATGGTTTTTAGAAGCCATGTAGTAATATCGTCCACATGGGGCAGAGTGAAAGGCACCTGAGTTTTTAATGGCTCTGCCTGCCACCCACGTGTGAGCTGCTCTGCGGCAGCCTCTGGCGGCAGTGCCAGTGTCCTGCACTCTGGTGTGAGGCTCCACGACACGGTAGAAGAAGGTTGTGTGATGGGTCTTTCGATCCGAGTTCCAGTTCAGGCTCTGTGCTGATTAGCCAAATAAGATAGTTCTGATCATTCCAGAGTTCTGTCACAATTTTCCTATGTGTAAAGCGAGAGATGGACTACGTTGGTGGTTTTAAACTTTTTTAAGCAGAAAACTTTACTGAAAATAAATCTTAAGCAGAAAATGGACATCTAAATTAGCTGAAAAGTAGAGAGGTGTTAAGTGTGTGGGCTCTAAGATCAAATCCCAGCTAACATGCTGGGACCATGACCTCAAGCACCTCACCTAGCCGTTCTGGGCCTGAATATTCTTATTTTAATAGCACAAGCCTCATGGAATAGTTATGATGATTAGATTTGTAAAGGTGCTCTGAGAATCGTGATTGGCCCATAAGTATGCGGCACATACCGGGTGTTATTATTGCATGTCGGAGTAGAGAGATCTCACATCTTCACCTTGCCCATGTACTACACACACACACGCATACACTCATGTAAACCCATGCACACACATGCACACACTTACACACACACATATGCTCATGCACATACACATGCACAGACACATGTATATACCAACATACACACATTCACATATACACACATACACAAACACATGCACACACCTACATACACTCATGCACATACATGCACACACAAACATATGTATATCCACATGCGCACACACGTGCATACACTCACACACAAATATACACACACACCCAGATACTCATGCACATACACACACATGCACACATATACCCACATGCACACATGCATGCATACACATGCATGCACACATATACCCACATGCACACATGCATGCATACACATACATGCACACACCACCCCCCACAGAGGCACACATTCATGTACATTTATGCAATCATACAAAAACACATGTACACACCTACATACACACATGCGCATATACACATACATAGATGCACATATATACACACATGCACACATAAATGCACACAGCTATGTACACTCGTGTACATAAGCACAAAGGCACACACAAATACATGTACATATCCACGTACACACATTCATATATGTGCACAACCCCATACACATATGTACACACATGTGCACACACACATCCATCTCCTACCAGGAACCTCTCAATCTCACGTAAACAATCAGAACCAGACTAATGATTTTTCTTCCAACTCTAACATTCCTTGACATTCTAATTGTTTTCTTCTTTGCATTGAAAGGGAGGCAGCATACCAGGTGTGAGTGTGATACTGTGGCCTCCTCCACAGGTCGGTGCAGGCTGTGAGTGACACTGTGGCCTCCTCCACAGGCCGGTGCAGGCTGTGAGTGTGATACTGTGGCCTCCTCCACAGGCTGGTGCAGGCTGCAACTGCCCAGGTTCCAGCTGTGAGCTAAAAGTGGGCGTCCTCCCCTGCTCCACCAGTGTGCCTCGGTGCTTTACGTTTGCCTTATCATGCTTTCTGCAGTTGGCAGATGAAATGAAATCGGAAGTTCAGCAGACTCCTCTTATGCATTTGGATCAGGCTTCCGCTCATAAATTCAAGGAAAGCTATTAAAATTGTTTAGCCAGAATACTTCCTTCCGTACTTAGACAACTGAGCACAACGGGCCGGAGCTCATCTGGAGTTCCGAGTAGGTTTTGTAACTGCAAGTGCTAGGAAAATGCAGAGGCGCCGACCTCAGGACCTGTAGGCTGTGTCTTTTAAGAATTGCAGAATAAGCCCCGAGCAATTCATTTTAGGAGCTGTTTTATAAAACAAGTACTTTGAAGATTTCTGCACAGAGAATGAAATATTACAAAAATCACTTGTGCCACATAGGAAAAATGGAAAAGTGAGATCTTTTATAGAGGAAATAATTTGTTTTTTCTTTTTGTCCTCAAAGTTTCAGAGAGGTAGATTACTGTTATTGACTTTCCAGATACATTTTTTTTTTTTCTGAAGAACTCACCACTTTTGCATATGGAAATGTGCTAGGGAGATGAGGAGGTAGATAAGAAGCCAGGTCCTGAAATATCAAATGGGTGGGAAAGAAGGTTGCCCGAGACATTACACTAGCTTAAGAGGTGGAGGCGGAGACGTTACGCTACCGCTAAGAGGTGGAGGTGGAGACGTTACGCTGGCGTAAGAGGTGGCGGTGGAGACGCTACGCTGGCGTAAGACGCGGCGGTGGAGACGCTACGCTGGCGTAAGAGGCGGCGGTGGAGACGCTACGCTGGCGTAAGAGGCGGCGGTGGAGGCGCTACGCTGGCGTAAGAGGCGGCGGTGGAGGCGCTACGCTGGCGTAAGAGGTGGCGGTGGAGACGTTTCGCTGGCGTAAGAGGTGGAGGTGGAGACGTTACGCTGGCGTAAGAGGTGGAGGTGGAGCGTCCTTACTGCACAGGGTGTGGAGGGAATGGCGTGGGCTCAGCTGGCTTTGTCATCGGACACGCCGCAGGCTCAGTTTCTGCCTCTGTTTCCCACTAAGCTGTTTAGCACAGAAGAAGTTATTTAACCACATCTTTGGCCTCAGTTTTTAATCTCTGAATTGTAAAGAACAGTAATGAGTCTTTCATGGAGTTTTTGTGCAGATTAATTCAGTTTCTGCAAAGTGCTTAGTATTTTGCCTAAAACTCAGCAAGTATGAAATGAGGTTGTTGTCAATTTTTACTGCAGAGGATATGACTTAGAACCACACCTCTACCCCCTGGTGCCCGTCATCAACAGGTGAGGCCCACCTGACAGATGGGGGAAGGCAGAGAAGTACAGCCCTGACAAGCAGGCTCGTGAAAATCAGACTTTGTTCTGTTCACAAAGGCGCAGCTCACCTCGTGCCCATGGAACGCCGCCTTTATTAACACAGCACAGGCACGTCCCACCAGCGTGCAACACCGTGCGGCGTGGAACTGCCATCTCTAGGCATGAACCTCCGCTTTGCAGGCTTGTTTCCTTGTTTGTCACCGAGGCAAGGTGCTGCACAGAATTCATTTCTTATGTTTGCAGTCACAGTGCAGTCATCAAATCCAGAGACAATTCAAAAGAGGTTTCTGGTCACTCCTAATCATCGCAGCATAACTCTGCTTTTTAAGCTATTGTTTTCTGCATTTGTAGGGGCACGATACAACTGCAGCTGCAATAAACTGGTCCTTATACCTGTTGGGTTCTAACCCAGAAGTCCAGAAAAAAGTGGATCATGAATTGGATGACGTGTTTGGTATGTTTGGCCCCTTCACTGGTTATATTGTGGTACTAAGTCTGCTGCAGAGATGTCACTGTGTTGTAAACACAGTGTAATGAGCAGGAAGGCTCCCCCACGGGATCCTTTCCAGTACCATCCCCTTTGCAAGGCCTCGTCCATTCACTCACAGGCCTCTGCCAGTCGCCTGGCAAGTGACTGTACTAGGCCGGATGCTGGGGTGCACTGATGCGTGCTGCTGTCCTCAAGGGTCTCACTGCTACCCAGGCGAAACAGAGGCTTTGAGTCATGGGTCGTGCATTTGAGTGAAGAAGGTGCTATTTGGGAGAAAGGAGGAGCTGGTGAAACTATTTAGAAAGGTACAGGAAAGCTGTTTCGCAGATTGCCTCTCACCACAAAGGAGAGAAAATGTGGATTAAAAAGGTGGATTAAGCTTCGAGGAGATACATTTCTATTACACAGCAAGCAGCCCGGAGGAAAAGTCCTGCCAGTAGGATGTCCAGGGTCCCAGACTTGCCCTTTTGCTCCCAGCCATCCCTACCATCTTGGCTTTTGTCCTCATGATTGACGTTCCAAGCATCACGTTCATCTTCAAGGCAGGAAGACAGGGGAGGTGGGGGTACCGGGTGTGTTGGTGTCCTGTGGCTGCTGCTGTGACAAATCCACAGACAGGGAGGTTCACAGCAGCGACGTCTGTTCCCTCACAGTTCTGGACACCCGAGTCAAAGATCAGTGTCATTGAGCCCACATCACCATGTGGGCAGGGCTGTGGCCCACTGGGAAAATATCCACTCCTTGTCTCTTCAGCTTCCGGTGGCTGCCAGCATTTCTTGGCTGACAGCCGCATCACTGCTATCTCTGCCAGTCTCTGCATCGCCTTCTCTTTTCTCTGGGTGTGAGTGTGTGCACGCACGTGCATGCATGTGTGGTGTGTGTGTGTGTGCATGTGTGTGCTTGTGTGTCTTTCACAAGCATACTTGTGACATACTTGTGATGGCGTTCAGGGCTCACCTGGATAATCTACCCACTGTAAGATCTTTAATTTAATCAAATCTGCCAAGAGTTCTCTTCTTCCAAATAGGGTAACATTTACAGATTGCAGGGATTAAGACCTGATATTTTGGGGCCCATTATCAGTCTGCCACAAAGAGGCTTCCATAGATTTTATCCTTGTTAAAAATCACGTGTCATATGGCCCCCAATAGCTGCAAGGTGAAAAGGAATAAAGTTGAGTTAGCCAAGCAACAAGTGGTATCTGATGCAGTTTTACAGTGAGAAGCAGGGAAAGAAAACTAAAGGAATAAAGCTGGAGAGAGAAGGCATTCTAGAAAGAGAGGAAGCAGATGAGCAACGGCACAGAAGTGGAAAGGTTTCTGGCATGGAGGGCAATAGTGGAGAGTGAGAGACCGCGAGAACTCATCTCTCATTCACTGGGAGATGAGGATGGAAAAGCAGTTTTGTGTGCAGATTGTGCTGGGACTGGAATTTCATATTAAGAGGCAAGCTTTTATTTTGCAGAATGGACACCATCTAACACTTTTGGCAACATTTTTGTCATCATTTTATCTTTTTAACACTGATTTTAGTTTTGCTTAGATTGCCTTGAGTGGATAAATTTGGTCTTCCAAAAGCTCACAAGTTCTTTTGGAATAGGCTTCAATCTTTTGTATCCCCTACAAAGTTTAGCTCATTACCAGTTTCACAAAGCTTTGTGGTCCTGCAGAATGAGTGACACAGTCATCATTACTAGAAGCTTTGCTCTGTGATTCTTGTGTTTTCTGCTCATTGTGCCTCACTTTTTCTTCTACCCCCAATCCTAGTTCTAGAATTTTTGAGCAACTAAGCTGGGCTCGGTGGCTCACGCCTGTAATCCCAGCACTTTGGGAGGCCGAGGTGGGCGGATCACGAGGTCAGGAGATCGAGACCATCCTGGCTAACACAGTGAAACCCTGTCTCTATTAAAAATACAAAAAAATTAGCCGGGCATGGTGGCAGGTGCCTGTAGTCCCAGCTACTCGGGAGGCTGAGGCAGGAGAATGACATGAACCCCTCAGGGGGCGGAGCTTACAGTGAGCAGAGATTGCACCACTGCATTCCAGCCTGGGCAGCAGAGCAAGACTCTGTCTCCAAAAAAAAAAAAAGAAAGAAAGAAAGAAAAAAACATTTGAGCAACTATTCTTTGTGTAGTGAGTTATTACTTTGCATTATTAATTAATAATTAATTATTAAATTATATTTATATTAAAAATTATATAATATATAAAATATATTAAAATATATAAAAATATTAAATAATTAATAATTAATACTTTGCAAGTATTAATTCCTTAAATGTTATTTTTTTTTTTACTGAGGTAAATGTCACATAACATAAAATCTACCATTTTAAAATGTACATTTCAGCAGCATTTAGTACCTTCACCATGTTGTACGATAGTTATGTCTACCTAATTCCGGAACATTTTCAGCACCTCGAAAGGAAACCTGGTAGGATTAAGCAGTCCCTCTTGATTCCTCCTTCCCCTGGCCCTGGAAGCCTGTGATTTACTTTCTGTCTCTCTGGATTTACCTATTCCGAGTACTTCCTATATATGGATTCGTACAATATGTGACCTTTAGTGTCTGTTTATTTTACTTGGCACATTGTCCATTTTATTTTGATAATGCATAATGTTAGAAATTCTGCTTTAGCTGTGGCTATTTAGCATCCCCTGCCTTGATCCACATGTTCTTCTTTGATGGGTATTTAGCATCCCCTGCCTTGATCCACGTGTTCTTCTTTGAAGGGTATTTGATGGATATTTAGCATCCAGTACCTTGATCCACGTGTTCTTCTTTGAAGGGTATTTGATGGGTATTTAGCATCCAGTACCTTGATCCACATGTTCTTCTTTGATGGGTATTTGATGGGTATTTAGCATCCCCTGCCTTGATCCACATGTTCTTCTTTGAAGGGTATTTGATGCGTATTTGATGGGTATTTAGCATCCCCTGCCTTGATCCACGTGTTCTTCTTTGAAGGGTATTTGATGGGTATTTAGCATCCAGTACCTTGATCCACGTGTTCTTCTTTGAAGGGTATTTGATGGGTATTTAGCATCCAGTACCTTGATCCAAGTGTTCTTCTTTGATGGGCATTTGATGGGTATTTAGCATCCCCTGCCTTGATCCACATGTTCTTCTTTGAAGGGTATTTGATGCGTATTTAGCATCTAGTACCTTGATCCACGTGTTCTTTGATGGGTATTTGATGGGTATTTAGCATCCAGTACCTTGATCCACATGTTCTTCTTTGAAGGGTATTTGATGGGTATTTAGCATCCCCTGCCTTGGTCCACGTGTTTTTCTTTGAAGGGTATTTGATGGGTATTTAGCATCCAGTACCTTGATCCACATGTTCTTCTTTGATGGGCATTTGATGGGTATTTAGCATCCCCTGCCTTGATCCACGTGTTCTTCTTTGTTGGGTATTTGATGGGTATTTAGCATGCCATGCCTTGATCCACCTGTTCTTTTTAGATGTCTGCACCCCCAGCCCCCACTGCTCTTTCAGGTCATCTTATCTACTTGCTTTCATCAGGGAAGTCTGACCGTCCCGCTACAGTAGAAGACCTGAAGAAACTTCGGTATCTGGAATGTGTTATTAAGGAGACCCTTCGCCTTTTTCCTTCTGTTCCTTTATTTGCCCGTAGTGTTAGTGAAGATTGTGAAGTGGGTAAGTATGCTATACCTAAAGTAGAAGGGAGAGGGAAACTTTCTAATGTCTACCTTGCTCCGGTCTCATAATGTATTGACTACTTCTTGACAGCAGGTTACAGAGTTCTAAAAGGCACTGAAGCCGTCATCATTCCCTATGCATTGCACAGAGATCCGAGATACTTCCCCAACCCCGAGGAGTTCCAGCCTGAGCGGTTCTTCCCCGAGAATGCACAAGGGCGCCATCCATATGCCTACGTGCCCTTCTCTGCTGGCCCCAGGAACTGTATAGGTTTGTATCCATCTGAATTGGTTTGACCTTTCAGGCCCACTTGATGGTGGGTTTCTCACAGTGATTTCTTTGAGATGTGATGTGACATTGCCCATATGCAACAGCCTTAAAAAAAAAATAGGTGGTTTCTTTTTTCCCTCACTGTGCTTTGTAGTTTTAAAATATTACGGTCAAAAGGTATATTAGTATATTCGCCTGCATGGGCTTCCATAGCAAAATACCACAGACTGGGTGGCTTAAACAGCAGAAATTTATTTTCTCACAGTTCTGGAGGCTGGAAGTTCAAGAACAAGGTGTTGGCAGGGCTGGTTTCTCCTGAGGCCTCTCTCCGTGGCTTGTAGATGCCATTTTCTCCTTATGTCTTCACTTGGTCTTTCCTCTGTGTGGGTCTGTGTCCTGATCTTCTCTCCAGTCAGACTACACTAGGGCCTACCCCAATGACCTCACTTATACTTACTGACCTCTTTCGATTACCTGTCTCCAAATACAGTCATATTCTAAGGTATGGGGGGGGCTTAGAATTTGGAGAGAGACACAATTACCCATAACATAAAACATAATTAGCTTCATGGTAGAGTTTCAAAATGTTGTAGAGTTTTAATTACAGTAGAATATAACTTATTGTGGTAAAAACTTTATTAATGATTACTTATGGTTAACCTAATTTTTGTGTTTATTGCTTTTAAGAATTTCATTTTGCAAATCAAAACAGCAAATGCTTGCCATATGGCCAGCTAGTACTTAAGCAAAATGAATGCACATCACCACCCTGCATTATAAACCCTTTTGGTTTTAGTATCTCTAGCATTTTGTCATTTATGTAAATGCAGACATCGGTAAAATGAGGCCAGAGTGAAACGGGTGAATCTGAAGCTTTTTTGGTGAATCCATAGTAAATGAAAGACCCACTAAGACATAATCTAGGGTAGTGAGTCTCAAGCTTGAAGGAGCTCAGGATTTATCTGGATCAGCTGGAGTACAAATTCTCTGATCCTCCCCAGCTATAGATGTGCAAGGTGGGATCAGGGAGGGAAACTCAAGACTCTTCATCTTTAACAGGTGTTCCAAGCCATTCTGGTTCTCCTTCCACCTACTGCGAAAATGTAAAGTGGCTCGCTTCCTATGACAGGACCTCTTGTTTCTCACATTTGGGGTAAATCTATAACTAAAGCGATGGTATCTACATTAATTTGAAGGTCAAAAGTTTGCTGTGATGGAAGAAAAGACCATTCTTTCGTGCATCCTGAGGCACTTTTGGATAGAATCCAACCAGAAAAGAGAAGAGCTTGGTCTAGAAGGACAGTTGATTCTTCGTCCAAGTAATGGCATCTGGATCAAGTTGAAGAGGAGAAATGCAGATGAACGCTAACTATATTATTGGGTTGTGCCTTTATCATGAGAAAGGTCTTTATTTTAAGAGATCCTTGTCATTTACAATTTACAGATCATGAGTTCAATATGCTTGAATCCCCTAGACCTAATTTTTCCTTGATCCCACTGATCTTGACATCAAGTCTAACAAAGAAAAAGTTTTGAGTTTTGTATTTTCTTTTTTCTTTTTTCTTTATTTTTTTTTTTTGAAACCGTGTCTCACTCTGTCGCCCAGGCTGGAGGAGTGCAGTGGTGTGATCTCAGCTCACTGCAACCTCCACCTCCCAGGTTCAAGCAATTCTTCTGCCTCAGCCTCCCAAGTAGCTGGGATTACAGGTGCCTGCCACCATGCCTGGCTAATTTTTTTGTATTTTTAGTAGAAACAGGGTGTCACCATGTTGGCCAGACTGGTCTCAAACTCCTGACCTCAAGTGATCCACCTGCCTCAGCCTCCCAAAGTGCTGGGATTATAGTCGTGAGCCACCACGCCTGGCCAGAGTTTTTTATTTTTATCACCACCATAGATGTTACAGTTGGCTGTGGTCACAAAAGTAGTTAATTGTGTCAGCACCCAAATAAACATCTAACAGGTTTCTCAACAGAGGAATCCACAGTCCAATTCCACTTCAATTGATAGACCCAAAAAATATAATTTAATCAAAGTTCTAGAGTTTTTGTTTGTTTGTTTGAGATGGAGTCTTGCTCTGTCGCCCAGGCTGGAACGCAGTGGTGACATCTCGGCTCACTGCAACCTCCACCTCCCAGGTTCAAGTGATTCTCCTGCCTCAGCCTCCTGAGTAGCTGGGACTACAGGCGCCTGCCACCACGCCCAGCTAATTTTTGTATTTTTAGTAGAGATGGGGTTTCACCATGTTGGCCAGGATGGTCTTGATCTCTTGACCTCGTGATCTGCCTGCCTCGGCCTCCCAAAGTGCTGGCATTACAGGCATGAGCCACCATGCCTGGCCCAAAGTTCTAGAATTTTTTAAAGGTATTCATGGTGACTCAGGAATACACACATACACACACACACACACACACACACACACACACATACACACATATAATTTGAAAGAGGTGAGTATGTACTCTGACTTCAGCTCTCAGGTTTTAAAAATTATATTAGTGGGACCAGTTATGACAAGAATAATCATTATAGTACTTTTCAGATTTTATAACCTGGAGCAGATTATTTTAAGTTGATTAGTAGGTTCTGTTACAGTTTTTCTTTTGATCGTGCACTTATAGTCTTCATTTAATTCCTCATAGAATCCCAGTCACCTTTATATATCATATTATTGGAAGAGATTCATCTTCATAATCTCCAGTTTTTTCACAGTGCCTCACAGAGTTAATCATGCCTTTTGGAGCTAGAAGGACTTTAGAACTTATCTAGTTATGCTCCTTTATATTATAAGTAAGGGAATAGAATCAATAAGACAGTTTCTGCCCAAAGTCATGTTACCAGTTGGTGACAGAGCTGGAAATACGTAGAGATCTATACCCTTAAATCTCTCCACTCACATGCTGATATACTTTCTACTACAATATGCTATAGCTTTATGGAACTCAGGGTGATGATCAGACGTGTCATTAGAACATGAGTCCTCTGCTTCTGATTCAGGCATACTTTTGGGATTCTTCCATCTTTAAAGGAAAAAGGAAGCCATTCATCTATATTTAGTAACCCAGTAATATCTCACTTAGTTTAGGGTTAGATCTTTAGTTAATTCAACCTTATAGATCATACTTATGAAGGTGATAACTGACACGTGTTCACTGAATTTTAATTTGATAGGCAATACATCTACCCACTCCATTATTTTTTAAAACTTCATTTAATAGTTTAAACAAGATTGGTTTTGTTTTCAATTTTTATTCACTCTTCATAGAATCACAATTACCTTTATATATCATATGTTATTGGAAGAGATTCCTCAGTAATCTCCAATCTCTCATAGTGCCTCACAGGGTTGGTCAATGGCTTTTGGAACTGGAAGGACCTTAGAACTTATCTGTTATGCTCCTGATAGCCAATAGCAGATAGAAGCTTGCAATCAAGAGGGTAGGACATGTGTTCTTCAATGGATATCAAAGGAAGAGGTTGCAAACCAAAGCCATTTGGCAAGCCCTGTAGCCTGGGCCATTTAAGACAGGGGCGGTCTCAGCCAAATTGCACCCATTTAACTATCCCAAAGAGCCACAGTGCCTACAACCCAGGCCCTAAGTTGATGAAGAAAAAGTCAAGGAAGGAGGTGATACAATTGGAAATATTCCCATCAAATGGTTAATCTTATTTAGAAAATGGGCATATTAGAAAAAGTCCTTCCAAGATGATTTTGGATAATAAAAGTTGTATTTGTGGAAATTGGTATTATCTCTGTTTTATGCACTTACATTTATCCCTTACATTTTGTTTTTAGTGACCCTACATGACATTAAATTTAAAGTAAAACATTGTTTAATGTTACCTTTTGGCTTGAGAATGTCTTTCAGCTCCAGAATTATTGTTACTCATATTTTAATCAGTAAGTCATTTAAGCTATGACAGAGTAGGAATTGAGAAATTATTTCATATGCTACAGTATTGAAATGTGGATGCTGCCTTGTTTTATAAGAAGATGATCAAGGTTTGTGTGCCCATTACCTTTCCTCTGCCTGAAAGACGTGTCTCAAGAAAAATAAATTCTATTTTAGATGCAGGTACTGCATTTTATTCTAAGAATTGATATCAATTCAAAACATAGAAAACTGTAAAAGATAAATCAGGAGATGGCTGATTCATAATGGGTAATAAAATAAATAGCACTTTCGAGCTGATGTCGTCAGTGACTCTTGGATTTTCTAACAAAAGGTTCCTTTACTGTTGTCATAGAGAGATTGTGAATTTCTCTGACTCTGAAGAATCAACTAGAAGAAGTAGAATCACCAGAACATTTTGCTCAGCTGAAAGCACAAAGTAAACTCAGTTACTGGGAATCAGCAAAAACCACAGGCATCACTGGTCCCAGGGATTTAGAGTCCAGAAACCTCTCCAGGTGATGGACTGTTGATTTGGGGCTCTATGCATTGTCACAGACAGCTGGGGATATCAGTTTCTGGACCAAATGACCCAATAAGAGATGCTGGTCGTAAAAATCCATTTTTATCTGGAATGTTTCTAGAAGATCAAAACCTTTTTCCTTCCAGCATCTAATGCCTGAGTGATACATTTAAAAATTTTTAGTCTGCGTGGGCACCCTCTTTTTCTAGGAGCAGCACTTTTTATTTTTGAAATTATCCTACAATGAATTACCGGCTTTTCTTCTGTTCTCATCTTTTTCCTTCCCCAGCATACACACACTGTAAATATGTGCCATATTCTTAGGCAATCCCACTTTCTCAACCTTTGTTGAGTGACCCAAGCAAGGTTAAATTCGAGTTCTCCCCAACGAGTTTTCCCAGCTGCAATTGAAGAAGAGATACAGTCCATCTCTGTGGTGGAAACTCCAGGTTGTGAAACTCAAGATCAATCAGCAATAGAACCTCTGGAGCAGCTGCTGGGTGATGAGAAGAAGCAGGCAGAAGAAATGGACAGAATCCTGGAGGAACCTGAGTCCCACATGGCAGGTGATGCTGAGGCTCACTGCATGTCTGCCCTGCTCACTCTTCAGTGGGTCCACCCTACTTGGGAACCCAAGAGCCAGTATATTGCCGTTTGCTTAAAAGGACTGTCTTTCATTTATGACCAAAAGCGAGTTAGTGTGTGTCAGGTCAGCCGAAGGATGAAGGAAGGGCCCCCATTCTCTGGATATGATCTTAGGTCTTCACCCTATTTTCTTTGTGCTGTTCAATAATTCTCTGTATTGGATCATCAGCATATATGCCCACCAGTCCTTTAAATGCAATACCATTTAAGAAAATGCAGAGTTTTCTCTTTTCTAGATAGTAGGAAAGTTAAAGTTACACTGCATTGTTTTAGAAGACAGCTAGGCTTAACCTAACACATCAGTCTAGTTTTTTGGTTCTGCCATGATGACTTTCTGGACTAATTAGTCATTTTTCTCCTCTAATTAAACCAGGTTCATTTTCCTGCTGGCTAGCTGTATGCCACATTTCAGGGATAAATCTCTCATCTCTAATTACTAAAATGGACTCGTTGCATCCTTGCCTCAGTTTCTTGTCCAGAAGTTCACCAAATGGTTATTTCCTTGGGCTGAATTCAGTTTTGGAATTAACTCCAGCATTTAGCTGTTGATCTTGTTCTCTTTATCCTAGTAGATAAGTTTTTGGCACGTTCTTTCTCCTTCCCATCATTATCTCTCCTCTTTACCCGTCACTTTCTTTCTGTTGTGGTTTGCATTTATTGATCTCTGCCTTTCCTGATACTACTCAATTTATGTTTCACAGAAATAACGGCTGTACTTAAATGAAACTCAGATTCCTATATAAAAATGTTGGGATAACTTTGTTCCTTCAGTAAGGGTCATACAGACATTATAGATCTTATCGGGAAGAAAAATTATCACAATATTTAGACATGACTGTCTTATTTTAAAAATGTTTTCAGTTTACTTTCAGATTCCATATATAGTTTTAAAATACATGTTTTAGCTGAATAGTAAAAAAAAAAAAAAATATGTAGGCACAGGAGTATCTATTGGGCACTCCTGGGAAGGAGAGTAGCCTTTCTTTCTCTTTCTTTCTCTTTCTTTCTCTTTCTTTCCTTCTTTCTTTCCTTCCTTCCTTCCTTCCTTCTTTCCTTGCTTTCTTCTTTCTTTCCTTGCTTTCTCTCTTGCTTTCTCTCTCTCTCTCCTTGCTTGCTTGCTTTCCTTTTTTTTTTTCTATATTCTACCTCTAGGCTTTGCGTCCTTGCTTGCGCAAGTCAAGCCCAAGTTTTAAGTTTTATGCTTATGGAAATACAGTAAATTAAGACATTTATTTATTTATTTATTTATTTATCTATCTATCTATTTTTTGAGACAGGGTCACCTAGGCCGGAGTGCAGTGGCGCAATTGTGGCTCACTGCAACCTTCACCTACTGCGCTCAAGGGATCATCCCACCTCAGTCTGCTGAGTAGCTAGGACTACAGGTGCATGCCACCGTGCCTGGCTAATTTTTGTAATTTTTCTTGTACAGTTGGGGTTTGGCCATGTTTCCCAGGCTAAATTAAGACATTTAAATCACTCAGGCACAACTAATTTTTTCATATTGCCACATCTTCCTAGGAGTGGGATTGTGCTTCAGTTTTTTCAGCTGTCTATGCCTTAATTTTGACTCCCATCAATAATGCTTGATGTTGTAGCCAGTGTTGGTTTATTATTACCAAAAGCAATGCTGTTCTGGAAAGGCAAGGACTGCAGTGTCTCATATGATGCAATTGGACGGAACCTCAAGACGACATTTGCTCCCAGCAAAGGGCATTCAGCAGAACAAGGACCAATCAGAATTCATCCAACAATCATTTTCAGTGTCATCTAAGACTGGCAGGTAATAGCTTACATGTGCGATTGTGACTTTCATGTGAGGATGAGATGGTCCACAACTGCGGGGAAAGCAACCTTCCTGTCCTCAATCTCTTGTTTTTAAAAGATATTTCATTCCTTATTCATGTGCTTATTTATTTATCGTTTTACTCTTTCATTCATAAAAGTCTGCCAAGTTCTATTGAGGGAGCTGGGGAAAGACAGCAAGCAAGCCCCAGTCCTACCAGCAAGGTGTTACAGACAGTGGGCGTCTGAAAAACAACAGAGAAATGGACAAGGAGGTAACAGAATGGCAGGGAGTGAGAAGCGTTACGCAGAAAGACAAAGAATGGTGAAGAGACAGGAGGTGGAAGAGATGGAAGGTGCCTTTTCAGATGAGATGCTTGCTGGAGGATGGTATCCTGAGGAGATGATGTTTGAGCAGTGGTCTGATTGAAGTGAGTCACGTGGGGATCTGGGACAAGGGGAGGTGGAGAGGGCTCCATCCTGGCACGTGTCTAAGGGGAGGTTCTGGAGAAAAATCCTCTTTCAAGCACGTGCAGTTTGTTGGAATATTCAGTGCTTTGGGATGGTAGGGGTGAAATCCCCATGTTCTTTTTGGCTCTTGTCCAGAGATGACTCTCAGGTCCTTCCCCGTGACCCATCTCAAAGCCAGCGCTGGAGCACTTCCCTGCTGTCAATCCCTCTTAACGCTCTGAATCTCTCTGACATCTCCTTATGCTGACCGCAGAGGAAAACTCTGCTTTTAATGGGCTCATGTAATAAGATTTGGCCCACTCTGATTGACTCCATTTTGATTGGCACAAAGCCAAGTGTTTAGTAATCTTAACCCCATCTGCAGAATTGCTTTTCTCATGTAACATAATCATGGGCAGATGTGATATCTCGTTTTATTCACTGTCCCCAGGATTTGAGTGGGAGATTTGGGAGAATGTTTTAGAATTCTACTTACCACGCCTCTTTTCAATTTAGTTCTGATTTGGTTCACCTGAATCTACAGAGGTTTTTTTAGTTTTATTGTGCTACTAGAATGTAACATGTTTCACTGTAAGAAAACTCCAACTAAACCTAGAAGCATATTTAAATAGGTTAAAAGTCTGTAATCTCACCTTTTAGAAAAACAAACCCTGAGGGTTTCTGCTGTGATGTGAAGGCAGGGTGCTTTTGTCCCAGTTGTTTTGTTGTTGTTGTTGTTGTTCTTGTTTTCTGCTGAGCCTGGTAGCTGATGAAATCTAAAATATAAACTCTTTTCTACTGCACAAAGTGGAGAGATTTGTTGACTACTGCTGCACCACTTGATATCCTAAAAGACAGCACAACATGCATATTTAAAATATGCTACTTCCTTCTCACCAGAAAATATTTTATTGGCAACATTATCCTACATTTCTAATAAATGTAGTTCTGCATTCCAGTAATATACATAAAATATTTATTTAAGAATCGACTCCAAAAACTCTAATGTACTAATCAAGATGATATACTGTAATTTCAAAGAATAGAAAACAAAGGAGATTTAGTGGGCAGGTCATTGTGGTCTTTAAATATTTTAAAAGCAGAAAAAGGAGAATCAGTTGTTTTGTGTGGGTCTAGTACGTAAATCTAGGACTGAAGGATAGAAGTTTGCAAGGAGGTGTATTTCAGTATACAGGAAGTTTTTTTCTTTTCTTAAAAATAAAATTAAAATAGAGCTCCCTGAGCTCTGAAATAAAATAAAATTAAAATAGAGCTCCCTGAGTTGGAGCAGGCTGCTTAGGAAACCAGTTTCTCCTCAGTCGAAGTATTTTGACAGGAAGGTCTAAAGTCTATGTCAGAAGTGTTATCCAGCAGATTTCAGCCAACCTTATCTGTAGAGTCAGATAGTAAATCTTCTTGGCTTTTGAGGCCATGCTGCCTCTGTAGCAACTTCTTAACTCTGCCATTGTAAGGTGAAAGCAGGCATAGACAGCAAGTGAATGAATGGCCATGGCTGTGTTTCAATAAAACTTTATTTACAAAAACAGGTGCAAAGCCAAATGTGGTCTGTGAACTGTGGTTTGTCAAGCCTGATATATTGCATTTCCTGAATTGGGTGGGAATAGGACCTAAACATCAAGCCAGTCCCTTCCAAATCTAAGATTTCAGTGTTATATGATTCTTTGGTAGGGTGTAGGAAGGCATAGATATCATTTGCTAAAATATCCCTCTAGGAGGAGCTATCCATACCCATCCATTATTCACTGTGCCTGCAAGCAACTCTAATAAAAAAAAGTTCTGTTAGATGAGGTTTCAACTACATGCCACTAAATACTGGGAATGTTATAAGCATTTTTTAAAATGGAAACCTGTGCATAAACTGTGTGACCCTAAAATGAAATTAGGGTCCTTTTGAGTGCAGCATTTTTCTACCTTTTTTTATGTATCATTTACAAATAAAAATTATATATATCTACTGTGTACAAGATAGTGTTTTGATATACATGTACATTGTGAAATGATTACCATAGTCAAGCTAATTAACATGTCCATTATTTTACATAGTGTGTGTGTGTGTGTGTGTGTGCGCATGTGTGTGTGCTGAGAACCCATCAGATCTATTCTCTAGTGAAGTTCATGTATACGATACAGTATTATGAACTATAGTCACCATGTTTGCATTAGTCAGGGTTCTCTAGAAGGACAGAACTAATAGGATAGATGTACATATAAAGGGGAGTTTATTAAAGAGTATTGACTCACACGATCACAAGGTGAAGTCCCACAATAGTCTGCCTGCAGGCTGAGGAGCAAGGAAGCCAGTCTAAGTCCCAAAACCTCAAAAGCAAGAAAGTCAACAGTGCAGCCTTCAGTCTGTGGTCAAAGGTCCAAGAGCCCTTGGCAAACCACTGGTGTAACTCCAAGAGTCCAAAAGCTGAAGAACTTGGAGTACAATGTTCAAGGGCAGGAAACATCCAGCACAGGAGAAAGATGAGGGCCAGAAGACTTAGCCAGTCTAGTCCTTCCACGTTCCTCTGCCTGCTTTTATCCTAGCCCGGCTGGCAGCTGAGATGGTGCCCACCCAGATTGAGGGTGGGTCTGCCTCTCCCAGTCAACTGACTCAAATATTAATCTCCTTTGGCAACACCCTCACAGACACATCCAGGAACAATACTTGGCATCCTTCAATCCAGTCAAGCCGACACTCAATATTAACCATCACAAGTCCACCCCTTGTCTACTTGAACCCATACGCATCTCCTGAAATCATATATAATCTTCAAATAAAGATAATAATAAGGTCATAATTATGTTAGGTAATACATAATACAGCTATCCTTCGTACAACCAGAAGTGTACCAATCCCCAACCCAAATGCTGTTACATAAAGTTAACAACATTTAAATGCTGATTTGAAGTAAATAAATCTTATGTCACATGATAAAGGAAAAAGAAAGGAAATAAAATGAAGATATTTTCTTAGTACAAGTGTATACATACACAAACATGTTCCTAACAAAATAAGGAGGAAATATGACAATTACAGTCCTCATTTCTGCAGCTGGTCACGTGGGCATAGCCGGTATTGATGACTACCTTCTTCTACTACCCATTCTGTATTCCTTTTGCCTTCAGCAAGCATCTCAGCAGGTTGTGGTTTTTTACCTGGTGGAGTGACCCAAACATTCATTCCTAAGGGGTCTGGGCCTTATGTAGCACTGCCTGGATTGGGCTGTTGTAGTTTCCCATTGACCTTAATCACAGGGCATGGTAATACTAAGAGTTGCCTGAAGGGATCTCCTGTATTCCTTGCATACTCTTCCTTACCTCCACTGTGGAGTAATAGACTAACTTCATCTTGATAGTCCAGGTCAATCACCACAGCCAACACTGCAACTCCCTTCTGAGCCTGTTGACTTAGAGGTAAAAGGATCTCAAAGTGTCCAGGTGGCAAGCTTAACTTCCAGTTTAATGGAATCCTTGTTGTGTCTTCTGGTGGCAGCATTTTTCCCTCTGAAACTAACACAACTAAGCAAGCAGAAGGTAATGTATTGGGAACAGGAAGCAAAAATTTTGCTAGTGGATAGCTAGGGGTGATGGTGAGTGGTGCCACTTCCACTTCTGCCCCTTGATTCCTAGACCTGTGAATCCTGGCTATGGGAGAAACGGTGCCATATATTGGATGTTGATTCAGAGCATACATAGCCTTCTGGAGAATTTTGCCCCAGCCCTGCAAAGTATTGTCCCCTAGTTGGCATTGTAATTGTGACTTCAAAAGGCCATTCCACCGTTCTATCAATACAGCTGCTTCAGGATGACGGGAAACAATGTTGTACATTAGATCCTCCAACTTATTCACACTGCATAATTGGAACTTTGGACCTTTTGACCAAAACCACCCCATAGCTGGCACTCCCCATACTCTGGCTACCACCATTCTACTCTCTGTTAGCATGACTTTGACTTTTTTAGATTCTGCATGTAGTTGTAAGTGCCTCTCTTCAGATGATCATATGATTTTTATCCTTCATTTTGTGAATGTGGTATATAGCATTTATTGAGTTGCATATGTTGAACCATCCTTGCATCCTAGGCTCAGTTGATCATGATCCTTTTAATGTGTTGTTGAATTTAGTCTGGCTAATATTTTCTTCAGGATTTCTGGATCTATGTTCATCAGGAATATTGATCTATAATTTTAATTTTATTTTATTGTGATGTCCTTGTTTGGCTCTGCTATCAAAGTAATGCTGGCCTCATTAAATGAGATTGGAAGTGTTTCCTCCTTTTCAATTATTTGAAAGAGTTTGAGAAGGATTGGTGTTAATTCTTTAAATGTTTATAGACTTCACCAATGAAGACATCAGGTGCTGAGCTTTTCTTAGTTGAGAGTTTTTATTTCTGATTCAACCTCCTTACTCATTATTGGTTTGTTCAGATTTTCTATTTCTTCCTGATTCAGTCTTGGTAGGTTGTATGTTCCTAGGAATTTATCTATTTCTTCTACATTATTTAATTAGTTGATGTACTGTTTTTCATAGTAGTCTCATGATTTTCTGTATTTCTGTGGTATCCATTGTAATCTTTCCTCCTTCATTTATAATTTTATTTGAGTTTTTTTTCTTTTTCTCCTAATTAGGCTAAAGATTTCTTGATTTATCTTTTTAAAAACAATAACAGTGTCATTGACCTTTTCTGTTGTTTTTCTAGTCTCTATTTCATTTATCTCTGCTCTGATCTTTATTATTTTCTTTCTTCCTCTGTCTTTGGGCTTAGTTTTTTTTTTTTACTTTCTTATTGCTTCAGGTGTAAAGTTAGGATATTTCAGATCTTTCCATTTTCTTAAGGTAGGTATTTATCGCTATAAACTTCCTTCTTAGAACTGCTTTTGCTGCATCCCATAAATTTTCAATGCCACAAATTTTGTTTCTCTTTTCATTTTTCTCAAGACATTTTTTGATTTTCCTTTTGATTTCTTCTTTGACTCATTGGTTGTTCAGGAGTATGTTAATTTTCATGTATTTGTGAATTTTCCATTTTTCCTTCTGTTACTGAGTTCTACTTTTATGCCATTATGGTTGGAAAAGATACTTGATATGATTTCAATCCTTAAATTTGTTAAGATGTTTTCCATGGCCTAACATATAACCTATCCTGGAGAGTGTTCTGTGTGCACTTAAAAAGAATGTGCATTCTGCTGCTTTTGAAAGGAATGTTCTGCACATGTCCGTTAGGTCTATTGGTTTATAGCATTTTGAAATCCACAGTTTCCTTGTTGATTTTCTGTCCAGGTGATCTATTCATTGTTGAAAGCATGTTGCTATTTATTTCTCCTTTAGTTATGTTAATATTTGCTTTATAGATTTAGATGCACTGATTTTGGGTACATGTGTATTTACAATTGTTATATCCTCTTAATGAATTCACCCTTTTACCATTATATAATGACCTTCTCTGTCTCTTGTGACAGTATTTGACTTAAACTCTATCTCATCTGTTATAAGGATAGCCACCTCTGCTTTCGTTTGGTTATCATGTGAATGCAATCTCTTTTTCATCCCTTCACTTCCAGCTTATGTCTGTCCTTAAAGCTAAAGTTAGTCTCTTACAGGCAGCATATAGTTAGATCTTGTTTTTTATTCACTCATCCACTCTCTCTTTTGATTGGATAATTTAATACATTTACATCTAAAGTAATTATTGGTAGGTAAAGGCTTACTACTATCATGTTGTTAATTGTTTTCTGATTGTTTTGTAGTTCCTTTGTTGCTTCTTTTTGTCTCACTGTCTTCCTTTGTGACTTAATAACTTTTTTGGAGCAATTTGCTTTGGTTCCTTTCTCTTTATGTTTTGTATATCTACTACAGACTTTTTCTTTGTGGTTATCATGAGGTTTACATAAAATATTTCATAGTTATAACCATCCATTTTAATCTGGTAACAACTTTGACTGCATTTAAAAATACTGTATTTTAACTTCTCCTCCTCCCACATTTTATTATTCATGCCATAGTTTATATCTTTTGTATGTTGTGTATTCATTAGCAAATTGTTGTAGTTATAGTTATTTGTTAATACTTTTGTTTTTTAACTTTTATACTAGAGTTAAAAGTGACTGTTGCACAATAACAGTATTGGAGTATTCTGTATTTGACTGTATAAGAATACCTTTAATAGAGTTTTATTCTTTCATTTGTTTTCATGTTAGTTAGTGTCCTTTTGTTTAAACTTGAGAATTCCCTTTAGCATTTTTTGTAAGGCAGGTTTAATGGTGTTGAAATCCCACAGCTTTTATTTGTCTGGTGATATGATTTGTTCCTGAACTTCCACCCAAATCTCATCTCGAATTGCAATCCCCAGGTGTCAAAGGAGGGACCTGTTGGGAGATGATTGGATCACGAGGTGTTTTCCCCCATTATGTTCTCATGATAGTGAGGGTGTTCTCATGAGATCTGATGGTTTAAAAGTGGTGGTTACCCGTGCGCACATGCTCTCTCTCTCTCCTGCTGCCTTGTGAAGAAGGTACCTGCTTCCCCTTCACCTTCCACCATAATTGTAAGTTTCCTGAGGCCTCCCCAGCCATGAGGAACTGTGAGTCATTTAGACCTCTTTTGTTTATAAATTACCCAGTCTCAGGTGATATCTTTTAGCAGTGTGAAAATAAACAATACAGAGAATTGGTACTGGCAGAGTGAGGTACTGCTATAAAGACAACCTGAAAATGTGAAGGCAACTTTGAAACTGGGTAACAGGCAGAGGTTGGAACAGTTTGGAGGGCTTAGAAGATAGGAAGATGTGGGAAAGTTTGAAACTTCCTAGAGACTTGTTGAATGGTTTTGACCAAAATGCTGATAGTCGTATTGACAATGAAGTCCAGGCTGAGATGGTCTCAGATGGAGACGAGAAACTATTGGGAACTGGAGCAAAGGCCATTCTTGCTATGCTTTAGCAGAGACTGGCAGCATTTTGCCCCTGCCCTAGAGATCTGTGGAGCTTTGAACTTGAGAGAGATGATTTAGGGTATCTGTCAGAATAAATTTCTAAGCAGAAAAGCATTCAAATATAACCTGGCTTTTTCTGAAAGCATACAGTCAAGTCATATGCGTTCACAAAGAGATGGTATGAAATTGGAACTTATGTTTAAAAGGGAAGCAAAGCATAAAAGTTTGGAAATTTTGCAGCCTGACCATGTGGTAGAAAAGAAAAACCAATTTTCTGAGGAGGAATTCAAGCCGGCTGCAGAAATTTACATAAGTAATCAGGAGCTGAATGTTAATTGCCAAACAATGGGGAAATGTCTCCAGGGCATTTCAGAGGTCTTCAAGGCAGCCCCTCCCATTACAAGCCCAGAGGCCTAGGAGGGAAAAATGGTTTCATGGGCCCTGCTGCTCTGTGCAGCCTTGGGACTTGGTGCCCTGTGCCCCAGCCACTCCAGCTCCAGCTGTGACTAAAAGGGTCCATAGCTCAGGCTGTCGCTTCAAGGGTGCAAGCCCCAAGCCTTGGTGGCTTCCACGTGCTCTTGGGTCTGCGAGTTCACAGAAAACAAGAGCTGAGCTTTGAGAGCCTCTGCCTAGATTTCACAGGATGTGTGGAAACACCTGGCTGTCCAGGCAGAAGCCTGCTGCAGGGACCCAGCCCTCATGGAGAACCTCTATTAGGGCAGTGCAGAGGTGAACTGTGGGGTTGGAGCCCACACACAGAGACCCCACTGGAGCACTGCCCAGTGGAGCTGTGAAAAGAGTTCCCCCATCTTCCAGATGCCAGAATGGTAGATCCACTGACTGGAAAGTTGCAGGCACTCAGTGCCGGCCCATGAAGGCAGCCGTAGGGGCTGTACCCTGCAAAGCCACAGGGACAGAGCTGCCCAAGGCCTTAACAGCCCACACCTTGCATCAGCATGCCCTGGGTGTGAGACAGGGGCTCCAAGGAGATTATTTTGGAGCTTTAAAATTTAATGACTTCCCTGCTAGGTTTTGCATATGCTTGGGACCTGTGGCCCCTTTATTTTGGCCAATTTCTCCCATTTGGAATGGGAACATTTACCCAATTCCTGTACCCACATTGTGTTTTGGAAGTAACTAACTTGTTTTTTATTTTAAAGGCTCATTGAGGGAAGGGACTTGCCTTGTCTCAAATGAGACTTTGGACTCGGACTTTTGGGTTACTGTGGAATGAGTTAAGACTTTGGGGGACTGTTGGAAAGACATCATTGGTTTTGAAATCTGAAAAGGACATGAGATTTGGGAAAGGCCAGGGGAAGAATGATATGGTTTGGCTCTGTGTCCTCATCCAAATCTCGTCTTGAATTGTAATCCCCACATGGGATTACATGGGAGGGGCCTGGTGAGAGGTGATTGGATCATGGAGGTGGTTTCCCCTGTGCTGTGATCTCATGATAGTGAGGGATTTAAAAGTGACAGTTTCCCCTGCACATACACACTCTCTCTCTCGTATCACCTTGTGAAGAAGGTGTCTGCTTCCCCTCTGCCTTCCATCGTGATTATAAGTTTCCTGAGGCCTCCCCAGCCATGGGTAACTGTGAGTCAGTTAAACCTCTTTTGTTTATAAATTACCCAGTCTCAGGTAGTATCTTTACAGCAGTGTGAAACTGGACTAATACATCTGGGAAATTCTTTTTGTCTCCTTCCTTTCTGAAGGACAGCTTTGCCTGATATTATATTCTTGGTTGCCAGGTTTTGTACTTTCAATACTTTGAATATATCATCCCACTCTCTCTTGGCCTACATGATTTCTGCTGAGAAATCCACCAATAATCTTATGAAGCTTCCCTTGTATGTGAAGAATTGCTTTTCTCTTGCTTCTTTGAAAATTCTCTCTTTGTCATGGTGAGGATTTCTTTTTTTTTTTTTTTTTTTTAGATGGAGTCTAGCTCTGTTGTCCAGGCTGGAGTGCAGTGTGCAGTGGCGCAATCTCGGCTCACTGCAAGCTCCGTCTCCTGGGTTCACACCATTTTCCTGTCTCAGCCTCTGGAGTAGCTGAGACTACAGGTGCCCACCACCACGCCTGGCTAAATTTTTTTTGTATTTTTAGTAGAGATGGGGTTTCACTGTGTTAGCCAGGATGGTCTCGATCTCCTGACCTCATGATCCACCCATCTTGGCCTCCCAAAGTGCTGGGATTACAGGCATGAGCCACTGCACCTGGCCGAGGATCTCTTTATATTTAATCTATTTGGAGTTCTTTTGGGCTTCATAAATCTGGATGTTTATTTCATTTATGTCTCCAAATTTTGAGAGTTTTCTATTCTTATTTTTTTAAATAAGTTTCTGCAACTTTCTCTTTCTCTACTTCTTCTGGAACTCTTCTAATGCATATTAATTTTCTTAACAGTGTCCTATAAGTCTTGTCAGCTTTCTGCAATTTTTATCATTCCTTTTATTACTCTGACTGGGTAATTTCAAATGACCTGTATCTGAGCATGCTGATTCTTTCTCCTGCTTGATCTAGTCTGCTGCTGAAGCTGTTTGTGAATTTTTTCAATTCAGTCATTTTGTTCTTTAGCTCCAGAATTTCTGTTTCATTCTTTTTTATGGTTCCTATCTATCTTTTTGTTGAACTTCTAATTTTGCTCATGTATTGTTTTCCTGATTTTGTTTACTGTCTATCTATATTGTTTTGTAGCTTATTGAGCTTTCTTAAGGCAATTATTTTTAGCTCTTGTCATGCAGTAAAGATCTCCATTTCTTTAGGGTCACCTCCTGCTGCTTTATTTCCTTCCTTTGGTGGTTTCTTGTTTCCCCGATTATTTGTGATCAGTGTGGCCTTGCACTGAAGTAGGCACCTATTTCAGTCTTTACATACTAGCTTCAGCAGAGAAAGCCATTCACTAGTCAGATTGACCAGAGATTGTTGGTGGGCTGTCTGTTGGGGTCTATGCACAGGATTTCTGCTGGAGTTCTAAGGTGGGAAGGGCTGGATTCTGGGTTCATTCACTGTGGTTGTCTGTATTCTGTGCACAAGGACTGGCTTGAAGCATGGATCCTTGGGGGCTGACTTGGCACTGAAATGAGCCTTAAGCCTGCGTCTGCAGGGGCCAGCCTAACATGGGGATCACCTGGCACCTGAGTTCATGGGGATAGGCCTGTTCCTGAGTTTATTCAGGCTGTCCTGGGAACAAGGTCCACTGGGGTGAGCCCAGCATCTGGGTCCACATGGCCCAGCATGGAGCCAAGATCTCTGGAGGCTGACCTGGTGCTGGATCTGCAGGGGATGGCCTGGATTCTAGGCCCATGGGTGCCAACTTGGAGCCTGGGGTTGCTGGGGCTAACGTGGAGGCTAGATAGAGTCTTGGGGGCCAGGCTAGAGCTGGAGCAGGCCTGAAGTCTAGGTTTTGTGTGGCCATCTTGGAGCCTGAAGCCCCAGGGGCTGACCTGGTCTGGGGTGAGCATGGGGCTGAGGCCACAGAGGCTGGTCTGGCCTGTGGCAGGCCTGAATCCTGGTGCTGGGGTTTACTGGAGTGGGCTTGGTGCTTGGGATCTGTGGTGAAGTTAGGTTCTATCTTAACTGTCCCTCCTCCATGCAAGAGGGCATCTCTCTCCATACTGTGCTGCCCAGGCTTGAAGGTGAGATGACACCGGTAATGTGAAATTGTCCTTCCTATACACTTCTATGTGTCTTTTCTTATTTCTGTGCTGCAACCAGGTGGCATAACCTCTCACCTGATTCCTTAGCTCTAGTGAAGTTATTTTCGTGCATGGATACTTGTTCGAATTGATGTTTCTGCAAGGGATGAGCGCTAGAAACTCCTGTTCTGACAAACTCCTATTCCTATTCTTGCTGACATCACTCCCTGAAATAGTTAATATACTTAACAGCTGAACACGGATAGGATGTTCATGGAATATGTTGACAGGACAAAAAGTTGAAACTGTTGGCAGAAACCCAAAGTCAATATTGAAGCCAAGCAAAATATTGCCTGCAGTGCCACATTAGAACAGCTTGAAGACCGTTCATTTTTAAGTGACAAGAGACTCACCTCCAAGAAGCAATTGTGTTTTCAGGTAGCAAATTTTTATTATTCTGATTGTTTCCAAATAAACTATAATTTTTAAGTATAATTTTTTACTTTATGAGAAAATTAATCATTTATATTCTAATTTCCTGAGTATGTAGAGAGTATAGATAATGTTCCTTTATGTAGAAATATTTAAATGTAAGATGATTTTAAATCAGAAAGAATATTTGATTGATTTAAAATTTTTAAATGGGCTTTAATATTTTCAGAGGTTTTCTTTACTTAGGGATTTTTGGACTGACATTATTGCCATTATTTATTAATTTTGTTTTTGCCCAAATCAAGAGGTTTCATAATTGTTTACTCTCTCTCTACCAATTCCCTTTCCAACATTACTAGCCACAGAGTTGGCCAATGAACAATAAACACAACAGTAGTCTGGAGGTCTCAATTTGTATCTTGGGAAGCATTATAAATTTTCCAACTCCCTAGACACAAATGTACCAAAAAAAAACCCTTGTTTTCTATACCAGTAATTGTGTGCTTTGTCTTGCAATTCAGACATTTACAAGAAAATCTAAATCACCTTAAATTAAGATTTATGTTAAATGTGGTCTAAAACCAGCAGAGTTATGTATTGTTTTCTTTTTTAGAATGATTTTATTCAAGCAAGCAACTTATTTCATTTCCTTGTTTGCTACAGTTTCCTGTGGTAAGTGAATTATCTATAAAACATGGAATTCAGGCTAAGACAGGAGTAGCCAAGCAAGTGGCACCACCCCTGGAGAAAGCTATTGAACATACAGCTTCGGGGGTGGAGATTGTCCCTGATGATTCAGGACACGTGTCTATTTAATGTTCCACAACAAGGACCACTTGTCAGGTATATTGCTGTAGACATATGTTGCAGACCAGAGGAAGGAGCTCAGAAGTAGGAATGTCTTGGGACTTGTGTTAACAAAAACTTCTGTTCGCAGATGACACTCTGCAAAGCAAAACTTGAAACAAAAAAAAATTAGTCCTCTATTTTTATTATCAACAGTAAAAAATTAAACTTTATCTGAAAATTCAAAAGAGTGCTAGGCATTTTATAGTGTCTGGGTCCAATCCAAGTATCTGTTAGGAACACCATACATAGTTTTACTCTGGACCGCTAGGGAACCATTTCAAAAATGAAAGTAACTGGTTTAAATTTAACTTAGCAAACCATGCATTTGGATAGTTCTAGGTGAATAGCTTTCAACACCAGATTTAGATCTCATTTCTCTATTAATTTCATTAATTTTTGGAGAATAAAAATGATTCTGGACATTTCATTAATCATTACAGAGGGAGTTTTCTCTGTGTCCCCACAAGGCATGATTCTGGGTCTATGGTGACTTAAGAGGGCCACACAACAATGAGTATTTAATTTTCCTCAGATGTATGGCTACAATAAACATCTATAGGTAAGGTTTACATTCATAAAGAGACCTTTTTTTTTCCAGGAAAAAAGACTTTTATTCCCCCTAAATCACAACTCCCCTGTGTCTGTCCCTCAACCCTGATTTCTCTTCTAAACCGTAATTTACAAACCCATGTGCAAACCCACTGAAAGGTGAGAAGGAGCATAAGCCAGAGACACTGGGAACCACAGCCAACTACAGGGGGTTTTTCATTTTTTTGTTTTGTTTTGTTTTTTGGCAAAATAAATCATGATTATGGCTAGGAAAATCAGGGATGTAAGTAAGCAAAAATTTAGAAACTACATATTGCATGTAGTCCCCAAATTCAGAAACAGTCATCGTTAAACATCTTTTATTTAGTCTTTCAGATATTTTTCTACATATACCTATTTGCACATTTCACAAAAAAGAGTTATTAACTGTGGACACTCTTTGACTTGCATTTTCCACTTATAGCTATCTTTTGGTGCAAATAAGTAATATATTTTGGAGCTTGCTATTCTTCTCTTTTTATGGTATTTTTGTGTGCACATTCTTATGCTCTTATTCAGTTATTTCTGTAGAATACAATTTTTGAAATAAAAATACTAGATTCAAAGGTGTGAATATTTTTGAAGGTTTTGTGGTGTGGTATCATGAAATTAGGTTTCAGAAAGTTTACTCCATAGTTGACTTTTTCTACCAGCTAATAAGAGTGCTCATTTACCCCACTTAGGCCAACTCTAACAGGCTTCTGTTGCTTTGCATCCTGACATATTTATCTTTCTGGAAACAGTGTCCTAATTTATTTCTGCAGAGCTACTGCCTCTCAGTTTTGGTCCATGTGGTTCTGGTGACCCTGATTCTTCTGCTGAACCAGAAAGTGCACACATCCTCCTGGCTGTGGTGACCCAATCAGAGCCAACGTCTTGCAATGAAGCTTTTCTTTAGACATCTAGAAATAAGACTCTTATGTTTTTTTTTTCCAATTTGACTTGAAACTTAAGACAATACACAGGCCTGAGTTGTTGGTACTATTTTGCTACTACGTGGAGCTTGAGAGTAATGGTAACACCAAGACTGGAGCAAGTGGAAGGAGACATATTGTCCACTGATGCTATCAGTTGAGCACAATGTGCAGTTACTTTTTAAGCCAGATTCACCATGGGCTTTTTGGCTCCTGAACCAATAGATTTCATTTGTTTTCAAGCCACTTTGTACTAGGTTTTCCATCATTTGCAATCAAAACCAGTATACAAACACTGGTTATTTAATTTTTCATTTTTGCTAATCTCAGGGATAAAATGGCTTCTAGTTGTTTTAACTTGGCTATATTTGTGATTCTTCCCATTTTCATATACTTACTAATCACTTCTATTTCTTTTGTAAATTATCTTTTCATATTTGTTATCTAATTCTTTAAAATTTGAGTACTTTAATTCTCATTATTGTTTGTGGAATTGTTAAACAAGACTGAATAATCTGCCCAAAGTCCATGGACATGGGGGCCCATGTAAAAGCTTTGAAAGCCACCATCATTATGAGATAAATTATATAATAGTACTTTACATAGGCTCCAAAATACAGCACAGACACAGCTATCATTGTCATGGTCATCATTATCATCATGATCACCAACTTATGAGGATAAGCAAGAACACCTACTAGAAGTTTCTTTCCATTCAGCAACAAAATTGGTGTCTTTCTAGTCACTCCCTTCCCTGACTGTCACATAGCAGTTCACAGAGGCTCAGTTGCAGAATGAGAAGCTCTGGGCCAGGACCTGCCATTGTATGCATCCTTGCATGGGAACTGGGGGCTGGAAGAGGAGTGACTGCTTGATAATTATGAGTCAGTCAAAACCACCAACTGTCTGAAAAAAATAGGCCTTTTTGTAACTAGTATTGTCACTAAACCAACTCCTCCATGTTTTGTGCATACATGAAATCTAGGCAATACACTTGTATTCCCAAAAGCTTCCACTTGAAGAGATCTGTGCTCTTTCCAAATATAAACCTTACCCGAGAGGTGGTCATCTTGGCCACACCTCAGAGAGGGAGAGAGGCAGTCTTGTTGGGTTGGGTGGTCATAATGGGGCTCAGGGCCAAATCCCCAGGGGGTAGGATAGTGCAGAGAAGATGGCACTCTCCAGTGCTTAATAAAATGCACGTGGTCTAAGCTGCCCACTCCCTCAAAGGCAATAAAAAATAGGTACTATTTAAATTGAAGAGTAACTACTGCCCCAGGGAATGGACAGGTTGTCATTGGAATAGCCATGGTTAATGGTCCCAGTTGACAACTGAAATGAATGTGCTACCTGAACAGGAAAGCTTATTAACCAGATTTCAAAGACAGTCTTTCCCGGTAAATCCAAATTTACAAATTAAAGCCAGTAAAGACACCGAATTCTCTAATAATATGTGGGGTGCAGTATATTTTAGAGCTGGGAATAATTCCAAACAGCAAATAGTTCAAAATTTATTTTCAATTTAGCATATGCATGCATTTGCTTAAACTGTCTTAAAAATGAGTAAAAAATACTGTCAGTTTGTTTCAATCATACTGAGATGAGGAACAATGTTTAGCATTGCATGCTAGAAAAGGACACAGGATTGGGAGTCAGGGCTGGGTGACCGTCACAGGACTTTCACTAACTGTGTGGATCTTGGGCAAGTCTGTGTGCCCTGAGACTCAGTTATTTAACTTTCTTTTAAAAAACATAGTCCAGATGCAGATAACAAAGCCTGCCTCTAATTTCCCTTACAGAATTGTGAGAAGCTGGTGGAGATGTTTGTTACAAAAGTGTTTTGAAAATAGAGCAAATATTATTCTTTTTAAGGCATGATGTTTTCATAGCATGTCAGGCAACAGGAAAAAACTAAGTTAGGATTTTATTTTATTGTGGGGAATTTATGTGCAAATTATTGTGCAATTTAATGAAAATAAGCCAATGTTTTATACAGAAGTACCCAGAAAATTAAATAACACTATACATTGTTCAAATAGTTGCCTTAATATATTTTATTTTCTCAGCATAATTAGAGTTGTATTATACAGGTCTTTGAGTAGTCAGTCAGTGGGAGAAGTTAAGACAACAGATATCTTTTTATTAAAATTATTATATGAATTATCGCAAATTAATTTTTATGGTTCTGTCACAGGATGTCTGACTCAACTCTATGAAAACGCCTTCTTCAGAGGTGGGGATGTAGCTTCCATGTACACCCCAAATGCCCAATACTGCCAGATGAGGTGCACATTCCACCCAAGGTGTTTGCTATTCAGTTTTCTTCCAGCAAGTTCAATCAATGACATGGAGAAAAGGTAAAAGTTGGTATTTCATTATTGGAGAAGCTGTTTTTCAAAACTGAATCAGTTTTGTGCAGAAAGGTGTAGTATAACTGAGAGTTCTTCCTCACACGGGGTTCAAGGACCAGCTTCAGCAAAATCCCGTCAAGTGGTTCTTACAAATGCAGATTCCTAGGCCACAACCCAGATCTGCTGAACCAAAGTTTCTTGTGACCAGGAATCTGCATTTTAAACAATCACTGTGTTTCTTTAAAGTAGTAGAAGCTAGTCATTTTCTATTCAAAGCCTCAAAATGCTTGAATATCATTGGGCTAAGGGATTGTCTCAAGAAAGAGTCTAACAGGTGCACATTTCATCTGAATAAAGAAACAGATTTAACTGTGTGACCCATGATCACATTAGCGGATAGCACAGTCCAAAGAAAATAACATAAGACAAGCATTTTGCTGAGAATGTAATTGAGAAAGATCTAGAACTTGTGATTTTGGGACAGGGCAGTTCTAAATGGGGCCTATAGTGAGCCAGTTTGGGCACCTGTGGCATGATGCTATGTATGGTGTGTGTGTGTATGTGTGCTTGTGCTTGTGTGAATATGTATTATTAACTGGAAATTTGTAAAAGTATTG
This sequence comes from Homo sapiens, assembly GCF_000001405.40. Lineage (NCBI taxonomy): Eukaryota > Metazoa > Chordata > Mammalia > Primates > Hominidae > Homo > Homo sapiens. The sequence continues at coordinate 186,232,901 of NC_000004.12, forward strand.
GAAAAATAGTACTTACGATTTTGTGTGTGTGTGTGATGGAGTCTCGCTTTGTAGCCCAGGCTGGAGTGCAGTGGCGTGATCTCGGCTCACTGCAACTTCCACCTCCCAGGTTCAAGCGATTCTCCTGCCTCAGCCTCCCAAGTAGCTGGGATTACAGGCACGCACCACCACGTCCAGCTAATTTTTGTAGTTTTAGTAGAGACGGGGTTTCACCACATTGGCCAGGCTGGCCTTGAACTCCTGACCTCGTGATCCACCTGCCTCTACCTCCTAATGTGCTGGGATTACAGGCATGAGCCACCGCACCCAGCGGTAATTACAATTTTTATTAGGTCAGAGAGATGCTTATTAATCACGAGCCACAGTTTCATCTTAATGATTTTTCCTTTTGATTAATATCCAGAGTAAGCTTTTCTTTGTTGTTCCCATTTCCATGTTCATAACTCTTTACTCATCTTCACTCTATGTGAGTTTACCAACTAGAAATTGGATAGTCATTCTCTGATCCCACATGTTAAACTTGTAGAGAAAACTCAGATTGTATGTGAGGATCATCATATTAAAAGTGGAGGAAGGTTCTAGAATTCTTATAAATAATGAAATTAACATGAAGGTGGACATCTAAGACAGAGGGAAGTCTTCCATTAAGTGCAGACTACAAGGAGTTAATAAGCAAGATGAACACGATATACAAATCCAGCTCTTATCACTAAGTTAACTTTTTAAGTAAATGAAAGTATTTGCAAAAATAATTACCAATTGAGAACATAGTTGCCTGAAAGTTTAAGAACACAGGAAAAATCATTAACTCTTTAATATGGTTGATTTCCTGTACTTAAAAAATGTGAGTGTAAAGAAAACGCAGTGATGGAGTTAGATATTATGGGGTGTTATAAAATTAGCTCTAAGAGTGTTCTTTCCAGCAAGTATTGGGGAAGCTATATTATTTTCCTTATTCCTGGTTTTATTTGTTAGTGTGTAGAAAATGCTAGACATTTCCTCAATGTATGTTTATTATTCTACTTCCTAAGTAAAGCTACTTTTAAAATAGGTTTGGTTGCTTCTTGAAAGATAGTGTTACAGGAACCCTGCCAAAAGTACATCGAACAGGTGCAGTTTCTGGACATTCCTTGAAGCAATGTGGTCATCAAATAAGTGGTAAGTTGTGAATTTCTTAGCTACATTTGAGTTAATATTGGATCTCGCTTAGAACAGCTTTTGCTCAAAGTTTGTACTGCTACAGCTTTTTGGAAGGCATCACTCATAAAGATAGGAGATGGGGCAGTATTCTGGACACAAAAGAGGGACCCATATTCATCTGGACACTTCTATTGTCTTTATAAATCAACACATACTTAATGAGCCTCTATTATTTATGAGGTTAGCGCTCAAGTGTAAGATTTGCAGAAAATGAATCCAAATAATTGTGTCTCGTTTCCAGATAAGAATTTTTAAGAAAACACAAGGGAACATCTCTCTCAAGTTCACTTGAGGGTAATTTTTACATCAGTGATTCTCAACCAGCAGTGATTTTGTCTCTTCCACTGGGGACATTTGACAATGTCTGGAGACATTTTTGGTGGCTACAACTAGGGAGGATGCTATTAGCATTTACTAAGTAGAGGCCAGAATGTTTGAATGCTGACCAACATTCTACAAGGCACAGGGCAGTCGTCCACAGCAAATAATTTTCTGGCCCAAAACGTCAACAGTGCTGACATCAAGAAACTCTGTGATATACCACTAGGCCCAAATTGAAGAACTGAGTTCTGCAAATCTTGCTAAGAATAATACTTCCTAAAGGAAACTTGAGGACTAGGATGCTAGAGAACTTTGATTCTGACATCTGAAGCTACTGATGTCTTGGGAAACAGTTTCCAATGCTATCCTAATAAATTTAAGACAAATGAACTATTTCTCAAACATGACTGGGACTGATAAGAAAGTGAAAAGTGCTGAAAAGATTCAACTGATGGGTTGTCAGAATCTTAAAATAACTGCTGTTATTCTATGTATGACTATATATCATTACTATTTTATTTTCATTATGCACAATTAATTTTGTAGGTTCAAATTTCAGATGTTTTTAAATTTGTCATCCTTTCCTCCCTCATTGATATCACCTCTTCAATACGTACACACTTTGAGCCTGCTGTTTGCATTTTAACCAGTTATCAAAGGATGGCAATGCCTTCATTATAAATGTGGGCCTGACTTAGCCAGTATAATAGGTGTAGTCTACGTGAGGTGGAGTACATTTCCTATTTTAAAAGATCAATTTTTATGTTAATCCAATTTGGTATAAATTATTCGAGTAAGTGCTATTTCTGATTGTTGTATCTTGTAGCAAAATTTAAAGAAAAAGTAATTTGTGCCTTTCTCAATATTCCTGTTATTGTTCATGTATTCTAAAACTCACTGTTACTCACTTAGCTTGCTTTTAATGTTTTTTAAAGTGAAAAATTGTTCCCAAGTACATAAAATCTCTACACTCAAGAACAATTCTAGTCAAAAGCATTTAGAGCTTCCGTATGAACACTTAAAGAGTTTTTATTTGTAAGAGTCGCATCCCAACTCTTAGCCTGTTCTTTTCTCACATGCAGAAAAATAGGAAAGAGACTTCGTTTCCACAGTCTGCAAATTCCTGTGTTTAAGAACCACAGTGAATAATCCACCTCCCTGCCCAACTCATCGTACTGTCATATAGTTTTCCTGACAGTTTGTGTATTTTCTGTCTTTCCCACCCTTAAATTTAGTTTTATGACTTCAACCATACTTCTTAGGAGTGGAAAGGTATCTGTAGTAGATTATGGTTTATTCCACATAATCTTGGGGAATAAAACTTTAAAAAAGTATACAGTTTATACTTCTGGTTACATTACTTCCTTAACCAAAAGTCTAACCAAGAAATTTGAATCTTTAAAAAAAAAAGAGGCCGGGCGCGGTGGCTCACGCCTGTAATCCCAGCACTTTGGGAGGCCGAGACGGGCGGATCACGAGGTCAGGAGATCGAGACCATCCTGGCTGACACGGTGAAACCCCGTCTCTACTAAAAATACAAAAATTAGCCGGGCGTGGTGGCGCGCGCCTGTAGTCCCAGCTACTCGGGAGGCTGAGGCAGGAGAATGGCGTGAACCCGGGAGGCGGAGCTTGCAGTGAGTCGAGATCGCGCCACTGCGCTCCAGCCTGGGCGACAGAGCGAGACTCCGTCTCAAAAAAAAAAAAAAAAAAAAGAGCCTAATTTTGCTTCACTGTCTGTGAAAAGAATTATCTGTATCTTTTGCATGTAAGACAAATCTCAATGAAAAGGGTGCTTAAATAGAAGTTAACACTATTTTAAAGCAAGAATGGAAGTGGTTTCATCATGCGTAAACAACAACTCTCCACATTTTGTAATGATTGATCTGGATGCAATTTGTCATCAGACAGGAGAAGTCGAAAGCAAAGAAATAACACTGGGAGATAGAGAAGCTCTTTCATTCAATGCGAAAGGTCAAAGGCACATCAGTTTCTTTAATAATGCAAACCTCAGCACACATTATCAGTGTCCTCATTATTATTGCCTTGTTTATTTCCCACTGCTCATTGATAATTTCAACGTGAAATTTACCTGTATTGCTGCATGCATCTTGCAGTTTAAGAAGTGAAGTAACCCAATTTCAAAGCTAGTGCTTTAGGGAAAATATTGGATTGTATTTACTTCAAGCAGAGTTCGATAATTTATGTACATAATAAAAATTTTAAATCCCTTAGTTAATATAGCAGTTGCCAAAACTGGGCTATTATCATTCTAAACTACCAACCCAAATGGTAGTGGGTATCTAATCTACCTCTAGAAAGAAAATGGACTGTATTTGCTCTATGTATTTTTCTTGTACAGCTTGCCATCGAGACATTTATAAAGGAGTTGATATGAGAGGAGTCAATTTTAATGTGTCTAAGGTTAGCAGTGTTGAAGAATGCCAAAAAAGGTGCACCAGTAACATTCGCTGCCAGTTTTTTTCATATGCCACGCAAACATTTCACAAGGCAGAGTACCGGTGAGTACAATTCAAGGTGTGTGTTCTTTGTATTGGTGCCTCCAGGATTTCACTGTATTCTTCTTAACCTCTTTTGTTCCCAAACTAAAAACCAAACAGGGCTTTTATTCTAACCACTTTCCTCATTTACTTACTCTATTTTATTTTTTTATCTTTTATTTATTTATTTATTTATTGAGATGGAGTCGCGCTCTGTCGCCCAGGCTAGAGTGCAGTGGCGTAATCTCGACTCACTACAACCTCCGCTTCCCGGGTTCAAGCGATTCTCCTGCCTCAGCCTCCCGAGTAGCTGGGATTACAGGCGTCCGCCACCATGCCTGGCTAATTTTTGTATTTTTAGTAGAGTCGGGGTTTTACTATGTTGGTCAGGCTGGTCTCGAACTCCTGATCTTGTGATCCACCCACCTCAGCCTCCCAAAGCGCTGGGATTACAGGCATGAGCCACTGCGCCTCGCCCTTCATTTTTTAATTAAATAATTCATTTAATTTCATTTGTTTCTCTACTCTTTTCCCCTGGCATGTAATTGTACCGCATCTTCAAAGCCTGACATCCTCTTCCCCTACTTCTCCAAAGCTGATTCTTGCAGGTCTTTCCTCAAATACCGTCCCCTCCAAAAGCCCATTTCTGAGCATTCTCTTTTAAGTCACACTCAGCTCTGTTTATTTCATTCATAGAGCTAATCACAATTTGATATTAACTTGTGATTTTTTTCCTTATTTTTAAATCTTATTTTTATTTGCATAGATGTATGGGGTACAAGTGTAATTTTGTTACTTTGATGTATTTTACAGTGGTAAAGTCTGGGCTTTTGGTATATCCATCACTGGAGTCATGTACATTGTACCCACTAAGCTATTTTTCAACGCCCGCCCCCTTCCCACCTCTCTGTCACCTTCCCAGTCTCTACTGTCTATCGCTCCATGCTCTACTCAATTTTGGTGTCATTTTTTCCTGAAGCAAAATTTTGGTGTCATTTTTTCTGAAGTCATTTTCTGAAGTCTGTGTCATTTTTCGCTTTCCTGAAGCGAATTTTGGTGTCATTTTTCCTGAAGTTCCGTTTGCCCCACACATAGGCCTTGCTTATAGAATGAGGGTTTAGTGTCACGGAGTCTCCTGCCTCATTCTCACCCTAACTTTTCCTTTACCCCTTTGCGAGGGGAAGGATGTCCATTAGGTTAATAATGCAGACCCCTAACCCACTCATTATCAGGGTCATTGTTTTTCCACTGTGCATTTTAATACTAACTGTTACCTGCACTGCTCCCTGCCCCTCAAAGTGCAGAAAGCAAAGTAACCTCTTTTCTTCCCATTCAGGAACAATTGCCTATTAAAGTACAGTCCCGGAGGAACACCTACCGCTATAAAGGTGCTGAGTAACGTGGAATCTGGATTCTCACTGAAGCCCTGTGCCCTTTCAGAAATTGGTAATTGTAGGACTACTTCACTTTGTGATTGTGGTAGGTGGAATAGGAGCCCCCAGAGACGTCCCTGTGCTGAGCCCTGGGACCTGTGCGTGTGTTCCCATAGCTGGCAAAAGCGTTTCTGTCAATGGCATGCAGTTACGGGCTTCGAGATGGGGAGTTTACTCTGGATTTTCTGAATGGGCCCAATGTACTCACAGGGTTGAGTGCTCACAAGGCTCATAAGAAAAAGAGAGAGGCGGAAGGCTCAGAGCCAGAGAGAGAGGTTTGAAGGTATTACACTGCTGGCTTTGAAGATGAAGGTCCGTGAGCCAAGGAATGCAGGCGGCCTCTAGAAGTTGAAAAGGGCGAGGAAAGAGTTTCCCTGTGGAGCGTCCTGGAGGAAGAAGCCCTGCTGATGTCTTGATTTTAGCCCAGTAAGACCCAATCTCTAGAACAGTAAGATAATTAATTTGTGTTGTTTTTAACCACTAAGTTTGTGGTTATGCCCCTAGAGCAGCAGTTATAGGAAACTAGTACAGTGATACTGTTAGAGTTATAGGACAGTGATATAGGACAGTGATACTGTTATAGTTATAGGAAACTAGTACAGTGATACTGTTAGAGTTATAGGACAGTGATATAGGACAGTGATATTGTTATAGTTATAGGAAACTAGTACAGTGATACTGTTAGAGTTATAGGTACAGTGATATTGTTATAGTTATAGGAAACTAGTACAGTGATACTGTTACAGGTACAGTGATATAGGACAGTGATACTGTTATAGGAAACTAGTACAGTGATACTGTTAGAGTTATAGGTACAGTGACATAGGACAGTGATACTGTTATAGTTATAGGAAACTAGTACAGTGATACTGTTAGAGTTATAGGTAGAGTGATATAGGACAGTGATACTGTTATAGTTATAGAAAACTAGTACAGTGATACTGTTATAGTTATAGGACAGTGATATAGGACAGTGATATTGTTATAGTTATAGGAAACTAGTACAGTGATACTGTTAGAGTTATAGGTACAGTGATATAGGACAGTGATATTGTTATAGTTATAGGAAACTAGTACAGTGATACTGTTAGAGTTATAGGTACAGTGATATTGTTATAGTTATAGGAAACTAGTACAGTGATACTGTTATAGGTACAGTGATATAGGACAGTGATACTGTTATAGGAAACTAGTACAGTGATACTGTTAGAGTTATAGGTACAGTGACATAGGACAGTGATACTGTTATAGTTATAGGAAACTAGTACAGTGATACTGTTAGAGTTATAGGTACAGTGATATAGGACAGTGATACTGTTATAGTTATAGGAAACTAGTACAGTGATACTGTTATAGTTATAGGACAGTGATATTGTTATAGTTATAGGAAACTAGTACAGTGATACTGTTAGAGTTATAGGTACAGTGATATAGGACAGTGATATTGTTATAGTTATAGGAAACTAGTACAGTGATACTGTTATAGTTATAGGACAGTGATATAGGACAGTGATATTGTTATAGTTATAGGAAACTAGTACGGTGATACTGTTATAGTTATAGGTACAGTGATATTGTTATAGTTATAGGAAACTAGTACAGTGATACTGTTAGAGTTATAGGTACAGTGATATAGGACAGTGATATTGTTATAGTTATAGGAAACTAGTACAGTGATACTGTTATAGTTGTAGGACAGTGATATTGTTATAGTTATAGGAAACTAGTACAGTGATACTGTTAGAGTTATAGGTACAGTGATATAGGACAGTGATACTGTTATAGTTATAGGACAGTGATATTCTTATAGTTACCGTGGTATAGTTATAGTTAAAGGTACAGTGATATTGTTATAGTTATAGGACAGTGATATTGTTATAGTTATAGGACAGTGATGTAGTTACAGTGATATAGGTACAGTGATATTGTTATAGTTATAGGACAGTGATATAGTTATAGGACAGTGATATTGTTACAGTTATAGGTACAGTGACGTTGTAATAGTTATAGGACAGTGATATTGTTATAGTTATAGGTACAGTGATGTTGTAGCAAAACTGTAAGGTCATTCCTTGGTTGTGTCCCTATCTAGTGAAATGACTCTACCAGGGGTAGGGAAATAAAACTCTGTCGTTTCACACATAAAGGTAATTTCAATGGAATTATCCAGAAAATTGCCATGACATTCCACCTCATTTAGCATGTCAGGATGTTAATGACAAGATGTTACTAAAAGCAAATCCCTTACGGCCAGTTTTCCGCAGTACTGGGTGCTGGCTCTGTGCCTGGCCCTGTATTGGGTGCTGGGCTAGGATTTCCCTGTGGAAGATTGGGAAGGTTGGTTACAAGGTGGCTATTTTCCTGTCTCCTCTTTGCGACAGCACACCTTCTCCATGGTGTGTGCCAGGTTCACGTGTACTGGTGATTTAATTTTAACGTTCATATTATTTTTTTCTGGGAGAGTTTTTGAAGGCTGCCAGGAGGCAGGACTCGATGCAAACATGCTCCATTCTGTACCCAGCCCTGTTGCTGGAAGGATTTGCTGCACTTACCCAGGGAACAGGCAAGCTCGTGCTGTGGCTCTGGGCTGTCACAGCTGCTGTCCACACCTGGGAGAGCACCCTGGATGGCTCATCTGTGTACTTGCTTTCTTGTTAAATTGCAGTGAGTTCACATGTGATTTAATCGGATCAAATGGCCTTTACAGACTGATAAAAATATGGCTGTTTCAGGTGGTGTTTTGAGCTGCTAAGGGCGTGGCTTTTCACTGAGTACGTGGTCCCCGTTCCTCAGGGAACACCCAGTAGCCACATGCCTCCTAAACCTAGAGTAGGGCTGTCTCCTGGCCTAACTGCCCAAATGAGATTCATAAGTTAGGGATGATCTGTAGTTATCACTACAGATTTGTCCTTGGTTTCACCAAGGATTTTCCTAATTTTACAAACAAAACCCCTAAGGCTCCTGGAAGGAGGGTAGAAGTGAAGGTGCTCCGGGGGCAACACAGCTGATGAGCTGAACCAGAACTCGACCCTTGGGTCACACACATTTCACAGTGCTCACTCCACCTTTTGTTTTTTTAATGGATTTAATGGTGTTTTAAAGCCTCCTGCCTCTCAACACATATGAATTCATTATATTTACAGATTTCCTTCTCTTGTGGTCCATCTTCCTGCATAGATCTTGAGAGATGTCAGGCTAACCACGTTTCCTCAGTTAATTTAACAAAACCATTTGCAACTCTGACATGGAAAATTCCTACCATGTGACTTATTAATTTATCAATTGAGATGGTACACATATTTTCAAGCCAAAAGGAGGAAAACATAAATTGGAAAAAAAAGGTTTTTTTATTTTTATCACCTCTGGGGAAGAAAGTCTGATAAACGAAGCTGGTTGATAAAATTGCAATTAGGGGAAGCAACATCATGGTTTCTGTTCGGAGGCTAACCAGATGGCATACTTGAAATAGAGAATGTCCTAGAAATCAACTGGTTGCTTGGCCAAAATATCTATAAATAGTGCCCAACATATTAGATAGGAAAAGCAAAGTAAAAACAATTTTAACAGGTTAGGACATTGGGCTGAAGTATTGCATATATTTAATGTCATGTGCGTCCGTGTGAAGAGACCACTAAACAGGCTTTGTGTGAGCAAGAAAGCTTTTTAATCACCTGGGTGCAGGCAGGCTGAGTCCGAAAAGAGAGTCAGTGAAGGGAGATGGGGTGGGGACGTTTTATAGGATTTGGGTAGGTAGTGGAAAATTACAGTCAAAGGGGGTTGTTCTCTGGCGGGCAGCGGTGGGGGGTCACAAGGTGCTCAGTGGGGGAGCTTCTGAGCCAGGAGAAGGAATTTCACAAGGTAACGTCATCAGTTAAGGCAGGAACCGGCCATTTTCACTTCTTTTGTCTTTCTTCAGTTACTTCAGGTCATCTAGATGTATACGTGCAGGCCTGGGCCCAGAGGCCTGACATTCCTGTCTTCTTATATTAATAAGAAAAAGAAAACGAAATAGTGGTAAAGTGTTGGGGTGGCGAAAGTTTTTGGGGGTGGTATGGAGAGATAATGGGCGATGTTTCTCAGGGCTGCTTCGAGCGGGATTAGGGGCGGCGTGGGAACCTACAGTGGGAGAGATGAAGCTGAAGGAATATTTTATGGTAAGGGGTGATATTGTGGGGTTGTTAGAAGCAGCATTTGTCATATAGAATGATTGGTGATGGCCTGGATATGGTTTTGTGTGAAATGAGAAACTAAATGGAAGACACAAGGTCTGAATAAGAGAAGGAGAAAAACAGGTGTTAAAGGACTAAGAATTGGGAGGACCCAGGACATCTAATTAGAGAGTGCCTAAGGGGGTTCAGTGTAATTACTTGCTTGGTTGGTGAGTTTTTGGGCTCTATCCTTGACAGAGTCCTCCTTTTTAAGTTGGAGGCTGAGCTTGGTGAGGTGTGTTTTTAAAAGACCATTAGTCTGTTCTACCTTTCCTGAAGATTGAGGATGGTGAGGGGTATGAAGGTTTTACTGAATACCAAGAGCCTGAGAAACTGCTTGGGTGATTTGACTAATAAAGGCCGGTCTGTTATCGGATTGTATAGAGATGGAAAGGCCAAACTGAGGAATTATGTCTGACAGAAGGGAAGAAATGACCACGGTGGCCTTCTCAGACCCTGTGGGAAAGGCCTCTACCCATCCAGTGAAAGTGTCTACCCAGACCAAGAGGTATTTTAGTTTCCTGACTCCGGGTATGTGAGTAAAGTCAATCTGCCAGTCCTGGGCGGGGGCAAATCCCCGAGCTTGATGTGTAGGGAAGGGAGGGGGCCTGAGCAATCCCTGAGGAGGAGTGGAGTAGCAGATGGAACACTGAGCAGTTATTTTTTGAGGATAGATTTTTACGACGGAAAGGAAAAGTGAGGTTTTAAGAGGTGGGTTAGTGGCTTGTAACTTACATGGAAGAGTTTATGAAATGATGACAGAATAGAATGGGCCTGTGAGGCTGGAGGAGATATTTTCCTTGGTCCAAGAATTATTTGCCTTGTGTGGGAAGAGATTGATAGGTGGAAGTTTCAATGGGGGAGTAGATGGGAGTGACAGATGAGGAAGAAAAAAACTGGCTGTGAGGGATAGAAGTTGGAATGCTCGCTGCTTTTTTAGCTACCTTATCAGCATAGGCATTGTCCTGAGCAGTGGGATCTGATGCCTTTTGGTGGCCCTTGCAGTGAATGGCTTCAGCTTCCTTTGGAAGTAAAGTGGCCTTGAGAGGAGTTTTTATTAAAGAGGCATTAAGATGGAGAACCCTTGTGTAGTGAGGAAACCTCCTTCAGCCCATATAACCGCATGGTGGTGCAGAATATGGAAGGCATATTTAGAGTCAGTATAAATATTGACACGTAGTCCCTTTGCAAGAGTGAGGGCCTGAGTTAAGGCAATGAGTTCAGCTTGCTGAGAGGTAGTGGAGCGGGGCAGAGCAGTAGCCTCAGTGATAGATGTGGAAGATACTACAGCATAGCCTGCCTTTGCTGGTGAGTGGTGATTAGGCCTGGTGGAACTGCCATCAATAAACCAAGTGTGATCAGGGTAAGGAACAGGAAAGAAGGAAATATGGGGAAATGGAGTGGATGTCAGGTGGATCAGAGAGATACAGTCATGGGGGTGGGGGCCAGCCTAAAACAGTAAGGTCAAGTTGTTTGAACAGAAAGGCTACAGGGCGTGGTCCTGGCTCTTGTGTAAGAATTTTGACTGCGCAGCCCTGCACTTCGGCTGTGTGTAATGAAAAGGGTTGGGATGAGTTAGGGAGAGCTAGTGTGGGAGCAGTTTCTAGGGCTGTTTTTAAGGAATGGCAAGAGGAGTGGCTAAAGGATTTAGGATCTTTGGGGTCAGCTAGCTTTGCTTTTGTGAGTTTATATAATGGTTTAGTCAGGATGGTAAAACTTAGTATCCAAAGGCGGAAGTACTTAACCATACCTAGGAAGAAAAGGAGTTGTTTTGTAGAAGGGGTTGGGGTTTGGGAGATGAGCCAGACACAATCAGCAGGGAGAGCACATGTGTTTTCATGAAGAATTATGCCGAGATAGGTAATGGATGAGGAAGAAATTTGGGCTTGACTGAAGTAATGGGGGCTGTCCTCGAAGCCTTGTGGCAGTACAGCCCAAGTAAGTTGCTGAGGCTGACGGGTGTCAGGGTCAGTCCAAGTGAAAGCGAAGAGAGGCTGGGATGAAGGGTGCAAAGGAATAGTAAAGAAAGCATGTTTGAGATCCAGAACAGAATAATGGGTTGTGGAGGGAGGTATTGAGGATAGGAGAGTATATGGCTTTGGTACCATGGGGTGAATAGGCAAGACAATTTGGTTAATGAGGCACAGATCCTGAACTAACCTGTAAGGCTTGTCCGGTTTTTGGACAGGTAAAATGGGGGAATTGTAAGGAGAGTTTATAGGCTTCAAAAGGCCACGCTGTAACAGGTGAGTGATAACAGGCTTTAATCCTTTTAAAGCATGCTGTGGGATGGGATATTGGCATTGAGCGGGGTAAGTGTGATTAGGTTTTAATGGGATGGTAAGGGGTGCACGATAGGTTGCCAAGGAGGGAGCAGAGGTGTCCTATACTTGTGGATTAAGGTGGGGACACACAAGGGGAGGATGTGAAGGAGGCTTTGAACTGGGGAAAGGGTGGCATTGAGGTGTGGCTGTGGCCTAAGAACAGTCAGGGAAGCGGATAATTGAGTTAAAATGCCTCGACCTAGTAAGGGAGCTGGGCAGGTGGTGATAACTAAAAAGGAGTGCATAAAAGAATGTTGTCCAAGTTGGCACCAGAGTTGGGGAGTTTTAAGAGGTTTAGAAGCCTGGCGGTCAATACCTACAACAGTTATGGAGGCAAGGGAAACAGGCCCTTGAAAAGAACGTAATGTGGAGTGGGTAGCCTCTGTATTAATTAAGAAGGGGATGGATTTACCCTCCACTGTAAGAGTTACCTAAAGCATCTGTGATGGTCCAGGAGGCTTCTAAGGTGATCGGGCAGCGTCAGTCTTCAGCCGCTAAGCCAAGAAGATCTGGGAAGCAGTCAGTCAGAGAGCCTTGGGCCAGAGTTCCAGGGGCTCTGGGAGTGGCAGCCAGGCCAGTTAGACAGTCCGATTTCTAGTGGGGTCCCACACAGATGAGACACAGCTTAGGAGGAATCCCAGGCTGCGGGCATTCCTTGGCCCATTGGCCAGATTTCTGGCACTTGAAACAAGATCCTGATGGAGGAGGTCCTGTAGGAATGCTTGACCACTGCAGTTTAGGCATTTTGAAGTTTTTGTGTGTGCTGGAGATGTGGCTGGGTTTTGTCTCACAGCAGAGGCAAGGAATCGCAACTCAGAAATACATTGCTACTTGGCTGCCTCTATTATTGTACATCTTGAAGGCGAGGTTAATTAAGTCCTCTTGTGGGGTTTGAGGGCTGGAATCTAATTTTTGGAGTTTTTTTTTGTTTGTTTTTTGGTTTTTTTTTTTTAATGTCAGGAGCTGACTGGGTGATAAAATGCATATTGAGAATAAGAGGCCTTCTGACCCTTCTGGGTCTAGGGCTGTAAAGCGTCTCAGGGTTGCTGCCAAACGGGCCATGAACTGGGCTGGGTTTTTCATATTTGATGAAAAAGAGCCTAAACGCTAACTGATTTGGGAGAGGTCGGATAAATAAAAAGGAACATTAATCTTGACTATGCCTTTAGCTCCAACCACCTCTTTAAGAGGAAATTGTTGGGCAGGTGGGGGAGGGCTAGTCGTGGAATGAAACTGTAAGCTGGACCGGGTGTGAGGAGGGGAGGTGATAGAAGGATTATAGGGTGGAGGAGCAGAGGCTGAGGAAGAATTGGGATCTGGCTTGGCCTGGCAAGGAGCAGCCTGGGGAGGAGGGGAGAGGTCAGATGGGTCCATAGAAAAGGAGGATTGGAAAGACTCAGCAACACTTGGGGTTGGGATTGAGAGGACAGATGGGTTGGGATTGAGGGGACAGATGGGAGGGAAAGAAGGAAGATTTGGGACAAGTTGCATTGGGAACAGAGACTAGGGAGGGACCAATGTGTAAAAGAATGCCTGGACGTCAGGCACCTCAGACCGTTTGCCCATTTTATGACAAGAATTATCTAGATCTTGTAGGATGGAAAAATCGAAAGTGCCGTTTTCTGGCTATTTGGAACCATTGTCGAGTTTGTATTGGGGTTAAGCAGCATTGCAGAAGAAAATAAGGCATTTAGGTTTTAGGTCAGGTGTGAGTTGAAGAGGTTTTAAGTTCTTGAGAACATAGGCTAAGGGAGAAGAAGGAGGAATGGAGGGTGGAAAGTTGCCTATAGTGAAGGAGGCAAGCCCAGAGAAAAGAGAGGGTAGAGACATGGAGAGAAGGGGTGGGGGGGTGCTTGCCCCCAGGAAAGTGGTTCTTGCCACTAAGGGTGAAGGATCAAGGCAGGCATTCGCGCGGTGATCAGATACCTCTGAAACGTGGGTGAATAATCAAGCAGGTGTCCCTGCAGTGATTAAACAGCAAGGAAAGACTATCTTCCCAAGTCCATGACCAGTGCCAGAGTTTTGGGTTCATGGATAAAACGCGTCTCCTCTGTCTCTACCAGAAAATGAAAGGAATTGAAATTAAGAGAAGGGAGAGATTGAAGGATGGCGCCAAGATTGAAAGGAAAAAGAGGTTGAGGGATAGGGAGAGAGGTTGGATAAGAGAGTAAAAAGAGGCTGCTTACCCAATTTAAAATCGGTGAGATGTTCCTTGGGCTTGTTGGTCTGAGGACCAGAGGTCATGGGTGGATCTTTCTCATGGAGCAAAGAGCAGGGGGACAGGGGATTGATTTCCCAAGGGAGGTCCCCTGATCTGAGTCACAGCACCAAATATCACGTGTGTCCATGCGAAGAGACCACCAAACAGGCTTTGTGTGAGCAAGAAAGCTTTTTAATCACCTGGGTGCAGGCGGGCTGAGTCCAAAAAGAGAGTCAGTGAAGGGAGATAGGGGTGGGGACGTTTTATAGGATTTGGGTAGGTAGTGGAAAATTACAGTCAAAGGGGGTTGTTCTCTGGCGGGCAGGGGTGGGGGGTCACAAGGTGCTCAGTGGGGGAGCTTCTGAGCCAGGAGAAGGAATTTCACAAGGTAACGTCATCAGTTAAGGCAGGAACCGGCCATTTTCACTTCTTTTGTCATTCTTCAGTTACTTCAGGCCATCTGGATGTATGCATGTAGGCTTGGGCCCAGAGGCCTGACATTTAACATGGATAAATGTAAAGTTCTTAGAATCATACATACACTTTGGAAAAGATGGGGCTTAATCGCACTTTATAAGACTTGAAGGATGTTTGAGAATCACTATGAAACTGCTGAAAATACCAAGAAAATTTAATTCTTATGTATATAAATAATGTGTCTGTTTTACATGAATCCCTTCTACAAGCTTGGTATTTAATATGGCATATATTGTTTTTTCATAGTAGATTTAAAATTTTTGATATCTAATTTAGATAACATAAAATTAACCCTTTGAAAGTGTACAACTCCGTGGTTTTTAGTATATCCACCTGATTGCACAACGATCACCACTGTCTAGTTCCAGAACATTTTTATCACCACAAAAGAAAGGCTGTATCCAGGCCGGGCACGGTGGCTCACGCCTGTAATCCCAGCACTTTGGGAGGCCGAGGCGGGCGGATCACGGGGTCAGGAGATTGAAACCATCCTGGGTAACACGGTGAAGCCCTATCTGTACTAAAGATACAAAAAAATTAGCTGGGCATGATGGCAGATGCCTGTAGTCCCAGCTACTCAGGAGGCTGAGGCAGGAGAATGGCCTGAACCCAGGAAGCGGAGCTTGCAGTGAGCCAAGATTGCGCCACTGCACTCCAGCCTGGGCGACAGAGCAAGACTCCATCTCACAAAAAAATAATAAAAATAAAATAAAAAAAAAAAAGAAAGGCTGTCTTTCTCCTTTCCCATTGGCCGTCTTTCTCCATTCCCTACTCCTCCAATCCCCTGGCAACCACTAAATCTACTTTCCATGTCTGTGGACTTGACTCTTCGGGACATTTTACATAAATGGAATCATGCAATGCAGCACATTTTGCATCTGGCTTTTTTCACCTGGCGTGTTTTCAAGGCTCATTCGTATTCTAGCATATATCAATACTTTGTTCCTATTTAGGACTAAATAAGATTCTATTGTATGAATAAAACATATTTTGTTTATATACTTAGTTTGATGAACATTTGAGTTGTTTCTGGATTTTTTTTTTTTTTTTTTTGCCTCTTATGAATAATGCTGCTATGGACAACAGTTTTTGGGTAGGCATGCATTTTAAATTCTCTTATGTATATACTTAGGATTAAAATTGCTGGATCACAGAGTAACTCCATGTTTAACTTTTTGATGAATTGCCAAACTGTTTTTGAGAGCAGCTACACAATGTTACATTCTTACCAGCAACAATTGAGGGCTTCAGTCTCTCTACAACCTTAACAACACTTGTTATTGTCTTTGTAATTATTGCCTTTCTAGGCAGTGTGAAGTGGTGTCTCACTGTGGTTTTGATATGCATTTCCCTAATGACTAACAATGTTGTGTATCTTTTCGTGTGCTCATTTTCAATTTGAATACATTCTTTGGGAAAATCTCTGTTTAAATCTTTTGGCCATTAAAAATAATTGGGTTATTTTCATTGTTGAGTTGTATGAACTCTTTATATACTCTGGATACTACACTCTTATGACATATATTATTTTCAAAAATTTTCTGTGCATCTGCAGGTCATCTTTTCACTTTACTGATGGTGTTCTTTGAAGCACCAAAGTTTTTAAACTTGATGAAATCCAGTCTGGCTTTATTCTTGCACGTGCTTTACCTAAAACGCCAAAACCTAATTCATGGTTTTGAAGATTTTTGCTTATGATTTGTTCTTAGAGGTTTATAGTTTTAGCTCTTACATTTAGGCATTTGATGCATTTTAAATTAAATTTTGTATATGGTGTAAAGTAGCAATCCAACTTAATTCTTGCATGTGGGTATTCAGTTATTCCATTGTCTTGAAACCCTTTTCAAAATCAATTGTCTATAAATGTAAGAGTTTATTTTTGGACCATCAGTTCTATCCTGTTGACCTATATATGCCTATCCTAATGCCAGTTACACACAGTCTTGATTACCATAACTTTGCAGTAAGTTTTGAACTCAGACAGTCTGAGTGCTTTTATTTTGTCCTTTTTCAAGATTAATTTGGTTATTCCGGATCTTTTGCATTTCCATATGAATTTTAGGATGGTTGTCAATTTCTGCAATAGAAAAGCAGCAGGATTTTGATAGAGAGTGCATTGAATCTGTAGACCAATGAGTATCAATGGAATTATGTGTTATCAAATTTAGTAAACTACATAAACGATATGTACACAACTAAAACAAAACTAAGATATAAGATCATATTAATGTAATGATAATAAAAGTGGATTGTCTCCTGTTCTAATTTTAATAGGCACAAGGCATTTTTGTTAATCACTTCTTATTAAAGAATTTTTTATAATATTCAGGAAAATACAACAAAAAAACCCTTACATTCCTAAGGCCTCAGAGTCAGAGTAATATAAAGGAAATGTAAACACATGCTGAGTAATGCAAGCATTTGGCAATGGTGGTGACTGGAGCTGGGAGCACAGCTTTTATTTCTCTGAAATAGGAATTTGCCCCTTAGAGTTAGACCAATTTTGCCTTCCTCTAAATGGCAAACAGTTTGGAGATACTTTAAAGGACATTTTTTCACTTAGGATGTTTAGTACTATGAATAATAAATAGTCACAATTTCCTTAACTATGGTGACAAAATACAAGCAAATTTAGCCTCATGTCATTTCCTAAGGAACATCTTCTCTCTGTGAGTTCACAGGTTGCCACATGAACATCTTCCAGCATCTTGCGTTCTCAGATGTGGATGTTGCCAGGGTTCTCACTCCAGATGCTTTTGTGTGTCGGACCATCTGCACCTATCACCCCAACTGCCTCTTCTTTACATTCTATACAAATGTATGGAAAATCGAGTCACAAAGGCGAGTATGCATGGAAAATCGCATCACAAAGGCGAGTATGCATGGGGAGCACTTGCTGCTGTACTTTCATCACTTTTATAGTCTGAGTTCTTAAAAGTTTCGTTCATTTCCCTCAAAACACTTGAACCTGCAGTTTCAGTAGGTACTGTTCTGCCAGGTGCAGATTAGTTAAGAGATTAGCAGACTTCTCTGCCTATCTTCTCTTACTTTAAAACAAATGTTACCATTGAATCAAGGAAGCAATAGCCATGAGAAAAAAGAAGGATCTGACGCCTTTGAATGAAGATTCAAAACATGATCTTCATGTTTTGTATTAGCTTGGAGTAAAATCCACTTGCTGGCAATATAGCCCTTAAGCTTGTTGCCTCTTCTCTTTGTTTCAGAAACTAGAGCCCTGTTTATTCTGATCAAGGCTCTGGCCCACTGTCTTTATCTCAGATAACCCACCCTCTTCTGCACACAGCATGGAGCTAAGAGAAGGGTGTCTAGTTATGTAATATCATCGGCAGCATAAATTCCCAGAATTTGTTCTTTGATTTTTTTGTTTGTTTTTCCAGTTAGAAGGTGGAACTTCATCATTGTCCTCTTTTCAGGTTGTCTGTGCCTATTAGTTTTCTCCAGAGGGAGAGGTGGCTTGATTTACATTTAATCTCTGCAATTTATTAGAGTCCTGTAGTTGGATTTACTTTGAAGAGAGTTTCCCAGAAGAATAAAATTTGCTGCGTTGCTTTTTGGGTGTGAGCTGCTTTTGTATTTGCCTAATGCCTTTAATGCAAATTTCTTTCTTTCTCTCTTGCTTTTTTTTAAAAAAAATAGAAATGTTTGTCTTCTTAAAACATCTGAAAGTGGCACACCAAGTTCCTCTACTCCTCAAGAAAACACCATATCTGGATATAGCCTTTTAACCTGCAAAAGAACTTTACCTGGTAATGTGATTTGATAATAATATTACATAAAATGTAACCTATTTCATGACTTTTAACAGCAACAGTGATGAAACAATCCTCAAGGTAACAGAAACTTGTGTAAATGTCGTTCATTGCTTTTCCCATCTGATATCTTTTTGTGTTTATAATTGACACAGAACCCTGCCATTCTAAAATTTACCCGGGAGTTGACTTTGGAGGAGAAGAATTGAATGTGACTTTTGTTAAAGGAGTGAATGTTTGCCAAGAGACTTGCACAAAGATGATTCGCTGTCAGTTTTTCACTTATTCTTTACTCCCAGAAGACTGTAAGGAAGAGAAGTAAAGGAAATTTTATTTTTCAAAGACAGTTGACATGACCATTTCATATTCTCTTTCCCCCTGTGAAGGCTTACTCTTTCTACTGTTCATTTCATCTAGGTGTAAGTGTTTCTTAAGATTATCTATGGATGGTTCTCCAACTAGGATTGCGTATGGGACACAAGGGAGCTCTGGTTACTCTTTGAGATTGTGTAACACTGGGGACAACTCTGGTGAGTAACCTCACTTTTTCGTGGACCTGTCAGGGATGTCTGTCATGTTGATAGTTTGCTTAGTCTTAAGGAATTATGTGTCTTGTTCTCCTTGGTTAGAAGGGACTTTGATTCACTTCTAATTCCAACCATTAGCGTCAACGCTCTCTTTTCAGTCTGCACAACAAAAACAAGCACACGCATTGTTGGAGGAACAAACTCTTCTTGGGGAGAGTGGCCCTGGCAGGTGAGCCTGCAGGTGAAGCTGACAGCTCAGAGGCACCTGTGTGGAGGGTCACTCATAGGACACCAGTGGGTCCTCACTGCTGCCCACTGCTTTGATGGGTAAGTGTTGGATGCATCTCATCCAGAGTCTTATCTTGGCTTTTCATTTTGAAGGATCTATGATCAGCTGCTTCACCGCCATGTGACTTTATGAATAGAGACGTGTTAAAGCGGGGATGGTATTCACAACATTTAACTTATAGGGTCCAAGCACTGACCAACCTGACCATTAGAACAGAGTGTGGTCTCTGTACAGGGCAGATGGCGCTGAGTGGGTATTCTCCACAGAAAGAGAAACGAAGACAGTACCCCACTCCTCCAACCCACCACCCACCACCAATCCCACCACCAATTCCACCACCAATCCTGCCACCCACCACCAATCTCACCACCAATCCCACCACCAATCCTACCACCCACCATCAATCTCAGCACCAATCCCACCACCAATCCCACCACCAATCCCACCACCTACCCCACCACCAATCCCGCCACCCACGACCAATCCCACCACCGATCCCGCCACCAATCCCACCACCAATCCCACCACCTACCCCACCACCAATCCCGCCACCCACGACCAATCCCACCACCGATCCCGCCACCAACCACCAATCCCACCACCAATCCCACCACCAATCCCTGATGTGTTCTTCAAAGACTTATTTGTCAGGCCCATAGAAATGTTACTTCTTGCTCTTTGATTCATAAATATACTAAGTCATAATAATTTTTAAAAGTGAGAGTTTCGTACTCTGTATATTTCAATGTATATAATTTGATCTATTTCAATTTATTGGTCAAATAGTAGACATGTTAGGTAAGTCTTAAAATACTGAGGCTTTGGAGTTAGACAGAACATGGCTTAAGTGACAGCTTTGCTGCTTATTAGAGGTGTGGCCCTAGAAGATTTGTAAATCCCTCTGAGCTTTATTTGATCTAAAATATGAATAGTAATAGTCCCGAATTTGTAACGTTGTTGGGAAGATTAAGTGACACATTTAAAATGCTTAGTACTGTGTGTAGAACATAAACACTTCAAAAAATGTAAACTGTGATTTCTATATTCAATAAGAAATGTAGAAATGGACAAAGCATATAAAAAGCAAAAGAAATACTAGAAGACACTTGATTTTTCTCAAAAATAAACACACCAAGTATTTTTGTTTTAGTGAAATTCATGCTTACATGCTGTATACTAGGATTGAACATACTGCCACCAAAATATAGCAGTCGGTGGTACATGTGGGTGGAGCAAGACCCCTCCACCTTGTCATCGTGTGAAGGGGCTCTGCCATACATGACCTTGCATGTGACTTTAAGGTGGTTGGCCTGGAAGAAAAGTCCCAAGATGGGAAATAGTAGGTGTCTTTTTTACTAAATGCACTCCAATTTGGGACCAAAAATTTTCATTCTTGAAGGCTCAGTATTGTGAGTTTATAAGAGATAATAGACATAAAAGTGTAATGATTTCATTGCAAATAAAAAAAGGCCCCTTTGCACCTGATATCTCCATCATTTTTCTAGAATTTTGTGCACACATGCCTTGCACTACTTGGTGATGATAAAGATTTCCAGATCTTTGCACAGAATAAGGCTTTGCTTTAGATCAGAATTTTGGATGTACTTAGTATACATTCATCTTTTAAATAATCTATTTACATTTTCATACTTTCCAAAATACAGATATATTTTATTTTATTTATATATTTATTTAATTTATTTTTTGAGATGGAGTCTCTCTCTGTTGCCCAGAGTAGAGTGCAGTGGCACAATCTTGGTTCACTGCAGCCTCTGCCTCCCGGGTTCAAGCGATTCTCCTGCCTCAGCCTCCTGAGTAGCTGGGATTACAGGCGCGCGCCACACCTGGCTAATTTTTGTATTTTTAGTAGAGACGAGGTTTCATCATGTTGGTCAGGCTGGTCTCGAACTCCTGGCCTCAAGGGATCCACCCACCTCGGCCTCCCGAAGTGCTGGGATTACAGGTGTGGGCCACTGTGCCCAGCTGTATAGAGATATTTTAAACAACACTAAAGTCCTCCTACTTTGACTAATTAGAAGAGCATTAGAAGATCAGCCTGACTTCTTGACAGTTCTGAATTTAGTGGAGCAATGAGGTTCAGCTTTGGTGAATGAGCTTAATTTTTCCATGATAAACTGCTAGTTTCTTCCCACTACAGTGTCTCTCAAAAATGGGACAGCAACATTCTTTTTGTTTTCACTTGCAGTAAGCATGATGCAATTACATAAATGTACACTTTTCAATTTGTTAAATAGAATCTTCAGAGATTCACTACTGCCGCTATTGGTGATGAAAAATTACCAGAAGGAGGAATTAGGTAGGAGAAAATGTGTCCTATGTATTTCCTTCCCAGTTCTTTGAAAGAGAGTGATAGGAAAAAGGAACACTATTGAAGGAAGGACTGCCCAGTTTCAAACAGGTATTTATTTTTCTCTCCTAGGCTTCCCCTGCAGGATGTTTGGCGCATCTATAGTGGCATTTTAAATCTGTCAGACATTACAAAAGATACACCTTTCTCACAAATAAAAGAGATTATTATTCACCAAAACTATAAAGTCTCAGAAGGGAATCATGATATCGCCTTGATAAAACTCCAGGCTCCTTTGAATTACACTGGTATGTAGCATATGTAAGAAGGTGGAGAGCAGAATTGCGCTGGTTGATATTTTCATATCAGTTTGAACAAGAGGGCAGACCTAGAGAGACTGTCGTCGTTTTCTGACTGGTGGAGTTGAGGGAAACGTGAGGGTTGCTGGGAAGTGAAGACCCCGCGACTTGCCGTGAAATCTCTTCTACTTAAAGAGCAAGACATGTGAATTAATTCTTTCAGGGAGGGATACAACTGCATGCAGGTGATGGAAATAATGGGCGTGGGAAATGTCTGTGCCGTCTGAGAGGCACTGGGCTTGCTTTGACAAGAGTAGCAGAACTGTCATTGCTTTGGGCTTAGGGATATTCGAATGTGTGAGGGCAAGTGGGATCAGATATCTACTTCCAGGTATAATTTGGGTAGGAAAGAGACTCATGCAGAAAGAAGCCCTGGAAGGCCAGAGCATCGTGGTCAGAGGTGTTGCCTTTGGAGGGTCATTGCTGCCAGGAGCCGAATACCCACTGTATCCAATAACATTCATGGTCAGGAATGGTGGCTCACACCTGTAATCCCAACACTTTGGGATGCCCAGGTGGGAGGATTGCTTGAGGCCAGGAGTTTGAGACCAGCCTGGGCAACACAGTGAGACCCCGTCTCTACATAAAATTAGAAAAAAACAATTAACTGGGTGTGGTGGTGTGCACCTGTAGTCCCAGCTAGTCAAGAGGCTGAGACAAGAGGATCTCTTGAGCCCAGGAGCTCAAGGCTGTAGTGAGCCAAGATCGTGCCACTGCACACAAACAATTATGTGACCTCGGGCAAGTTGCTTTACCTCTTTACACCTCTTAATTTCCTTATCTGTAAAATGAGGATGATAATTTCTTCCTGGGTCTGTTGTAATAATTAATACATCAAAGCACTTCATGTCTGGAACAGTGAAGATACCCTGCTATGACTATTAAGGATAGTATACATGGAATAAGACACAGGAACTTCTAAATGCTTTTGACCATAGATTTAGGTTCTGAGTTTTAAGAATTTAACTCAGGAAATTGTAACACCAAAAATGTCATGTGAAAAATGGTGGTGACAAATTTTCTTGAATCATTAGCCTTAGAGGTTGGGCAGAAAGCAAAAAATTATTCTTGATGCTACTCTATAGAAAGAGAAGACAGAAAAAGAGAAAGATGTATTTTTAAAGTCTATATCCATAACTTTATTTGACCAAACTCTAATTTAAAAATTATGTTTCAGAATTCCAAAAACCAATATGCCTACCTTCCAAAGGTGACACAAGCACAATTTATACCAACTGTTGGGTAACCGGATGGGGCTTCTCGAAGGAGAAAGGTAAGCATGACGCTTTAAATATTGCTTCTAGAGTAAGTCTCACATGTTGAAATACATGGAGTGGGTCGTTTTAATCGGTTTCTGTCTGAAATTATATCTAAACTCTTTATCTTTCCTATCTATTTATTCCCAAATATTTATTCAGTTATTCTTAAAAAATGTATTTTTGCTTTGGCTTGAAAAAAAATTTTAGGGAGACTTTTAAGCATCTTACTTCATTATAAAGATCAGTTGCTTGACTTTGCATGAAGCAGATTGGGCCCTTCTAGGGCTGACAAGCCCGTGCAAGACCACCCGCTCCTCAGTGTTAGTAGCGTTCCCGTCTCCCAAAACCATGTTCTCCCTTGATGCTAATGGCCGGGAGCACAGGCAGGTGTGTCGTCTCACTATGGAGAATAATATTTGTGTCATTCTTTACAGAAGAAGGTAGCTTGCCAAACTGTCTCCATCTTTCCCGATTCAGTCTTTTGTTCAAGTAATTCACATTTTTAGATTTTTTATTGGTAATCTGAGACAAGAAGAAATTTAAAGTAATCTTCACTAAGCCATGAAAGCTCCCAACATTGTTCTCCATGAGAGATGCTGGCCTGCATTTATTCAAAAACAAAAGACCCCTCTGTTGCCAAAGCTCGGAGGGCTTTTCAGAAACGATATAGTTGTAAATTATAATTTTGAATATATAAAGCAAAAAAATGAAAAGTGAGAACTTCCAGGCTTTGGATTGTTGTAGGTGATAAATATAAAATGGGATTTCTGGGGGGCTGCTACTGAGATGAGGGGATGGCAGAAAACATGGAAGCAAGGTCTCTGGTCAGCCCAGGGTGCTGGGCTTGTCCCAACACCACGTAGGCAATAAGAGGACAGTACAGGGTGCCGTCTCTCTCCCTCTTCCTCTCTCTGTCTCTCTCTCTCTGTGTGTGTGTGTGTGTGTGTGTGTAACACTACCTTCCCAATTTTTACTGTCTATTTGTATTCAAAGATAAGGTCCTTATGAAAAATACACTGCTCTGATTCACTTTAAAACTTATTTCCATATTTATTATTTATTGTGGGAATAATAATATTCCCAATATTATTATTTATTATTTAAGTTATTATTATTAACTTCCCTCTGAGGTTATATATTGGTTACTCACAGGTGAAATCCAAAATATTCTACAAAAGGTAAATATTCCTTTGGTAACAAATGAAGAATGCCAGAAAAGATATCAAGATTATAAAATAACCCAACGGATGGTCTGTGCTGGCTATAAAGAAGGGGGAAAAGATGCTTGTAAGGTAACTCATGAGATTATGAAAAACACAATAGGCTGCTTGAGAAAATTCATTTCAAAATATATTTTCCAATAGCATAATTCAATCATAGTTTTTAAAAAAATTCAGAGACAAATGATCTGATAAATTGATAAGCAACTTTTAACAAATTGAATATACATAATATATATTTATATTATTTATGATATATGTCACAATCTATGCATGTGCTATTTAAGAGGGGCAAATATACATGCAATAATTGTGCTAGAATATAAAAACATTAGACTTCATCATTGGGATGATGATATCAAGATTTCTTTGTTAGATTTATTTCAGATAGAAAAGGGGATACGAAAAATGCAGGCACATGAGATACTTGGAGAACTTTAAGAAAGAGTGAGTGTGTGTGTGTGTGTGTGTGTGTGTGTGTGTGTGTCTGGCAAGCAAGGTCTTGCACACACACAGCACTTTGGGAGGCCAATGCAGGTGGATCACTTGAGCCTAGGAATTTGAGACCAGTCTGGGCAATGTGATGAAACCCATCTCTACAAAAAAATATGAAAGTATCTGTGTGTGTGTGTTGCTGTGTAGTGGACTACAGAACTTTAGAGGCAGTCACTTATTTGAATCCCATTGTCGTAACTTTCTACTATTTTATTTTTCCACTGTGACTCAGGGAGATTCAGGTGGTCCCTTAGTTTGCAAACACAATGGAATGTGGCGTTTGGTGGGCATCACCAGCTGGGGTGAAGGCTGTGCCCGCAGGGAGCAACCTGGTGTCTACACCAAAGTCGCTGAGTACATGGACTGGATTTTAGAGAAAACACAGAGCAGTGATGGAAAAGCTCAGATGCAGTCACCAGCATGAGAAGCAGTCCAGAGTCTAGGCAATTTTTACAACCTGAGTTCAAGTCAAATTCTGAGCCTGGGGGGTCCTCATCTGCAAAGCATGGAGAGTGGCATCTTCTTTGCATCCTAAGGACGAAAAACACAGTGCACTCAGAGCTGCTGAGGACAATGTCTGGCTGAAGCCCGCTTTCAGCACGCCGTAACCAGGGGCTGACAATGCGAGGTCGCAACTGAGATCTCCATGACTGTGTGTTGTGAAATAAAATGGTGAAAGATCACGATTAGCAAGTGTTTTCTTCTGGTTGTGAAACAGAACTGAAAGTAAGTGGTTGAGGTTCCAGCACAGTTCCTGGGATCCCTCTAATTGCACTGCTTCCTCTGGAACTCAGTATATCTCAAAGATGTAATTTCCTCTCCGTGCTGCACCTGGTCGGCCACTGAAACCCACTATTGCCTGCTTCACGTGTGGCAAAGAGCTAGCGGGCTTGGGTTTTGTTCTGCCGAGAGGAAGGGAGAACACCCACTTTTATAAGAAAGAGATGGGTTACCTGAACCCATGGGCACCTTTGCCTCTTGGCCTCCTAACTTTGCTACCAGGGCATGGCTAGGAGGGTCCAGGCTGCGCGTGCTGAGGAGCTCGAGGGGCTGCAGCATTGCACAGCCTTCATGGCAGGCAAGGAATCTGCTTTGCAAGGGGCATTAGCCCTGGAGGCTCAGTGGATATGGGCTATTGCAATAGTAATTCAAGGAGCATTTTTAGGCCTGGCGTGGTGGCTCACGCCTGTAATTCCAACAGTTTAGGAGATCAAGGCAGGTGGATCACTTGAGCATAGGAGTTCGAGACTAGCCTGGCCAATGTGACGAAACCCCATCTCCACAAAAATTAGCTGGGCATGGTGGTGCGCACCTGTAATCCCAGCTCCCCCAGAAGCTGAGGCAGGAGGACCGCTTGAGCCCGGGGATGTCGTGGCTGCAGTGAGCTGAGATGGCACCACTGCATCACTGCATTCCAGCCTGGGCAACAGAGTGAGACTGTCTCAAAAAAAGGAAGCATTGTTAGGTATAAATTATTATTATTATTATTATTAGTAGTAGTAGTAGTAGTAGTAGTACTGAGACGGAGTCTTGCTCTGTTGCCCAGGCTGGAGTGCAGTGGTGCAATCTTGGCTCACTGCAATCTCTGCCTCCCGGGTTCACGCCATTCTCCTGCCTCAGCCTCCGGAGTAGCTGGGACTACAGGCACCCGCCACTGTGCTTGGCTAATTTTTTGTATTTTTAGTAGAGACGGGTTTCACCATGTTAGCCAGAATGGTCTCGATCTGCTGACCTTGTGATCCACCCGCCTCGGCCTCCCAAAGTGCTGGGATTACAGGCTTGAGCCACCACACCCAGCCCTGTTAGGTATAAATTATTTCATAAAATTCAGACTTGTAAATTTATGGTAGCCTTTGGAATGGGTGATAGATGTCCTATGCCACACAAATTCCTCACATGCCGAGGCTCACCGTAACTGATACCAGCTCGCTTGATTCAGTTCAGTTAAACTGAACAACATTTACACAGAATTGGCGATTTACAAAATCTTATGTAAGTTAAGTAGAAAAACAGAAAAAAGTTTTCTGAAAGAGTTTGGGTTTTTCCTTCAATGCTCAAGACAGAGGTCCCCAACCTTTTT
Organism: Homo sapiens; assembly: GCF_000001405.40. Lineage (NCBI taxonomy): Eukaryota > Metazoa > Chordata > Mammalia > Primates > Hominidae > Homo > Homo sapiens. Next base: position 186,259,869 of record NC_000004.12, read on the forward strand.
GGCACCAGGGACCAGTTTTGTGGAAGACAGTTTTTCCATGGACCAGCATGGTGGTGGGGGATGATTCTGGAATGATTCAAGTGCATGACATTTATTATGCACTTTATTTCTATTATTACTACATTGTAATATATAATGAAATAATTATGCAACTCACCATAATGTAGAATCAGTGGGAGCTCTGAGCTTGTTTTCCTGCAACTAGACAGTCCCATCTGAGGGTGATGGGAGACAGTGACAGATCATCAGGCATTAGATTCTCATAAGGAGCCTAGATCCCTCACATGTGCAGTTCATAACAGGGTTTGAGCTCCTATGAGAGTCTCATGCTGCTGCGGATCTGGCAGGAGGCAGAGCTCAGGCGGTTATGCTTGCTGGCCTGCCACTCACCTCCTGCTGTGCGGCCTGGCTGCTAACAGGCCATGGACCAGGTACTGTTCTGGGCCCCGGGGGTTGGGAACCCCTGCTCAGAGACACACCGGGTGGTAGGAGGAGCTAAAGGTGGAGAGGGTGAAGGAAAATATGAGGTCTGGGCTATCCACAAACCAGATAGCAGGAAACTGAAGAGTTAAACATTTACTTCAGAATTGAATGGCTTTTGTAAAATCTGGCTAGATTCCATGAAACGATTTTAAAAATGCACTATTTAAATTTTGCCTTTGCATGCGATGAAGACATTAGTCTTTGTTCATGTGGATGTTTTTTTATGTTTAAAAGGGAAAAAATGGTTTGCAATGAAACTTTTATCTCAGTCTTTGAGTATTGATCATGGGGTGTTGGAACAGGACTTTGGAATGCTTGCAGGGTAAACCTTTGGCCTCTGTTAGTCAGGGAATGACCTAGTTTGGCAAAACAGAGGAGAGTTTTGAAATATGGAACTTTCCCGAGGCATACATTGTCATTTTAAAGTGGTCAATCAAAGCCCAGTAGGACTGGGCTGGTGTCTTGGTGACTCACTGTGTGCTCATATACAGGGGTAACTGAGGAGCCCTTCACACAGGTCTAGCCTCGTGGGACTAAAAAGTGTGACATGGGCTAGGAAAATGCGAGGCTGGGATGCCTTCACTCCCATGAGGAAGCGTGACGGGAGGAGGCGTGGGCCACTGGCAGTTCTACTTCACAAAGGCTGCTGGCAGTGTCAATCCTGCAAGCTGGCCTTGCCCTCCTGTGGCGGCAGTGTACACGTGGCATGCAAGCACATGCACAAGCCACCTGGCTCCAAGGTCAGCCAAGGGCTCCAACATCTGTCTCAGTCCCTGCCAAGGCATGGGAACCCCCCACGTAAACTTGGAACTTTTCCTTTCAATTGTTGCTTATGTCTGTCACTTTACTTGACTGTGAGCAGCTTCTAGGGAGGCTCTCTCATTCATAGTGCATATCATGGGCATCCAGTAAACGGCTAATGATGATGATACACCTTTATTACAAAAATAAAGGCAATGGAGACTGAAGAGGTGAAATGATTAGCTCAAGGTCACTGGCAAGGACAGAGCTGGAACAAAGCTCAGCATTCCTATGCCAGGCAATGTCCTCTCACTGATATCCGGTTGCTTCTCACTAGGAGAAGGATGAAAGATGACAGAGCATTTATAACCACCATTTGTTATTTTCATTATCAACTGACACTGGTGTTTCTCTGCCCGGAGCGATTTTGTCCTCCCTTCACCTCAGGAAACATTCGGCAACGTCTAGAGACACTTTTGGTTGTCCTAATGGGAGAGGGTATGCAACTGGCTGTAGTGGGTAGAGGCCAGGGATGCAGCTAAACATCCTGCAGTGTGTGGGACAGCCCCTCGCAAGAGAGAGTTATCCTGCCCCAATATCAATAATGCCAGGGTTGGGAAAGCCTGATCTCATGTCAGCATTAAAACCTTGTAATGAAAAGAGGACATTTCGGCCGGGCGCGGTGGCTCACGCCTGGAATCCCAGCACTTTGGGAGGCTGAGGTGGGCGGATCGCGAGATCAGGAGATCGAGACTATCCTGGCTAACACGGTGAAACCCCGTCTCTACTTAAAATACAAAAAAAAAAAATTAGCCGGGCGTGGTGGCAGGCACCTGCAGTCCCAGCTACTCGGGAGGTTGAGGCAGGAGAATGGCGTGAACCCGGGAGGTGGAGCTTGCAGTGAGCCGAGATCACACCACTGCACTCCAGCCTGGGCGACAGAGCGAGACTCCGTCTCAAAAAAAAAAAAAAAAAAAAAGAAAAAGAAAAACAAAAGAGGACATTTCAGGAACAGCAAGAAAGGGGTTGTAGGACATGGCGGGCTGTGCCCTTTCTCTTCCTTTATTTTTTACTTTTTGATACATTCTATTTGTACATATTTGTGGGGCACATGTGAAATTGTGTTATGTGCATAGAATGTGTAATGATCAAGTCAGGATGTTGGCATACCCATCACCCAACCATTTCTATGTGTTGAGTACATTTCAAGTCCTTTTCTAGCTATTTAGAAAACTATAATACCTTGTTGTTGACTGCAGTCACCCTACTCTTCTGTCAAACATTAGAAAGCATTCCTTCTATCTAACTCTGTGGTTGTACCCCTTCACCAACCTCTCTTCGTCCTCACCACCACCCCCCCACACACACCCTTCCCAGCCTCTCGTAACCACCATATACTCTCTACGGCCATGAAATCATCTTTCGTGGGATCATGCAATGTTTGTCTTTCTGTGCTTGGCTTACTTTACTTAACATAATGACCTCCAGTTCCATCCACATTGCTGCAAATGGAATGATTTCCTTCTTTTTTATTGTGTCCATTTTCAAAGCAAGTTCTGAAAGACAAGAGAAGGAGCTCTGAGAGTTGATTATGGCCATGCCTGAGAAGGGGTCTCAGTCAACTAATGCCGTTGTGGACATTCCTGTCCCAAGCAGAAGGCTTTAGGTCACAATATGTCCAAATGTCCAATACATCTCCCACCTATGATCCATTGGAAAGAAAACAAACCTCGGGACCCCCAAAATCACTAAGCCACATGGAAAAGTAAAGCTGGGAACTGCATTGGGCAAACCTTCCTCCCATTCTATTCCTAAATAAAATAGCTTTCTTAAGCTATAAAAAACCTTTTTTAAGCTTTAAAAAGGTTTTAAAAAGCTACATTCCTCACAATTTGCCCATGAGGAAATTCCTTGTGGAAAAAGGACAGGCAGAAGTCAGAGTCACCCCTCTGCTGACATGAGACAGGTGCGTATCTGATTGCCTCGTTTGCCATATTGTTTCACTGGGCCACACTAAGGCATGAGTGACTATTCTTGTAAATTGCGTATTTGGTGAAAGGCTAATTGGAAACTCGAAAAAATGCTTCTGTTTGTCTCTTATCTACCTATGACCTGGAAGCCCCCTTCCCTTCTTCGAGTTGTCCCACCTTTTAGGACCAAACCAATGTACATCTTGCATAGATTGATTGATGTCTTATATCTCCCTAAAATGTACAAAATCAGCTTGGGCCCTGACCACCTTGGACACATGTCATCAGGACCTCATGAGGCTGTGTCATAGGTACATCCTTATCCTTGGCAAAATAAACTTTCTAAATTGATTGGGACCTGTCTCAGATACTTTTTGATTTAGAATCCTAACTTCTGACTTGTACTTGGGTCTCTGCAGACTAACTTCTATATTCTTCCTAAGACTTTGTCTAGTTATTCCTCATTTTCATCAGTCTTCGAATATTCAAAAACATTTCATTTCATTGAAAAAAAATTGAAAAAAGTAGTTGATATCAGAATTTTAAACTGCAATGCATTAGTTGAAAATAATTTTTTAAGGATATCTATGGTCAGTTTAAAAGAAAGGTCTATTTAATCTCAAAGAGTTTCTATGTAGTCAAGACTTTTATTCTAGGCTGGGCACGGTGGCTCATGCCTGTAATTCCAGCACTTGGGAGGCCAAGGCAGGTGGATCGCTTGTGCCCAGGCATTCCAGACCAGCTTGGGGAACACAGCAAAACCCTGTCTCTACAAAAAATACAACAATTAGCCATGCGGAGTGACATGCGGCTGTATTCCTAGCTATTCAGGAGGCTGAGGTGGGAGGATCACCTGGTGGCTGCGTTGAGTGGAGATCACACCACTGTACTCTCGTCTGGGCGACAGGAGTGAGACCTTGTCTGAAAAAAAATTATTCTACTTTTATTTGAATAGACAAAATTTTTTTGAATCCTGATACTATTTCAAAGACCTTAAAGATTTCACTAACTAGCTAAATCAAACTTAGGAAAATATTATTTGGTTTTCCAGTGAAGCATTTCTCTTATTTAGAGCCTTTCTGTTTCTCTCAATAGGGTTGGAGAGTTATCCTTATCTTCTTTTTATTGGGGCTTAAGAAGAGAGATGAGGTTCCATGGAGTAAACAATACAAGGATATAAGGACCTCATATAATCTCACGTATCCATTTTCCATGAAAGCCATTCTTGGCACGAATTTGCCATTCTATGTTTGAGCCTCATAAAAGGCAATGCATCATAAATATGCACTTTTTGGGTAGCTGGAATGTACTTTAAACGGGAAACTCAAGAAAACAGCTAGGAACTCTTTATGCCAGGATAAGTCAAATGCACTGGCAATAGATCAAATAAAAATATCTGAGTAAATGCCTTCCAGATAGAACATCACCCTAGTTCTTCAGCACTTTACAAAAAGATCTGTTCTCAGTTCACATTCTCTTAATTCCCTGTCATTTCTCCCCGGTCTTCCAAATATGTTTTTTAAATTATGATTCCATGTATAAACACAAGATCGTATTTTGCTTTTCTATGAAAAATTGAGAGCCTTCTCTGAACCATAAACGTATCTTTCTCCAAAATGTATTCAAATCAGGCATATTGAAAACTGTTTTGTGTTCGTGTTGTGAGGTTTTTTAGGGGACCGCACAGAAACCCTCAGCACTAGTTAGTGCCTTGTGTTCTAAATGAGGAAACGGAAGCCAAGGACCTGCAGGTGGCTGGGGACTGTGCACAGGCTGGTTCCGCTCAAGTCACATGACTCGTCAGCCAGTGAGTAGGTCTGGGTAGCAGTTGGCATGGATGAACATGCCCTCCATAGGCTTTCAGACCTTCTTCAAGGCCAAAGGGAAGGCCTTCATGGAAATATAATTATGTGAAACACCCCAGAATTTTTTCACAAACTTTCCTGCCTATAAACGCCAGGTCCTACCACTGTCCAGTGTCCCACTTCCCACTGTCCAGTGGGAAGACTCCCTCCAGGACAAAACCACCCTTTCCTTCAGGGATGTGACGTGCTGTGCTTTCGTTGACAGTCATGCAGCTGCTAGACATGTCACTTCCTAGCTCTCCATTCGGGTCTGTGTCCCAGGACCTAAAGAAAGCTAAAAGAAGCCGGGCGTGGTGGCTCATGCCTGTCATCCCAGCATTTTGGGAGGCTGAGGCTGGCGGATCACTGGAGATCAGGAGTTTGAGACCAGTCTGACCAGCATGGTGAAACCCTGTCTCTACTAAAAATACAAAAAAAGAAAAGAAAAAAGAAAAAAAAATAAGCTGGGCGTGGTGGCGCGGGCCTGTAGTCCCAGCTACTCCGGAGGCGGAGGCAGGACAATCACTTGAACCTGGAAGGCGGAGGTTGCAGTGAGCTGAGATCGCGTCATTGCACTCCAGCCTGTGCGACGAGAGACTCTGTCTCAAAAGAAAGAAAGAAAGAGAGAAAGAAAGAAAGAAAGAAAAGAAAGAAAGAAAGAAGAAAGAAAGAAAAGAAAGAAAGTAAGAAGCAAGCAAGCTGAAATAGCTTATTTTTCTGTTTTAAAAAATAGACTTTTAGTGTTCACAAGTAAGAATAAAAAAAAAAAAAGCTTGGCCTTAGGAGGAATCCTATCTGCTTAGGCCTCTGAGAGGCAGCGTCACCTGAAGGGAAACTGACTGGGCAAGAGCCAGGCTCTTAGGAGCTGTCTGTACTTTGCTTCCCATCCGTCCGCTCTCCCCCAGCAGCCAAAGTCTCCTCCCTCCATTATATTGCAAATCAATGAATCCATTAGACTTTCCATGTTTTCTTTTTAGACTTTGAGATTCAAGGTCAGCTAGAATTAATGGTTAACAGCTGACAGGTGAAAGTGTGGTTAAATGCAGCTTTGGCTAGCAGGCACACAGGCAAAATCAAGTTCTACATCTGTCCCTGTGTATGTCACTTGTTTGAATACGAAATAAAATTAAAAAAATAAATTCAGTGTATTGAGAAAGCAAGCAATTCTCTCAAGGTATATTTCTGACATACTAAGATTTTAACGACTTTCACAAATATGCTGTACTGAGAGAGAATGTTACATAACATTGAGAACTAGTACAAGTAAATATTAAAGTGAAGTGACCATTTCCTACACAAGCTCATTCAGAGGAGGATGAAGACCATTTTGGAGGAAGAAAAGCACCCTTATTAAGAATTGCAGCAAGTAAGCCAACAAGGTCTTTTCAGGTACAGTTTCAGAACTTACTATTTAACATTCCTCTCAAGCAAATACGCCTTGAAATGCTTTTTTTAAATCATAGGAATTTAAAAACACTTTACAATAGAGAATGATTGATTTTTAAAATGTGTCTGATTTAGCTTTGTAGAGATGTTCCGCTAATATCCATAACTAATCTGAGAGGAAATGTGGAACAACAGAAGAGTAACAGTGTCTACTCAGTAACAAGCGTTTTACGAGTTAAAAAGACATCCAAATGCAGTACTGAAAAATCAGAAGTCTTGATTTGTCTCACTGATGACTCCGTTTTTCCTAGAGCAGTCTGTTTAATGCTTACTGGAGATAAATAGATTTATAGGTGACCAAGACAATCGATTAATGTATCAGCCACAGACTTTTTTAAATAGAAAATTTTCTAAGTAGGAAATCATTCATAGCTCTTTGAAAGATATAGGGAGAGGCCTCAAGGAAAGAAAGAAAGGAAAAAAATTGGGAAAGGAAACAAAGATGAAAAATTGGGGTGGGGAGAGCGGTCAGATGGTGGCCATGAGAAGGATCTGAACACAGAGAGCGGCGGGGCCGGCGGGGAAGGAGGGAGGAGGGGAGAGCGCTGCTTCCCTGTGGGTTCCGGCTTCTGCAGAGCTGTAAGAGTTGAATGCCACACACAGTCACACTAAGGAATGCTCCAGGATTGGGAAAGAAAATTCAACATTATAATGAGAACACTGTGAATGCTATTGAATTAACTACTCCCCTCTCTCCCTATTTCTTGTAAGTCTTAGTGTCAGTAAACTAATTATAAATTTACATTTTATGTTCTAAAAGCATGCACCTTTTTCTCATTGTAGGATGATTTTCTTATATCAAGTGGTACATTTCATTTTATTTACTTCAGTTTCTGGTGGTAAGTAGAGTGTTATCTTAACTATGGGCTGGGAGAGGGAAATCACACTGCAATCTCCACACATGTGGGAGAATCCCACACCATTTATGCCGGGAAGGAAATAAAATGTTTTTATTAACTTCCTGCCTGAGGCTCCAGAGGTTTTCAAAGCAGGGTAGGAATTGAGGTGAAAAAATTGTTTGTACTGGTAGGAATCTGTGTCTATATGTGTACCATATCTACATCCATGCCTACATACATCATTCATTTAAATGATATTTAAAAGCAATATTAAAAAGAAGAAATCTTGATTTGCCTCACTAATTAGTTGGTTTTTCATAAAGCAGTCAGTTCAATGGAACATACACACACACATAAAATAGGAATTTTGTACTGAAAAATGTTATGTAACTATTCATACACAGTTTATGCATTTCAATAATTTAACTACCCTGTTAATTCTCCACCCTATGTCACATCTGCTAAATTTGTTTATAAATTACTTAGCCAATATTAAGTAGGATATATCAGTACAGGTATTGTTTAGTTCCATGACCATTCTTTATTTAAAATGAAAGCTGAAGCATTCCTTTAGAAAAATAGCTTATGTCTACATGTTATATTTAATTTCTGATACTATTGCTAGCATTTTAAGCATAGTAAATTCTTTTTGCTGGCCTATGTGAAAAAAGGCAAACCTAGGTGAAGATATTAAAAGTAAATTCCACTTAATATATTAAATTACACAGCTCATAATTTCAATTTTCTCTGTGACAAGACTACTGCTCAGGTTATAATATTCCTTTGTTATAATTATCTGGAAATTGTATTGTTATTTCATTGATAAATATGTCAGCGCTAAATAATTTGATATATTTTGAACACTGGACCCAATAACTACATAAACAATTGACCCTGAATCAGGGGTTCCACATCCATGGATTTAAACAACATTGAAGTGAAATTTTTTAAAAAAAATTATATCTGCACTCAACATGTGCAGAGTTTTTTCTTGTCATTATTCCCGAAACAACACAGTATAACAACAATTTGCATAGTATTTACATTGTACTAGGTATTATAAGTAATCTAGAGATGATTTAAAGTACACAGGAGGCTGTGAGTAGGTTATATGTAAATACTATGCCATTTTCTATCAGGGACTTGAGCGTTCATGGATTTTGGTATCTGCAGGAGGTCTGGCAGCCAATCCCTCATAGATATCAAGGAATGATAGTGTACATATTTAGGTCCTTTATACATGCACATGGAACATTTACAAATATTGACCACACACAAGCCTCTGAAACAAGGCTCAACAAATTTTAAGGGGTTAAAATTATACTGATCATGTTATTCAATCACCGTGAATGGGAGCTAGAATAATAATAAAAAGGGAATTGAAAATCTGCAAACGTTTGAAAATTGAGTATTTATAATCACCGTGAATGGGAGCTAGAATAATAATAAAAAGGGAATTGAAAATCTGCAAATGTTTGAAAATTGAGTATTTATACCTTTTTAGATTAAGATGAATCAGAGATGAAATCACAATGGTAATTAGAAAAGGAATTGTACAATAATGAAAGTACAGTATATCAAAACTTTGAGATGTAACCGAATCAGTGTTGAGATCAAATGTATAGATTTACATGTATACATTAGAATACAGAAAAGGGAAAAATTAATGATATAAGATGACAAGAAGATAGAGAATAGCAACTTAAGTGCTAAGAAATTAGAAGGCAGAAAGAAGAAATCGCAGAAATTAATTAAATGGAAGACACACATATTTGAGAGGTCAACATAACCCCTTTCTAGCCCATTTTATAAGGTCAGGGTAATCTTGACACCAAAATCTGATAGGAAAATTCTGAGGAAAAAAAGTCACAGGTCTTTTATCTTATGAACATATGTACAAATGTCCTAAACAAAATATTATCCAACTTAACCCAGTAGATTGTTAAAAAAATTAAAGGATGATTACATTGTGATATTGTGACAAAGTTGGGTTTATTCCAGGAATGAAAAGTTGATTTAACATTCAAAAATCAATAGATGTGTGACTTCGGGGTACATACCGAAAAAAAAGAAGGGAAAGCAGGAACTCACACAGATATACTTGTACACCCATCTCATAGCAGCATTATTCACACTAACCCAAAGGTGGAAGCAGCCCATGTGTTTATCAACAGGTGACTGGATAAAGTGTGGTACATACATACAAAGGAATATTACTCAACCCTAAAAAGAAAGGAAATTCTGACACATGCTATGACATGGATGAACCTTGAGGACATTACGCTAAGTGAAATAAGCCAGTCACAAAAGAACAAATACTGTGGGATCTCACTGATAGGAGGTACTTAGGGTAGTCAATTTCATCAAGACGGAAATTAGAACAGAGGTTGCCAGGGGCCGAGGGGCCAGGGGAAGGGCTGAGGGTTGGTGTTTAATGGGCACAGAGCATCAGCTGGCGAAGTTGAAAAGTTCTGGAGGTGGATGGTGCTGATGGTTGCACAGCAATGTAAATACCCTTAGTGCCACAGAACTGTACACTCAAGATGGCTACATGGCACATGGTATGCTATCTGTCATAATAAAAAATAAAAATAATTTTAAATGTTAATATGTGCCGAAAAATGCTTGCTAAAATTCTATTAATGATCAAAACTTTAAATAAACTGGAAATGGAAGAGAACTTTCATCAGCTATTAAACGATATTTTAAACAAAAGCAAACAAAAATCCAAACCAAAAATCTTCAAGAAACATAATACGTAATAGCGGAATATTGAAAGCTTTCCCAAGGGATTGAGAATAGGACAAGAATACTTCCCATTATTTCCATTTACTCTTGACTGGAGGTACTCGTTGGTGCGGTAAGGAAGGGAAATAAAAGGAAAACGATTAGGAGGAACATAAGCTCTCGTTTTTCACAGATGATGTGATTGAGTACCTAGAAAAATCCAAAATTAACCATCACATAAATTATTTGAGCCAATTAATTAAATGAGTAAGAAGTCTCGATACAACGTCAATATACAACAGCAAGCACTTGCTCGTTCGCAAAAGCAGATGAACTAGTTTTTACTGACACTAGAAGCAGCATGTGTTCCATGTGTTCCACATCCATGCACTCAAACAACCTTGACGTGAAATATTTTTTAAAAAATTGTATCTGTACTCAACGTGTGCAGAGTTTTTTTCCAAAATTGTTTTCCAAAAATTTTTAAATGTTTATATGTTTAGGGGGTGTAAGTGCAGATTTCTTACATACATATATTATGCGGCGGTGAAGTGCCGGCTTTTGGTGTACCCATCACCCAAGTAGTGAACACAGCCTCCAACAGGTAATTTTTCAACGCTCACCCCACTCCCATCCTCCCATCTAGTGGCATATTGAAAATCAATTTGTCTTGTAAAATTAAATAATCCAATTAGGAGGGGGATATATTCTAAGGAAATTAGTGCATGATGCACACACACACACACACACAGAACACGTGTGTGCGCATGTGCACATGAGAGAGAGTGAGAGAGAAACTGGGTCTTGCTCTGTCGCCCAGGCTGGATTGCAGTGGTAAAATCACAGCTCACTGCAGCCTCAAACTCCCAGGCTCAGGAGATCCTCCTACCTCAGCCTCCCGAGTAGCTGGGATTACAGGTGGAAACAACCATGCCCAGCTAGTATTTTTTTTTTTTTTTGTATTTTTTATAGAGACAGGGTCTTGCCATGTTGCCCAGGCTGGTCTTGAACTCCTCAGCTCAAGCAATCTACCTACCTTAGCCTCCCAAAGTGCTGGGATTACACGCATGAGCCACTGCGCCCACTCCGCATTATTAAATATAGAACATTTATTTGATTCATCAGTTAATATTCTTCTTAAAAGTACTATTTTAATGTAGCAAGATTGCTTTCCACCAAAAGGTGGGGTTTCCACGGTGGGGTTTCCAAATTATTCTCAATGGGGTGAGGATGTGTGTTATCACACCCCCGAGCCATCAGATGCTGTCAGAAAGTGATCACTCTGAAGTCTTTGTTTCAAATAAGCACAGGGTTTGGATAAAGAGACGCAATTAGGAAAGGAAAAAGCAGAAGGCTCGTTCCAGACCTGGATGAGATCCTAAAAAGCAGCAGCTTTTGCCAGTAAAGATCCTTGAAATGATTCAATTACCCTCAAAGCACTCCTTGTCTCCAAGACAATCACTCATAAGCACAATTCCATTGAAGCCAACGTACCATTTTGTGATTTTCGTTTCCACCTGAGGCTGTTCATTCAATAAACTCACATAAAAGTGTTTATTGCCTTGATTTCCAAATTCAGGCGTATTTCCTGGTAAGTAGAGCTACTTGCCTTGCCTTTATGAGATTACCACCTAACTAGATGTATGCCCAGTAAAATCCAACATAACGCATGCCATGTACTACATCACAGAATGTGTGACTCAGTTGTTGAAGGACACCTGCTTTGAAGGAGGGGACATTACTACGGTCTTCACACCAAGCGCCAAGTACTGCCAGGTAGTCTGCACTTACCACCCAAGATGTTTACTCTTCACTTTCACGGCGGAATCACCATCTGAGGATCCCACCCGATGGTAAATGCTTATGTTTCTACATCGAGGAGACAGATTTTTAAAGGGAGATTGCTATTCTTAACACATTTCCATCTAACATTTTATAAAATTTAACATTAACAACTGGAAGATAAATTGTCTTTCAGTTGAAATATTGTTACAGAAAGAAGTGATGGTGTTTACGCAATTTAGAAAAGAATAAATATGCCTCCAAGTGTAGACTTTCCAGCCTCTCCTATAGTCTCATATTAATGGTATGTTTCTTCTGTTTGTCTCAATTTTTACACTTCTTAAACATTTCACACTTTGCTTTTCTATCGATTATTAATTTTTGTCGTGCTTCTCAACAAACTGGAACTTCTCCCAACTATTTTATTAGAAAAAAATAAAATATTTAAAAAGAAAATTTGAAAAAAAGTACAGTACAGTGATCCCCCTGCCACCACCAAAACCGCAATGTTTGCTATATTTGTACAGCAATATACAATATACAATACCTATATTTGTATACATGTTTAACCGTTTGAAATAATTTTAAAACATGACACTTTACCCCTAAATACTTCAGCATGCACTATCCTACACAAAAGACATACGAAATTTAACAAGAATTCCTTTATATTATTTCAGTTTTCCCTCAAATATAATTTATAGTAATTAACCAGAATCTTACCAAGAGTCACTCACTGCATTGGGTGGTTTGTCAGGTTTAAAACATTTTAAACAGTCCACCAACCATTTGTATTCCCATCCTGAGCTTGAAAATTTAATAATAAGCCTTTCTGTAGAATTAAGTTTTCAACATCTTTATTATTGCTACATTCACAGGCATTTATGTAGCACCCAGAACTTATAAAATTTACTATTCCAGAACCTAGAGCAGGGATTGGCAAATGTCTTCTTAATAACGCAGAGTAAATATGTTAGGCTTTGTGGGCAAAACCCACAGTAAAGCCAAGGATATTATTTAAGTATTTATGTCACCACTTAAAATGTAACAATTTGAAAATATAAAAATCATTTTGTATAGCTAACAGGCTAAACAGAAACACACAGATTTTTGGTTGCATTTTACCAACAGGTCCTAGTTGACACATTCCTGTTTGTTCCTATTAGAAAGGAGTATTACATGCAGTCTCTTAAGTGTAGGGATATTGAAGTAAAAAACAAACTCAGAATCTTGCTAAGAAAATATTTGTTTTGGCATGAGATAAAGTAGTTTGTTTCCTTCTTTTTGGCTTTCTGTGTGCTGACTTTTAAGATCCATTATTTTAAAAACATAAATTCCTATTCATTAATATGTATTTTTTAAAAAAACAGGTTTACTTGTGTCCTGAAAGACAGTGTTACAGAAACACTGCCAAGAGTGAATAGGACAGCAGCGATTTCTGGGTATTCTTTCAAGCAATGCTCACACCAAATAAGCGGTAAGATATGTTCTCAGAATCAACAAATACCAGCTGTGATGTACACATATCGCCACATCGGATGTGGTTTTAAGGCTATGAAATGAAACACTGCTATGTGGAAATAAACCCCCTTAATGAAGTTCTTTCAGTGTAGAGTATAAACTAGTATACATACATGCCTGCCCTCCAACACACTGTAAAAACCTCTTTACCTCATAGAAAGACATATCTTACTACCTCACTTCCCATCATTTATTTATATTCTTTCTATTTCCCAGCCTAAAATCTTAAATGAAAGTCTTTTTTTTTTTGAGACAGGGTCTCACTCTGTTGTCCAGGCTGGAGTGCAGTGGTGCAATCACAGCTCACTCCAGCCTCAACCTCCTGGGTTCAAGTGATCTTCCTGCCTTAGCCTCTGGAGTAGCTGGGACCAGAGGCATGCACCAACATTCCCAGCTAATTTGTTCATTTTTCCTAGAGACAGGGTCTCACTGTATTGCCCAGGCTGGTCTCAAACTCTTGGCCTCAAGTGATCTGCCCGCCTCGGCCTTCCAGAGTGCCGGGATTCCATGGTGCCCAGTCGAAATTCTTTATTAAACGTATTAATCCAAATTGAAAGGAGCAAATATAAAGGTTGAAGTGACACTTGTCTTAATAGTGAATAGATACTTGAATCAGTTAATTAGCGAAATAATCAGTGCAGTTAGGGAGAAGAGAGGCTAGGTCAGAAAATCAAAATGTGAATTTACAAGTCTAAAATTGTTACAGTGTAAGAAGGACATTGGCATTCTTTTACTGCTTCCATTCAAGAATAAGAATTTTGCAGATTAATATAACGAAAGACCTCTGAGGAAAGGTGGGTGAAAAAGTTGAAAGGATGAGTCAGGAGGGACAGTTGCTTAGGTCATTGCCCCTAGAATCTGGAAGGTACTCATGTCTTCTGCTTTTATTTCCAGCTTGCAACAAAGACATTTATGTGGACCTAGACATGAAGGGCATAAACTATAACAGCTCAGTTGCCAAGAGTGCTCAAGAATGCCAAGAAAGATGCACGGATGACGTCCACTGCCACTTTTTCACGTACGCCACAAGGCAGTTTCCCAGCCTGGAGCATCGGTGAGTGAGTCCCAGGACATTCGAGTGGTCGATGAAAAACAGAATCGTGATTTACTAAAAAGCTTTTGCCATCAACTTTATGCCAGAATTTATTTTGAACCCCTAAAAGACATTTCTATAATAGTACTCCTAGTTTTCTTCATGAAAAATACACTTAAAGCCTAATTTGGATGCATTTCATTTATGGTAAGGAGTCTATCTTTTAATAACACTGTCAGAAAAATATATATACTTGGCTAATTTCAAAAGCGCTACACTTTTAAATTGGCACTTTTGAAACAGCTGCAATTGGTATGATTGTCAGTGCCCTTCCCAGTCTAAAAAATGTTACAGTCTAACAGAATAAAAATAAAAACCTACTCTCTCTCTCTCTAAATAACAGTTCCTTACCTAAGACAAAATACTCATGTAAAAAGTCTTATCCTGCTCCATACTGGATTTTGAAATATTTCAAGGATAAATCTATCACATAAGGATTTAAAAATTATCTGATCTCTAATAACCAAATCTGTGTTCTCATCTTTAAAAATTTACTAGGGAAATAGATTATTAATTTGTATATTCAGAAATATTTGAGATGATTTAGATTTTCATAGTAAACTGCATTTATCTGGAATCAACAGAAAAGTGAAAAACATTCAAATTACTAATACTTGCGTTTTAACATTGGATTTTAACATTCTGCTCTCCACATTCACAAAGAGGAGTGAACAGAAAGCAAACAAAGCATCAACGAGTTATTTCAAAAACAACAGTGGTGAAAAACACACACACCAAACCCCTAAATTCATGATTTGACTTGTAAGGCTTATCTTTAGCTCAGCTCAGACGACAGCTTTTATGTCTAAGACTTAACAGAATGTGAACTGCAAGACAAGAAATTGGAGGTTTCTAAGCAAGATAAAGTTAAGTCATTAAAAGTAAGAAGGACTTAGCCAGGCGCGGTGGCTCACACCTGTAATCCCAGCACTTTGGGAGGCCGAGGCGGGCAGATCACCTGAGGTCAGGAGTTCGACACCAGCCTGACCAATATGGTGAAACCCCGTCTCTACTAAAAAAGAATACAAAAATTAGCCAGGCGCGGTGGTGGGCGCTTGTAATCCCAGCTACTTGGGAGGCTGAGACAAGAGAATCGCTTGAACCCAGGAGGCGGAGGTTGCAGTGAGCCAAGATCGTGCCATTGCACTCCAACCTGGGCAACAGAGTGAGACTCCGTCTCAAATAAAAAAAAACAAAAAATGAGAAGGGCTTGAGAAGTCATTCATTCATGCACTCTCCTTCTTCATGTGGTCACTCTCTCAAGCTGTCATTATACTGAAGAAGAAATAAACTTACACAATTCACAGGTGCTTAGCAACACTGCTGGGACCATGCCCAGCCATTCAGCCTCCCAGATGGATGCTTCGGGGTCTCGCAGGTCCTCTCTCCAAAGGGGACTTTCTTAATATCTCATGTTTTTTCCTCCTTGCAGTTGGAAGAATAAGACACTTTTCCTTTTTCTTTTTATTCAGTAACATTTGTCTACTGAAGCACACCCAAACAGGGACACCAACCAGAATAACGAAGCTCGATAAAGTGGTGTCTGGATTTTCACTGAAATCCTGTGCACTTTCTAATCTGGGTAATTATCGACTTCTTGATGATGTAATTCAACCATTAAATATGCTGATGATTACAGTAGATCTCACTCAGGATACCAGCTTATGCTCACGATGAAACGGACCCAAAGATCTTTACCTTCTTCATGTGATAGATTTCATCATGTCCTATACAGTTAGATCCTCTATTTAAATTTCCAGTTTAAAATAATCATGCCATTTTCTTCTAAATAAAAAAAAATTAAAAGATCTTGGGATACACTTAAATTTTTTAATATGGAATTTACACATACTGTGACCGGAATTTTCCTGATAGCTGGTGAATTGAGTCCCTGACATAGTTCTTCCGTCGCGCAGCTTGTATTAGGGACATTTTCCCTAATACGGTGTTTGCAGACAGCAACATCGACAGTGTCATGGCTCCCGATGCTTTTGTCTGTGGCCGAATCTGCACTCATCATCCCGGTTGCTTGTTTTTTACCTTCTTTTCCCAGGAATGGCCCAAAGAATCTCAAAGGTAAGGAGTTAACAAGTAAGGATAATTTGTTATCTTCTAAAAATAGCTGATCAAAATCCATCATTAAAAATTCCAAGTAACTAAAAATTTACTCTAAATGTCAGTATAGGATAAAAGTTGCAAAGAATTTCTAGCCCCTCTCCCTTTCTATTCCCCACCTACTTACCACAAACCCAACATTACCGAGGACTCTTTTTTTTTTTTTTTTTTTTTTGAGATGGAGTCTCGCTCTGCTGCCCAGGCTGGAGTGCGGTGGCATGATTTCAGCTCACTGCAACCTTCGCCTCCCAGGTCCAAGCGATTCTCCTGCCTCAGCCTCCTGAGTAGCTGGGACTACAGGCATGGGACACCACGCCCAGTAATTTTTTTTGTATTTTTAGTAGAGATGGGGTTTCACCATGTTGGCCAGGCTGGTCTCAAACTCCTGACTTCAGGTGATCCACCTGCCTCGGCCTCCCAAAGTGCTGAGATTACAGGGTTGGGCCACCGTGCCCGGCCAGTAAATTTTAAAATAAATATAAATATTACTTCACCTAAATAAATTTTAGGTACAGGTACAGTTGTGTTACATGGATATACTGTGTAGTGGTGAAGTCTGGGCTTTCAGTGTAGCCAAATAGTATACATTATTCCCATTAGATAATTTCTCCTGCCTCACCCTCCTCTATCCTCCCAACTCTCTGAGTCTCCAATAGCTTTCATTCCACTGTCTCTGTGCCTGTGTACACTTTATTTAGCTCCCACTTAAAAGTGAGAATCTACAATATTTGACTTTCTGTTTCTGAGTTGTTTCACTTGAGATAATAGCCTCCAGTTCTATCCATGTTGCTGCAAAAGATATGATTTTATGATTTTTTTATGGCTAAGTAACATTCTATAGTATATTCTATACACCACATTTTCTTTATCCATTCATTTGCTGATAGACTCTTAGGTTGATCCATATCTTTGTTATTGTGAATAGTGCTGCAGTAAACATGTGAGTGTAGGTATCTTTGTGACATGATTTTTTTTTCTTTCTTTTCCTTTGGCTATGTACCCAGTAGTGGGATTGCTGGAGGTCTCCACCTTGGCAAAGGGGCAGTTGTCTAGTTCTAAATGAAATGAAGAGATTCCATTTCCATTTCATGACAACTAAAAGACAATTCAGTCCAATGCTTTGTTTAAAATAATTGAACCAGGAACAGAAAGAGCTGAAAATGTCAGTGAAATGTCAAACCCAAAGTGGAGAGAGAGAGAGAGGTGGAAATGAATGTCTCCATCAAGTGGGTTAGGGTGGTGGTGGAGGGAGGTTTGAGAATTGAGTCCCTGTTTCCTTACCAATGGAAATTAACATAGGACATCAGAAACAGCATGGAAAATTTCTTTGATTATCAAAAGTACACTAGCTAAGGTTGCTGTCCCTCTTTTATTTATTTATTTATTTGAGACAGGGTCTTGCTCTGTCACTCAGATTTGGTTGCACTGGGTGTGATCTCAGCCCACTGCAGCCTCCACTTCCTAGGCTCAAGCAATCCACCCGTCTCATCCTCCCAAGTTGCTGGGACCACAGGTGTGCACCACCACCCCCAGCTAATGTTTGTTTTTTTGTAGAGACAGAGTTTCGCCATGTTGGCCAGGCTGGTCTAGAACTCCTGGCCTCAAGCAATCCACCTGCCTTGGTCTCCCACAGTGCAGGGATTACAAGCCTGAGCCACTATGCCCAGCTTGCTATTCCTCATTGACAACATTCACTTAAACAAGCAAACAAATATCCGTAAAATTAAGTCAGCTTTAAAACCTGGCTTGTATATATCTCTGAATTGGAACTCTCAGAGCCCTCAGCACTTGCCTGATTGGCCTCCTGTTGATGAAAAGTTGTCCTCCAGACAACTCAGCCAAGGGAGGCCCTGTGTGCCTTGCCTATCACATGAGCCTCACTTTCCACTGAGTGAGGCTGTCATTTCAGAAGCACCGGGTCTGTCACATGAAAATATATCTGTTACCATCACTTACTAAACAAATTTAGTAGAATTTGTTTGGTGCTTATTATGTATCAGGCATTGTTCTGAAGGCTGGGGATACCATTTAGTGAACTAAATCGACAAAAACTTTGCCTATTGGACCAGAGTGGAGATGAGAGAGAAGTGACCAGATCGATCTGTGTTATCAGCAGACAGCCAATAAGATTTGCTGATAGGTTGGACCACGGATTGTGAAGGAGTCAGTGATAGCACCAAGACTTTTGGCCCAAGGAACTGGAAAGATGGAAATGTCAATGACAGAATGTGGAGGATTTCGCAAGCAGCAGAGTGTAGGAGAAGCAATGCCCTTGGCTCATCTAGGGCAAAGGGTTGAATTGGCAACTGGAAATAGAAGTCAAATTCAGAAGAGAGGTTTATGTGGACATCTGTGTTTAGGTGTCACCAATATACAGCTGATACTTTTTAAAAATCTAGTGAAATTATCAAAGGGTTAAATGCAGAGAGGGAAGAAAGTAGGTCCAAAGATCAAGCCTTGGGACATTGGAAGTTTAGAAATAAGAAAGATGTCATTGTCACTTGTAATTTTGTGCTAGTCACTGCTCTTTTTCTTTGTCTTATTACCTTACTGACCAATTCCTAGAATAGGAATAACACATTTGATCTTTAATACAGTATGTGATAGGAACATGGCTTCTATAAGCCCAAACTTGGCAATTTAAATTTAAATTTATTAAAATTAAATAAAACTGGCTGGGTGCAGTGGCTCACGCCTGTAATCCCAGCACTTTGGGAGGCCGAGGCGGTGAATCACGAGGTCAGGAGTACGAGACCATCCTGGCCAACATGGTGAAACCCCGTCTCTACTAAAAATACAAAAGTTAGCCAGGTGTGGTGGCATGTGCCTGTAATCCCAGCTACTCAAGAGGCTGAGGCAGGAGAATCACTTGAACCCGGGAGGCGGAGGTTGCAGTGAGCCAAGATCGCGACACTGCACTCCAGCCTGGGTGACAAGAGAAAGACTATGTCTCAAAAAAAAAAAAAATTTTAAATAAAACTAAAAATTCACCTTCCCAGCTGTGTTAGCCACATTTCAAGTGCCCAATAGCCACATGTAGTTGGCAGTTACTGTATTGGATGGCACAGGCATAGAATATTTCCATCACTGCAGAAAGATCTATGGACAGTCTTGCTCTAGACTGTGATTTTGTCTACTTAGGAAAAGTCACTCTTTTCCAGGAAGATGCTTCCAGGGTGTGGAGTAAACGACGGACTTCACCCATCTCCTTATAAACCTATTGCAACCCTGGATAGGAGGTTTCTAGGTAGCATGAAGACTCTTGAATCTTTAAGATAGGCTGGGAGTGTTGAAAGGAAGGAAATGAAAAGGGAAGATACTAGGAAGACTGACAATAGAGCAAGCTCAGAAAATTTTTATGGAGGTGATTTAGTTAGAAAATTTGTCTGCAACCTAAGGGCCATGGAGTGTGACTCCATGGTTTATGGGTGTAACTCCGTGGTTTATGAAGAGTACTTTCAAAATAGGAAAATCTTCACAACTAAGTGCTAGCATGAGCTGACTTTACTTTCTCTAGGTGCTGTAAAAATGTTTTTATGTGTTTGATATGATATATTTCTACTTCCCTTTTGTTTTTGTTAGAAATCTTTGTCTCCTTAAAACATCTGAGAGTGGATTGCCCAGTACACGCATTAAAAAGAGCAAAGCTCTTTCTGGTTTCAGTCTACAAAGCTGCAGGCACAGCATCCCAGGTAAACTGAGAGTTCTGCATTCTGGCTGAGAGTGACCAGCCCCGAGGAGGCTGATACATGCTGAGGGAGGGTCTCACTCTGACATGTGGTCTGCTGTCTAGTGTTCTGCCATTCTTCATTTTACCATGACACTGATTTCTTGGGAGAAGAACTGGATATTGTTGCTGCAAAAAGTCACGAGGCCTGCCAGAAACTGTGCACCAATGCCGTCCGCTGCCAGTTTTTTACCTATACCCCAGCCCAAGCATCCTGCAACGAAGGGAAGTAAGCCATATGAAGGGTTATGCAGACACCCTTGTCCCGTCTGCCTGTGAGGTGCATTATGTTTATACCGTTTTGTTTCCAACTGCAGGGGCAAGTGTTACTTAAAGCTTTCTTCAAACGGATCTCCAACTAAAATACTTCACGGGAGAGGAGGCATCTCTGGATACACATTAAGGTTGTGTAAAATGGATAATGGTGAGTATAATGTCACTTGAAAAAATATAGCTGAAGGAATTATTCCATGCTTCATACATCACAATCAAGACTGTCAGTTATAGCCACAGAAGGGAGAACATTCAGGAAATAACAAATTTTGCAATTTTCTATTATTTTCACTCCTGTCACTCAAGCTGACCATGTTTTAAAGGTAAATATTGAGGCTTGACTAAACTGTACATTGCCTAGTATTAACTAAATATATGCTTTAATTTGACACATTTATACACCTGGCATTTCTGTTTTCTTTCTTTCTTTTTTTTTTTTTTTTTTTTGAGACACAGTCTCACTCTGTTGCCCAGGCTGGAGTGCAGTGATGTGGTCAGTGTTCACTGCAGCCTCTGGCTTGAACTCCTGGACTCGAACAATCCTCCCACCTTAGCTCCCTGAGTAGCTGGGGCTACAGGCGTGCACCACAACACTCGGCTAATTTGTTGTAGAGATGGGATCTTGCCATGTTGCCCAGGCTGGTCTTGAACTCCTGGGCTCAAGCAATCCTCCCGCTTTGGCCTCCCAAAGTTCTGGGATTACAGGCTTCAGCCACTGCACCCAGCCACAACTGGCATTTCCTAATGAGACCCAGACTCTGCCAACACTCCTGTTATCAAGGCCAGTAATCTTTCCTATTATCCTTTGTAAGGGAATTATCGATCAGCACTTTGGTTAGTCAAATTACTAATTTTCTTCCAAAAATTGTGTATCTATTCAAGAAATACTGGAGCACCTCCTTTTTAGGGTCTTTATTCAGATTCCATGCAGGGTTCTGGAGACTTAGGGATTGGCAAAGGTTAAGGTAAAACTTTACTAGTAACAATGAGTGTGGTAGGATGGAAATAAGTGTTTAGATTACACGAGACCTGTAATAACATAAAAGTTACAATAAAAATCCAACCAGCAGTGTTTCCATCCCAGTGGCCAATTTCTGAGCATAGTCACGAGAGATGCTTTGTAGGCAAACAGAATTGTTCTAAGGGACAAAATCCCCAACAGGAAAGAACACACCACAAACACTCCTGCTTAAATTACCATAGTAACTTAGGATGGCTTTACTATATATTGATTTACATAAAGCTGCATGTTCTTATACTGTTTATTGCCAAATGTCCAATATTACAATACACTATAAGGTGCAACTGAGATTTAATGAATAAAATGGAAGTAACAATCCTGCCTCGTGATAGTTTTAGAAGCACAAAAACATTCTGTGTCAGATTATCTGCTGTACCGAGAAGGCGAATCAATCCTTAATTTCTGAGAACTTGTTTTGTAGAACATAAAGACGTTATATTGCCTCCAACACTGGTATCCTAACTAACAGACTATGCCTTCCTAGAGCTTAGAGGCGCTCCGATGAAAATCTCTGGATGGCTCAAGACTTCTTAAAAAGCAAGTCAATTACGTCGTATCTCATACATTCTGTTTTCCTCACAATAAATTTCCCTAAGACAAGAAGGAGCATTCGGCACCATTCTGTTGTCTTTCTTCTACTTCTAAGCGTTAGAAGGGACACTTAGCAAATGTTGCTGTTAAGTAATGTTGACATGGTTTAATAAAATGGGAATGAGCACGTATACCTCAATACATTGCAGACTGCATTTTCCCCCTTCCTTCTTCATTATGGTTTTCTCTGTTGGATTTATAGACTCTGGCCTGTAGAAGTTACAGAATATGCCAGGTATAGATTGATAGCTACAGGAGAAAATGTAAGATAAAGGAAAATAAAGTCTTACGTCTTTTCAGTGCAACTTTGGAGGGAGTGAATTAGATAACTAGGTTTTTACTGCGCTGTATTTGATGAAATAACCCCCTAATGTGAAAGGGAATAGCTGCGTGAGATATTTATGGTGCCTTGTCTGTCACTGGTCTACAATGTAACTTAACTTTCTGAAGATAGATAGCAGCACCATTAAAATAAACATTTCTTACCACAAAATATGATTCTAAACACATATTTTCAGCATTTCGTTTAAACTGAGAAACAGCATAGGATGAACCTCAAGGCCTCTCACCTGGACCTTGAGTTATTTCTAAAATATCTTAGTTACTATTTACCTATTAATTTTCCTAAAATTTACCTTTATGACGCTTCCCACCTTGCAGAAATTCCAGAATAGATGGCCCTCCAAAATGAATGTTCACCCTTCCGGCTCTAAAATGAGAGCCTCTGTTCAGGCTTCCGAAGTCACATCGTGCTCGTTCTCACCTCAGTTGCTGTTAGCTGCTGTTTCCTTCCGAACTCCTTCTCTCATCCTCTCCTCCTATTTGAAATCTGCCCCAGAATTATACACTCATTTTCCTACCAAGGAAAAAAAGGCCTAGAAAGGTTGTTTTACACCCACAAAACTAGTGAATGGACCTTCTAGGACCCGGCTTCTCATCAGTGATTCTTCTGTTAACTTAGACTCCTCCCTTAGCTCAGGACGCGGAGCCTTCTGAGCACCTGAGCCTGGTTATTCTAAATGTGATCTGGGCACAGCACATTGACATCACCTGGGAGCTTGTTAGAAAGAATTTCAGGACCCACACAGATGTTACTGAGTCAGAATCTGCATTTTGAAAGCTACACAGGCAACCCACAGGCACATAAATTTTGAGTCGCATAGGTGTGTGCGTGTGTGTGCGCATGTATGTGTGCGTGTGTTTGTGTGCACGTGTGTGTGTGTGTGTCTAGAATACTGCTGTCTACGAACACCCTATTCCCATCCATCTGTGTTCCATGGCTCCAACCGGGAGGGTGGGTTCTTGTGTCGGGCATCCAGTAAGTAGAAATAGAGGGCACTGTCCTGTCTAGGCAGCCCCAAGAGAAAAGAAACAGAGGGATGAGCCTGAGTCAAAGTCCCTGAAAAGTACCAAGGACCCCAGAGAATCCCAAACTGTCAACAAGGCCAAAGGTCAGAGGAAGTTCATAGCAGATCAGTCTTACTTTGGACGTGGGTGGAGCAGGAGTGACTGGGATCATGGTCAGCAGAGTCACTGGGACAGGGCAGGAACTGGACAATGGCTGCAGCCTGCGGGCAAGGTGCTTGCCTTTTCTTTCTAAGAGCAGTTCTCAAACGCCAGCAGGGCTGGTTCAAACACAGATGGCTGAGCTTCCAGGCTGGAGTTTCTCATTCACTGGATCTGAGGTTGGGCTGAAGAATGTGCATTTCTAACACGTTCCCAGGTGACGCTGTTGGTCTGGAGACTGCACTTGACAACCACTGGTTTAAAAACACCATTCACGTTATCATTTGAAGGAGGGTAAGACAGCCTTGTAGTACCACACAAGGAGGGCTACATTCTTAGGGGTGTGTAATTACAAGATGACTTAGTCAATTCCATTTTTCATGTGCATGTTTTGCTTTGGCAGCTTGATTATAAAGTCTCTGTAACTCAGGGTCATGATAAACTATTGACTTGAGGAAAGGTTTTCTTCTTGTTCCTGAAGGAGCATAATTACTGATGGAAAGGAAGATGTAGGAAGCTGCTCATCACAATGCTTCTGTTGCAGAGTGTACCACCAAAATCAAGCCCAGGATCGTTGGAGGAACTGCGTCTGTTCGTGGTGAGTGGCCGTGGCAGGTGACCCTGCACACAACCTCACCCACTCAGAGACACCTGTGTGGAGGCTCCATCATTGGAAACCAGTGGATATTAACAGCCGCTCACTGTTTCTATGGGTCAGTACCACGGCTGTTTTTATTAGTTCATCTTCTTCACACATTTATAAAAAATATTACTAGCATGTTAGGAAATAAATACTTTAACCAATTAGATTGTCTTATTTGCAAAATTAATTAATTGCTTCAGTGGTAAAAAACGCAAAAAGGAAGAGCTCATGGTCTCCCAGCATCAGAACAGGTGCAGGTACAAGGCTGCTTGACTGCCTGCTATTCCGCTTCCCATTTAACCGCATTCACATCCCCAAGGGCCTTCATGTTATTCCCTGCAAGAGCATACCTCCCTCTGTGCCTCGCTCTGTGCACTGTGCCCGGAACTAAACTCACAGAGGATTTACCATTGTCTGAATCAAATTTCTAATATGTGTGTGTGTGTGTGTGCGTGTGTGTTTAAATACAGAAAGTGGCCAGGTGTGGTGGTTCACGCCTGTCATCTCAGCACTTTGGGTGGCTGAGGTGGGAGGATTGCTCAATGCCAGGAGTCTGAGGTCAGCCTGGGCAACATAGTGAGACCTCGTCTCTAAAAAATATTTAAAAACTAGCCTGGCATGGTGTTTTGTGTGCCTGTAGCACCAGCTGCTCAGAAGTCTGAGGTAGGAGGATTGCTTGAGCCCAAGAGTTCAAGGGTGCAGTGAGTTACTACAGTGCCACTGTGCTCCAGCCTGAGCAACAGAGCAAGACCCTATCTCTAAGTAAATAAATAAAATACAGAACGAGTTCGGTATGCATCCTCACATTGGATTCCTTACTTAGGTCACTTTCAGCGTTGGCCAAACAAAAAGGCTCCAGCTGGGGGTATATATATTCCAGGGAAGTTAAGTTGGCCAAACTTTCCGTTTGCTACTTCAGTATCCTCCGAGTTGTTTCCAGACACAGTTTTGTGTGCTTTTTAGTTTTGGTTTTCTTTTTTAATCAATCTGCAGCACACTCATGTTAAACTCAAGAACACATGTGAGGCCAAGAGTTCCCGTTACCTGTCACATATGGGAATGGAGTAGCAGAAAGCCTAGTTTCTGTCACAGCTAGTTACTGGCGAGATTGAGACTGAGTCCAGCGGTCTTCGTGTGTGTGTGTGCGTGTGTGTCTGTGCAGTGTGCGTGTGTGTGCGTGTCTGTGTGTGCGTGTGCGGGTGTGTGCGTGTGTGTGTGTTGGAGCACGGAGGGAGTGCTCATTCATTTTTTGTGTATAATGGATTTTCTTTATAGGGTGAATATGTTTTTTATCCCGAAAAATCTTAGGATAAAATCACTTTTTTCTACCTAAATGTCCATCATTGGCAGAAAATATTAGTAATAATTAAACAGCCACACACTTCACAATGTCTGGGAATTATTTTTAGTAAAGGAAATTTCTTTCCCTCTGTTGTTTGCTCCTTAGGGTAGAGTCACCTAAGATTTTGCGTGTCTACAGTGGCATTTTAAATCAATCTGAAATAAAAGAGGACACAT
The DNA here is from genome assembly GCF_000001405.40 of Homo sapiens. NCBI lineage: Eukaryota > Metazoa > Chordata > Mammalia > Primates > Hominidae > Homo > Homo sapiens. The sequence goes on from NC_000004.12 coordinate 186,285,709, forward strand.
CTTTCTTTGGGGTTCAAGAAATAATAATCCATGATCAGTATAAAATGGCAGAAAGCGGGTATGATATTGCCTTGTTGAAACTGGAAACCACAGTGAATTACACAGGTACGGAGAATTTTATCCGGAAAGTTGTCTCCAATGGTGAACTGGATAAAATGTTTAACACTACTAGACTTACGGCCTGACCCTGCCAATCTCTCCATGCGTTATCATCATGAAAGGGAGAGGGCCTGGAATGCTAGTCATTCACTCTGCTAAGGCTGACACACTTTCCTGGCTATTGAAACTTATTTTGGGAATGTGGGTAAAGAGATACGTTTTCCTGAGTCTTCTTCAGGTGCATAGAATGACATAATTTCATAATACTTTGGAATAGTAAAGATAATTTAGTCTAAAGATAATTTATTAAAGATAATTTAGGGATGAAGGATTGAAGGTTAGAACAATTAAGCAACTTGTGCAGGATCAAAGTGAGTTGGATGAGGAGTTAGCGGTGAGGGTGAGGCTTGTCTCTCTCTCGCCCTCTCATCCTGGCACATGTGCGATATCGTGCTGAACCTGAGGGAGGAAAATACACGACAACAAGGCAAAAAATGAATATAGTAAACAAAGAAAACACAGATAATGTACAGTGGAAGAAGAGTCTCTTCTGGAAAAGAGGATATATTTTGCGTCTCATATTTAAACCACGATTTTTTAAATTTAGATTCTCAACGACCCATATGCCTGCCTTCCAAAGGAGATAGAAATGTAATATACACTGATTGCTGGGTGACTGGATGGGGGTACAGAAAACTAAGAGGTAAAAATGATGTTGTTATATGTGCTCCATCCTAGAAATGAAGAGCGGAACCTTTTCTGCCCTGTCAAGTCATGTAGCTGAAGCACAACTCGAGTCACACTACTCAGTTGCAGGAAGCGGATTAATAAAGATGGAGAGGCAAAAATCACCCAAGTGAGGCTGGTGCCTCATATGTTTGATTGGAAATTTTAAATGTGACTAAATCTCTTTAAAGACTAATTATATTTAATGAAGTTTAATGTGAAGCCTAGCACTTTTCAGTAAATGTTCTAGCCTGCTATCCAATTACTTTCTTGGGAAGTCATTCCAGTTAGAGTCATAATTAATTTTTGAACTTAATTAACATTAACAAAATGGTACACGCAATAGTGGGAATAATGTCTTCTTCATACTTGTAATTATAAAAGGTCTGTGAAGTAAATCTAACATTTTTTCCTTCTAGATTTTTATATAGACATGAGTTTTGTGTTGTTGTTGTTTTGAGATGGACTCTCGCTCTGTCGCCCAGGCTGGAGTGCAGTGGCACGATCTCGGCTCACTGTTACCTCCACCTCCCGGGTTCAAGTGATTCTCCTGCCTCAGCCTCCCGAGTAGCTGGGATTATAGGTACCCAACCACCACCCCAAGCTAATTTTTTGTATTTTTAGTAGAGACGGGGTTTCATCATGTTAGCCAGGATGGTCTCAATCTCCTGACCTCGTGATCCACCTGCCTCGGCCTTCCAAAGTGCTGGAATTACAGGCGTGAGCCCCCACACCCGTCCATGATTTTTATTTTAAATATATGTGGCCCAGCACCACTGGTGGCTCACGCCTGTAATCCCAGCACTTTGGGAGGCCAAGATGGGTGGATCACTTGAGGTCAGGAGTTCAAGACTGGCCTGGCCAACATGGTGAAACCCTGTCTCTACTAAAAATACAAAAATTAGCTGGGCATGGTGGTGTGTGCCTGTAATCCCAGCTACTCGGGAGGCTGAGGCAAGATAATCGCTTGAACTTGGGAGGTGGAGGTAGCAGTGAGCTGAGATTGCACCACTGCACTCCAGCCTGGGCGACAGAAAGAGACTCCGTCTCAATTAAAAATATATATATATATATATTTATATGTATGCATATATGTTTATGTGTATTGTGTATGGTTATTCTACAAACGAACCAAAAAAATTTTTTTCAGACAAAATACAAAATACTCTCCAGAAAGCCAAGATACCCTTAGTGACCAACGAAGAGTGCCAGAAGAGATACAGAGGACATAAAATAACCCATAAGATGATCTGTGCCGGCTACAGGGAAGGAGGGAAGGACGCTTGCAAGGTAACAGAGTGTTCTTAGCCAATGGAATATATGCAAATTGGAATGCTTAATGCGTTGGGGTTTTTTTGTTTGTTTTGTTTTTTTTGTTTGTTTTTTTTTGAGACAGAGTCTCGCTCTGTTGCCCAGGCTGGAGTGCAGTGGCTCGATCTCAGCTCACTGCAAGCTCTGCCTCCCAGGTTCACGCCATTCTCCTGCCTCAGCCTCCCAAATAGCTGGGACTACAGGCGCCAGCTACCAAGCCCAGCTAGCGTCTTTTTTTTTTTTAGTTTTAGTAGAGACGGGGTTTCACCATGTTGGCCAGGATGGTCTCGATCTCCTGACCTCATGATCTGCCTGCCTGGGCCTCCCAAAGTGCTGGGATTACAGGCGTGAGCCACCGCGCCGGGCCGCTTAATGCATTTTAAAAAGCAGTCTTCTGCCAATGAGCAGGGAACACAGTGTATTTGTTTGACTTAGACTGAAATCAAAAGCAAGGAGATTGACTGGATGAACGCAAGCACCCAGGTTCTCTGCAGTATATTAAGGGGCCAAGACAACATTTTAGGCAAAATCAGCCTGAGCAAGATGTGCTGAAGATGGGAAGCGTCTGAGTTGATCTGTGCACCTTTTCTTGTCTCCCCTCGTTCTAGGGAGATTCGGGAGGCCCTCTGTCCTGCAAACACAATGAGGTCTGGCATCTGGTAGGCATCACGAGCTGGGGCGAAGGCTGTGCTCAAAGGGAGCGGCCAGGTGTTTACACCAACGTGGTCGAGTACGTGGACTGGATTCTGGAGAAAACTCAAGCAGTGTGAATGGGTTCCCAGGGGCCATTGGAGTCCCTGAAGGACCCAGGATTTGCTGGGAGAGGGTGTTGAGTTCACTGTGCCAGCATGCTTCCTCCACAGTAACACGCTGAAGGGGCTTGGTGTTTGTAAGAAAATGCTAGAAGAAAACAAACTGTCACAAGTTGTTATGTCCAAAACTCCCGTTCTATGATCGTTGTAGTTTGTTTGAGCATTCAGTCTCTTTGTTTTTGATCACGCTTCTATGGAGTCCAAGAATTACCATAAGGCAATATTTCTGAAGATTACTATATAGGCAGATATAGCAGAAAATAACCAAGTAGTGGCAGTGGGGATCAGGCAGAAGAACTGGTAAAAGAAGCCACCATAAATAGATTTGTTCGATGAAAGATGAAAACTGGAAGAAAGGAGAACAAAGACAGTCTTCACCATTTTGCAGGAATCTACACTCTGCCTATGTGAACACATTTCTTTTGTAAAGAAAGAAATTGATTGCATTTAATGGCAGATTTTCAGAATAGTCAGGAATTCTTGTCATTTCCATTTTAAAATATATATTAAAAAAAATCAGTTCGAGTAGACACGAGCTAAGAGTGAATGTGAAGATAACAGAATTTCTGTGTGGAAGAGGATTACAAGCAGCAATTTACCTGGAAGTGATACCTTAGGGGCAATCTTGAAGATACACTTTCCTGAAAAATGATTTGTGATGGATTGTATATTTATTTAAAATATCTTGGGAGGGGAGGCTGATGGAGATAGGGAGCATGCTCAAACCTCCCTAAGACAAGCTGCTGCTGTGACTATGGGCTCCCAAAGAGCTAGATCGTATATTTATTTGACAAAAATCACCATAGACTGCATCCATACTACAGAGAAAAAACAATTAGGGCGCAAATGGATAGTTACAGTAAAGTCTTCAGCAAGCAGCTGCCTGTATTCTAAGCACTGGGATTTTCTGTTTCGTGCAAATATTTATCTCATTATTGTTGTGATCTAGTTCAATAACCTAGAATTTGAATTGTCACCACATAGCTTTCAATCTGTGCCAACAACTATACAATTCATCAAGTGTGATTTTTTTTTTTTTTTTTTGAGATGAAGTCTCACCCTGTTGCCCAAGCTGGAGTGCAGTGGTGTGATCTCGGCTCACTGTAAACTCTACCTCCTGGATTCAAGCGATTGTCCTGCCTCAGTCTCCCAAGTAGCTGAGATTACAGGCACATGCCACCATGCCCGGCTAATTTTTGTATTTTTAGTAGAGACGGGGTTTCACTATGTTGGCCAGGCTGGTCTTGAACTCCTGACCTCGTGATCTGCCCACCTCGGCCTCTCAAAGTGCTGGGATTACAGGTGTGAGTCACTGCGTCTGGCCATGGAAAATATTTATTGAGCACAATTATGTGAGAGCATCATGCTGAGCTTTGAAGATACAGTGGTGAGCAAACATATATCCTGGCTTCATGAAGATTATACTCTAGTTAACATGAGCAACAAAATAAAATAATCACACAAAATATATAGGTTCAAGCTGAAATGAGTGGCTGCACCAGATTCTATGAGATAAGAAAGGAAGAAGGACATTTTTCACCAAGTTCAAAGACTGGGATACAAAGGAATTTGTCCTGACAAAGGCAAAACAAAAACAACAACAAACAAAAAACCCAAAAGAGCAAAATGACAGTAGAACATAACGGGGCCAGATCAAAAATGCTGACAGGTTCCCAAAAGAATAAAATGACGGTAGGACATGACGGGGCCAGATCCAAAATGCTGACAGGTTCAAACAAAATTGGAATTGAAAATCAGAGTGCGTTCAAGAGTATCAAACAATACTATCTTGTTACTTGCTTATTACCTTAGTAGACTGGAAGCAACACTTCACACAAAAAAAGGGTTTGGATGTAATTTCGGATAAGAAGAGATGTTTCTGTAAAGTCTTTCCTGAGAAGCATATTATTTGAGAAAAACACATATTTCTGTTTTTAGTATTTCACTTTGTATAATGTCTTAATTTTTGAAGAGCTGGTATATTCCTATGATTCATTAATGAAAGTTCTATAAGATATAAAATATACAATGAGGAGATCTCCTCTTCTGTACCAGAAGAGTGCACATTCTACACACTGCGTAGCACCTTTCTCACTTACGTTCTGTCTGGGCACACTTCTGATTGACACGCAGAGGGCTCTCTCTGTCTGGGGATATTTCTGATGGGTACCGAGAGAGCTTCCTCTATCTTGGGTTATTTCTGATGCGTAGAGAAGGGCTGCCTCTGTCCATTATGGAAGGCTGGTGTTCACTGCAGGGATTCCACACTTCATTTAACCAGAGTCCCCGTGGACGGACACTTGGGTTGTTTTCAATCTTTCCCTCTTTCATACACACGCAGGAACATTTGTAGGATAAAGTCCAGATGTAGAATTGCTGAAGACAAAACAAAACGAAAACAGCAGATGCATTTGTAATTTTGAATATTGCCAAATTTCTCTTCAAAAATCTGTAGCCATTTTTTCTCCCACCAGCAATGTAAGAGAGGGCCACGTTCCAGCTACCATAACACCACAATTAGGAATTTTTGACAATCTGACAGGTGGAAAAAGGTAGCTCACTGTAGATTATTTTGCAGTTCTCTTACTATGACAAATTAATATAAATGACGTGATGTTAATGTGGTGTATAAGATCACCAAATTGTTCACCGCTTCATTGTTTACTTAAATGCTAATTTGGTGGTTATGACGTAGACAAACATAGAGTATGCTCCTTGCAGTCATGTAAACATGGTAAGAGTTCTTGCCAAAGGACGAAGCAAACGTTCCAGAGCTTATGTTGTTCAAGCTTGGTAGTGGCTCAGTGTGGCAGACATACTGGCTGTCCAGCCTTCTCCCTGTGTGTTATGGACATAAATTTGGGGTACAAGTGGCCTCATCTCCAGTTCCAGGGGTGGATCCTGATTCCTACACATTCCCTGATGGAATCGCATCCTCGTTGCCCTGGGAATCAGTTCCTGGCAGTGCAGGCCAAGGCAGTGGGCACACGCCTTCACCCCACCAGAGTGACTGGCTCAGAGTCAGCAACCTGAGCAAAGGTTGAGAATTTGGATGTTGTGTCGGAATAAATGCTTTCTCTTTCCCTTCCATGTGAATGAGGAAGTGTTGGCCCTGGAAGTGGTGGCACTTATCATGAGAAGCTGCCGGAGGTCACTGATGCCCAGGTAGAGGGGCTGAGGTCTGCACCAACTCTGGGCTTCCCTCTTCCACAGCAATGGCCCCTTTCATTTTAAGCCATGCATTTCCTACCACCTGCAGTGGAACGTCCTGTGTGCCAGGACTCGGGTTATTGATCACAACCCTGAGTCAATGAAATGTAATTGACTTTTATTAGGCATGCATTTTACCATAGTGTTCTATGGGACACAGTTTTGTGTTTTCCAATTTTAAAAGTTGGAAATGTTCTTGAATAGTTTTGATCCTAAAGCCTCAGAGAAAGTCTGTCTGTGACCCGCTCCAGAGCTGCCTCACTTTCTGACATGAGCGGTGCTCTTGGACAGCCGGCAACGAAGCCACGCTTGTGAAGGACGCAGCGGTTCTCACCTGTGGCACCCGGGGCACCAGTGGCTGGCCACTGCCCTACACTCTAAAGAGGGAAACTAAACTTTGGACTGAGAATTATATATTTAAGAAAGCCTTCAGAAATAATACATTTACATTATACATGACTCATTTATGGCCTTACCTGTGGTCCTGCCTCATGAAAGCATCAGAGGAAACGTTCCCCATTTGCTAAGGGGCATGTCTCCATCTCGCCTGTTCGGGTCCACTTCTCCCTTCATCCTCGCTTTGTTCTGTGATTTTCCGCTCCCTTCACAGGTCTCACTCAGAATGGGTCTTTCCCAGGCCGGGTGCGGTGGTTCACGCCTGTAATCCCAGCACTTTGGGAAGCCGAGGCGGGCGGATCACGAGGTCAGGAGATCGAGACCATCCTGGCCAACATAGTGAAACGCCGTCTCTACTAAAACACACAAAATTAACCAGGCGTGGTGGTGGCACCTGTAGTCCCAGCTGCTCAAGAGGCTGAGCACGGGAATCGCTTGAACCCGGGAGGCCGAGGTTGCAGTGAGCCGAGATCGTGCCACTGCACTCCAGCCTGGGCCACTGCACTCCAGCCTGGGCAACAGAGTGAGACTCCATCTCAAAAAAAAAAAAAAAAAAAAAAAAAGGAAAAAATAGAATGCATCTTTCCCTTTGCTCGTGTGAGAGGATTTTCAACATCCCAGCCCGCAGCATCCCAGAGCTCAGGTGTAGGGAATTTCCCGACTGCACGGACGCTCTGCCGGCCCCATGTGGTCAGGGCAATCCTCTCTTTGAATGTCCTTTCCACAAGATGTCTGTGAGGCCACCTGTCACCTGGGAGGGCTTCCCTTTGTCCAGGCAGAGGTGGTGGCCACAGCATCACGGCTTCCCAGTGCGCCCTGTGAGCCCCACCCCAACTCTCCCGCCTGCTTCCCGCCTGTTGTATGCACGCGTGTTCATTAACCACAGCAGGCCAAGCTTCTTTCAGGAGAACATTTCTTCCTTTTCCAAGGCAATCCCACAAACTAAAAATAACTGTTTAGAGCAATTCTTCAATGAGGAATGTCCGTGTGTGTGTGTGTGTCTGTGTGTGTCCGTGTGTGTGTGTGTGTGTGTGTGTTTGAGAGAAAGAGAGAGAGAGAATGAAAATGAAAACAGGCCGGGCACGGTGGCTCACGCCTGTAATCCCAGCACTTTGGGAGGCTGAGGCGGGCGGATCACAAGGTCAGGAGATCGAGACCACCCTGGCTAACATGGTGAAACCCCATCTCTACTAAAAATACAAAAAATTAGCCAGGCGTGGTGGCGGGTGCCTGTAGTCCCAGCTACTCGGGAGGCTGAGGCAGGAGAATGGTGTGAACCCGGGAGTCAGAGCCTGGGCGACAGAGCAAGACTCCGTCTCAAAAAAAAAAAAAAAAAGAAAGAAAATGAAAACGACCATTTCTGATACCTGTAATGCTTACGCACTCCAGCTTCACTGCCTGTCTGGTCCCTGGGTTTCCTCATCTTCAGATGCTGTGTTACTTTCCTCTGGATTCTGTAACAAATTACCACAACCCACCAGGGTGGCTGAATAGCCCAGATTTCTCCCCGTGGCTCTGGAGGCTGTAATGCTGGAATCTCGGTGTTGGCAGAACTCGGCTCCCTTCGAGGCCTTAGGAAGGACCCTGCCTTGCCTCTTCCTCGTTCCTCGGCTGCCTCCTTCTCCACGTGGGCCTCTCCCACATTTCTTATCCCTTTCTTGTAAGTAAACTAGTAATATTGGTTAAGAACCCAAACTGCTGTATACGGTATGTACTATATGCGGCACACAGTACATAGCTTACTGTCATTTTCCATTTAATTCTAACTTTCAGAGAAAAGACTATATTCAAAATGCCTCCCACAGTAACGGGCACACATAGTGCTCAACAAACTAGTTCCCTCTCTTTTGCCTTGGGGTATCCGGCAACTGTCTTACAAATGTAACAGTGTATGGTGGACCTACTGATGGAGAGACTTGTTCGTGTATGTGTTTGTCTTACCTCATCTACCCAGAGAGGTGTCAAAATGTATCTTATATGTACGGATGCAGCTTTTCTGCTGCACCCAGCACTCCCCAGGAAACATGAGCACGCTTTGTAACCACCGGTAACTTTCAAATGCTGTGCACAGGTAGAGATTTTCACAGGCTGTGGTGACTGCGTGGGTTCCTTCCATGCTCAGACACTGTCAAAACGGCAGTCAGAATGACTCCCATGAGCTTGGTTGGGAAGGCACCTTTACAAACAATACAGACTAGAAAACCTTTGTCATCCCACGGAAAACACTATCAAACACAACACAGAAGTATGGGTTTTGCGGTTTAGAGGGTTTTTCGATAAGTTTCTGCTGCCACCAACGGAAATAATTATCTTCACTATTAGAACGAGAAAGCAGTAAAGAAAGAATCAAGACAAAAAGTGACTTTCTCAGAAATATTTATATACTTGAGCAAATTAATATTTGATTTGGGTGAATCTGAATGTATTTCTCCGGTAATCGCTTCATTAAAAATAAAACTGTGGGCTGGGCATGGTGGCTCACGCCTGTAATCTCAGCACTTTGGGAGGCCGAGACGGGTGGATCATGAGGTCAAGAGATCAAGACCATCCTGGCCAATATGGTGAAACCCCGTCTCTACTAAAATACAAAAAATTAGCGGGGCGTGGTGGTGTGTGCCTGTAGTCGCAGCTACTTGGGAGGCTGAGACAGGAGAATCGCTTGAACCCAGGAGGCAGAGGTAGCAGTGAGCCGAGATCGCACCACTGCACTCCAGCCTGGCAACAGAGTGAGATTCTGTCTCAAAAATAAATAAATAAATAAATAAATAAATAAATAAATAAATAAGCTGTTTCGCAGAAACAGAAAACGAAATGCCGCATGTTCTCACTTCTAAGTGGGAGCTGAACGTTGGGTACTCATGGACATCAAGACGGGAACGTCGTCTCATCTCCAGCAGCTTCCAGCCCAGCACTGGGGATTCTAAAAGGGAAGAGGAAGGGAGGGGCCAAAGGCTGAAAAGCTACCTATTGCGTGTTATGTTCTCTGCCTGGGCAGTGGGATCAGCAGAAGGTCAAACCTCAGTGTTACACAATGCAATGAACCTGCATGCGCACGCCCAGAATCTAAAATAAAAATAAAATAAATAAATAGAAAAAATAAAGGCATTAAAAATAATTTTTCAGCTATATATATATATATATATTTCATCGTGTTTGTGATTTGGCAAGAAAAATCAAGAGAGGTCTATTTTTCAGATTTGAAAGTTAGTTTTTCTTTATTCAGATTCCGTTTTATAAATGAGTAATTTGTGATGTGATGGGCAGCCTTTAACATTTTAACTGACAATCAGTAGATGGATTTATCATCATGTTTATGGCTGTGCTGGTGTCTGTAAAAATAGTATACAGATAATTTTTTTTTTGAGACAGAGTCTCACTCTGTCACCCAGGCTGGAGTGCGGTGGCACAATCTAGGCTCACTGCAACTTCCACCTCCCGGGTTCAAGCGATTCTCCTGCCTCAGCTTCTCAGGTAGCTAGGATTACAGGTGCACTCCACCATGCCCAGCTAATTATTTTTTTGTATTTTTAGTAGAAACGGGGTTTCACCGTGTTAGCCAGGATGGTCGGCTTCCGGTGTTGTTTCAGCATATGGCTAAATTAAAGGCTTAGATTCTCAGTTTGCTCATTCTAATTTAGCTGAATTCTGAGTATTATGCATTTGTATCTGAGGTTCCAGGCCTCTCCCTCCTCCTTCTCGGGGTATTAAAACTCATGTTGCCAGGTGCATGACTGTAGTCCCAGCTACTCAACAGGCTGAAGCAGGAGGATGGCTGGGGCCAGGAGTTTGAGACCAGCCTAGGCAACATATTGAGACCCCATCTCAAAACAACAACAACCAACAAAATAAAAATTAAAAAAACACCTCATGTGAAGAGAGATCTCTCTGCTACCCTTGAAGATCAGAATAACATAAGTTCAAAGTTTCTCTGGTATCCAGTGAAATCTGCTCCTTCGGTTTTTTTGCATTGACCAAATTGCTAATGGTGAGGAAGTAACGAGACCAATGGAAGATGTTATTTGGCACATTAATTATTGGGGACCCATAAGCTGTTAGAGGTGAAAGAGACTTCAGCAATCATTCCATAGAAATGAAGCTCCAGGCGGGGCTGTGACCTCTCCCCGCTCACACGGCCTGTGAGGGTGGACGCTGAGCCCAGGAAATGTAGGTCTCCTGTGCCTCAGTCCTTCAGGGGCCAATTTAAATGAGAAGGGAAGTTGGATGGTAGAGTTCATGGAATAGCAGTTCCTCTGTCAGGCCTGTGTTTCTCTTTGCTGCCACTAACATATAAGAAAGAAACATGTTTCTGAGATGCCACAGTTATCACTTAAAGGCACTTTTCATTGTATTGCTGTCGGTCTGTGCTCACTGCTGACAGCAATGGCAGGCTGCCATCCTTGGAGTGAGGACCTGTGCTTCTACTTCCTGCTTCCTCTGAACCCCAGCAGCTGCCAGCACAGCGTCTAGGAGTAGTGGCTGTGGACATAATTAGGAGTTTCTTGAGCAGCCTAGTTAACAGCCCCACAGAGGGCATGATCATATAAGAACGTCACTCATGTCATTATCATTTAATTCTATCCGAAAAGAGTTAAAATCAACATTCTGGAGTTAAGTGAACAGCTTGTTAAATGAATAACATAGACATAAAATCCAGTGGGTCCAACAAGCAGTGATTACTATAGTTAATAATAATAATATCATCTTGATGAACAAGAACAGGAAAGAGAATACAGATAAGACTATCGCCATATTCACGTCTTTTGGGATCTTGCTATGTGCTCTGCATCATGCAGTGGGCTTTCCTTCTCACCAGCACTGTGCAAGTAGGATATTATTATTATTCCCTTTATAACATAATCCACGTGTTTTACAAGTGGAAAAGAAAGACAAGACAAACCTGCTGGTAAATATTTTGAACCCAATTCTCCATTTCCCCACTAGATGGCACTTTTATACCTCTCTTTGTTCCATTTTAAACTCACAGCAGATGGGCAGAGCGCACTTAATTTATGGTAAGTTTAAACAAATCCTATGTATATATAATATCTGGGAACTTTAAATCAAATAAACGGCTTCCATTCAAATATGCTTTCCTTTTCAAATATAACACTTGTAAATATCTGGTCCCCGGACAGCAGGTTCGCCTGTCCACCAGATGCTCCAGGACGGCGCTGGGCCCTTGCTCCTGCGCTGACCGCCCAGCCCGAGCCCCGGGGCCAGGTCCACGGTGCCCACGCGCGCTGTGTTCTGCTGGGGTCCGGCTTAGGGCTGCTTCGGCCCTCGGCGGCTTCCTCTGCGCTGTTGCTGCCCTCCCCACACCCCTACCCCTGCTCACTCAGCTCCTTCACCTCTTCCCTGATGAACTGGGGAACAGTATCCCCAACCTTGATCCCGCAATGTATTGTTAAGGCTGTGTTGTATTTTTAAAACAAACAAACATAAACATTTGAATGCTGAAGGCTTAGTGATAATAAAAATAGTCTACCCACCCCCCCACATCACATCACAACACACACACGACACATGCACATATAAAACACACATTCACACACGAAACACACATAAAACACATTCACACACATGAAACACACAAAACACACACAAAAAACATGCACACAACACATAAAATACACACAAAACACACATGAAACAAGCACACAGCACACAAAATACACACATGAAACGCACATACATATGAAACACGCAAACACACACATGAACTACACACATAAAACACACAGAGATACATGAAACACGCACGCAACGCACAAAATACATAAAACACAGATGCACACACACATACACATGGAACACGCACACAAAACACACACATGAAATACACACAGAACACACACATGAAAGACACAGGAAACACACACACACACACGGAAGGCACACACACATCGGGAAGCGGCGATGGTCACGCTCACTCCAAGACCCCAGCTCCCCGCGGAGGCCTCCCGGGCCGGTGTTCGCTGCCAGCCAAACCTAAGCCCGCTCCTCGCGGGGCCCGCGGGGCACCCCCAGGTTCTGTGCAGCTGAAGCTTGTACCATTTTGTGACTGTGACACAGGAAGCCTCCTAGGGACAAACTTCGGTCAGCATTTGAATCAGCCCTGACTCGGTGACAGTGTCTCATAAACGGGTCAGCTGGTTAGGGACTTGGAAAGAGAGCGGGGAAACGGGTGAGCAGAAAGCCTGGGGAACGGAGCCCAGCGGCGCCAAGTCGCCCCGGCGTCCACCTGCGCCCACCAGAGAGCGCCGGGCCCCCGCGAGCGGAACCTCGAACCGCAGCCTCCGGAGGGCTGGGCCCGGCCTGAAGCTTACACGCACTCCCTTCTCAGTCCCACTTTTGCCCTGTCTTCACCTTGGAGCCCCCGAGTTTCCAAAAGATACTGGAATCCAGTCTCAGCCTGAGCACCCTATAGCAAAGTTAGGAGTCAGCCCCACTAACTGGAGGTAAGTGGATCATGTGGGAGGCCCAGGTGTGCAGAGCCCCTGAAAAGTTACAGCGTCTCCACCTGGGCGTGGAGATCTGGGCCACCCCAGCCCCGCTGGGCATCGCAGGAATGGGCTTCCAGTGGCTCCTCAGTGTGGCCATTACACCATCAAACGAAAACCACCTCCCATGGAACATATCTATATAAAAAACAACAAAACAGACCCCTTCAGAAAGTGAGCTCAGATGACTCCCCTCTGCTAAGAGGTGCCTCCTGGGCAGGTATTTCTGTGGGTGCCACATACTTTTGGGGAAAATGAGCCCTTAGCAACTCATATTTTTATTCACAAATAAGCCATTAAACTGTTTATTGAAGGAAGAGGGTATGGTCTCTATTAGAAAATACAGAACAAACATTTACAAAAAAGTATTATTTTGGAATGAATTTCAGTTCAAGAGCTCCCTTTTAAAGTCACCCTAAGCATACCGGTTGCTACACAGGCAGGATTCAAAAATGCAAATATCAAAAATACTCAAAACTCTCAGAAACAAACCAGTGAAATTCATTGTCCTACTCATTATCCAATTTATCCAACAGTAATCATTACGATTGATTTCCAGGCCTGTAACTGCCTATTTTCATGGCCTGTAGAGAGGGGAGTATAGGGTGCAGGCAGGAGTGTCTGAAGGCATGGAAGTCTCTGCCTGGGCATTAACAAAATGAGTGGAAAAAGCAGACAATTGCATCTGCGGGCATTGATATCTCTTATCTGCACGTTAGACTTAGTTTTATGAGTAACTAAATTGAGTTGAGACTCTTAACTGATGTTCAGATTCACTGCCAGCACTCCCCACACATACCAGGAAACACCCTGTGTTCCAGTGGGCAGACCCATGCAAGCCCACCCCCAAAGCCTGGGGGTGCAGAGAGGCCGAGGAAAGAGGCTGACAAATCCAGACTCTCAGAAAGGAGCGTTGAATAGGGACTTATCCCACAGCTGCCCTCCAGAAAGCTTGCTTGCTTTTTCTTTCTTTCTTTTCTTTCTTTCTTTCTTTCTTTCTTTCTTTCTTTCTTTCTTTCTTTCTTTCTTTCTTTCTTTCTTTCTTTCTTTCTTTCTTTCTTTCATCTTTCTTTCTTTCTTTCTTCCTATCTTTCTTTTCTTTCTTTTTTGATATGGAGTCTCGCTCTGTCACCAGGCTAGACTGCAGTGACGCGATCTCAGCTCACTGCAACCTCCGCCTCCCGGGTTCAAGTGATTTGCACCAGCCTCCCGAGTAGCTGAGGCTATAGGCGCCCACCACCACACCCAGGTAATTCTTGTATTTTTAGTAGAGACGGGGTTTCACCATGTTGACCAGGATGGTCTCAATCTTTTGACCTCGTGATCCACCTACCTCGGCCTCCCAAAGTGCTAGGACTACAGGCATGAGCCACCGCACCTGGCCCAGAAAACGTTCTTTCTATAGCAAGCTTTTATAAGACTGATGCACCAGACCCTCTTGCAAAACTGCTGACCAGTGGGGAGGTTGAATAAGCATCTTTATAGGGGTCATCTATGCCCCAGGCACTGTTTGTTTATAGGGGTCGTCTATGCCCCAGGCATTGTTTGTTTGAAGGGGTTGTCTATGTCACAGGCATTGTTTCTGAGGAACTAATTGGTGAGCAGGGGTCCGACAGTCACTTCAAGATGGCCTTACTCTTGCCGTGCACTGATCTCGCCACTCAGAAAATGCTCAAAGGCCACTTTTTGGTGCACACAGGAAAGGTCTCTTCTATTCAGCTGAATCAAAACATTTGAAATTGGCTGTGTTTGTTTTCAGATCTGTTCAGGTCAATTTAACAATTATTGTAAAGAAGTAACTTACTTATAATTACATAAGCCCCAACCTGAAAGAATTCCCAATAACCAAAACTGGAATAACTTGAGTGACAGAATGAATAATCTAGCATTGGATTACATCTTAAAGTAAAAAATAAATATCCATGAGTTCATACTGATACAAAATGATTGAATGAACAAAATAATGAGAGAGAAGAGAGAAATCCGCTGTACAGGATTCCGGGTAAGTTACACCATTTCTCCTCTCTCAAGGATGTGGAGCTTAACCCTCTATCCCTTGCTTAGGGAGTAGAGCATGGATAGGAGTGAAAAGGTAATTTACAGAGGAGAAACAGGCTAGTTGATGAGGTAACATCATCAGTGGTAAGTCATCTTGATAGTGTGCACTGTTTAACAAGCAGATTTATTGATACATAATTCATATATACCCAAACTTCCATTTAAAATGACGATTCGGTGATTTTTAGTATATTCTCAGAGTAGTGTGATCATTAATCTAATTTTCTATCATCTTCATCACTCCCCCAAAGAAACCTCATACCTATGTGTAGATTTGCCTCTTCTGAACATTTTACATAAATGCAATCATACAACATGGGGTGTTTTGTGACCTGTTTCTTTCACTTTCACCTTGTTTTCAAGGAGGAACCATGTTCTAAAGCCTGTACTTCATTCCTTTTTATTGCCATATAATAAAAAGGAATTGCCCTTGTATAATTATACACATTTTATTTACCCATTCATCGATGGAAATGTGGGTTTTCTCACTTTTTGGCCATCATGAATAATGCTGCTATAAATATTCATGTATGAGTTTTTGTGTAGACACGTTTATCTTTCTGTTGAGTGTGTAGTACCCAGGAGCAGAATTTCTGGGTCATATGGGAACACTATGTTTCATATTTTGAAGAATGATGTTTTTGAAAGCAGCTACACCATTTTACATTCCCACCAGCAATGTCTGAAGCCTCCAATGTCACCACATCCTGGCTAACATCGATGATTCCGTCTTTTTGATTCTAAGCCCACCTTAGTGGGTGTGAAGTGGTATCTTATTGTGGTTTTGATTTGCATTTCCCCAAGGATTAATGATGTTGAGAACATCTTTATGTGTTTATCAGCCATTAGTACATCTTCTTTGGAGAAATATTTATTTACTTATTTTCTCCATTTTTAATTGGGGTATTTTCTTTTTATTACAAAGTTGTGAGTTCTTTACATATTCTGGATACTAGTCCTTGTTAGATACATGATTTGCAAATATTTTATGCCATACTATGGGTTATCTTTTCACTTTCTTGATGGTATTTTGTGAAATACAGAAGTATTTATTTTTGATGATGTCCAGTATATCTTATTTTTTCTTTTGTTGATTATAATCTTGAAGTTGTGTCTAAGGAACCACTGCCTAATCCAAGGGCACAAAGATTTAGTCCTGTGATTTCATCTAGGAGTTTTATAGATTTAGCAGTTACATCTAGCTGCATGACCCACTTTGAGTTAATTTTTGTGAGTGATGTGATACATGGGAGTCCAAATCCATCTTTTCCATGTGAATTCCAGTTGTCCCAGCACTGGAACCCTTGTCAAAACTCAATTGACCATAAATATGAGGGTTTGTATCTGGACTGTCAATGTTATTTCATTGCTCTATATGCCTGTCATCATGCCAGCTCCACACAATGTTGACTGCTGGAGATTTGCACTAAAGTTTGAAACTGGGCAACATGAGTCCTCCAAATGAATTATTCTTTTTTTAAATATTATTTTGGCTATTTTGAGTCCCTTGCATTTCTACATGAATTTTTGGATCAGCTAGGCTACTTCTGCAATAAAAGACAGCTGAGATTTTGATAAAGATCCATTTGTGGAGAGTAGCCATCTTAAAAATATTAAGTCTCCTGATCCATGAATGTAGAATATCTTTCCATTTATTTAGATTTTTAATTTGTTTCATATCTTTAGCATATAAATTTTGTACTTCTTTTGTTAAATGCATGCCTAGACATTTTATTTTTATGCTATTAAAATGCATTTTGTCCTTAACTTTCATTTTCGTATTATTTATTGATAGTGTATATAAATAAAATTATTTTTGTATATTGACCTTGTATGCTGCCTCATGCTGAAGTGGTTTGTTAGCTGTAGTGGTTTTTCTGTGGATTCCTTAGGATTTGTTTATATATATGATCATGTCATCTGAAAATGGAGATCGTTTTAACTGTTCCCTTTTTCTTTTTCTTTTATAATAGCCCTGGCTATAACATCTAGTGTGATGTTGAATAGAAGTGGCTAGAGTAGGCATTATTGTCTCGTTCTTGATATTAGGGAGAAAGCATTAGTTTCACTCCAGTAAATATGATGTTAGTTGTGGATTTTTCGTAGATGCTTCTAACCAAGACGTGAAAGTTTCCTCCTATGTCCAGTTTGCTAAAATTTTAATCAAGTTGAGGAAGTTTCCTCGTATGTATAGTTTGTTAAGCATTTTTATCATGAAAAGGTTTTAGATTTTGTAGATTACTTTCTTCCATCTATTGAGATGATGGCCATGATTTGTGCTGTATTCTGTGAATAGGATGCATTACACTGATAAGCTCTTGGATGTTAAACCGACCTTCCATCACCGTAATACATTCCACTTGGTCACAGTGTCTGATCTTTTAATATGTGATGCAATTAAGGTTGCTAATAATTTGTCAAGGATTTTTTTAGGCTATAAGGGTTATCACTGTGTGATTTTTTTTCTTGCTATGTCTTTGGTTTTAGTGTTAGGGTGACACTAGCTTTACAGCATGAGTGGGGAAGTGTGCTCTTCTGTTGTATGTTTTGGAAGAGTTTCTGAAGAATCAGTATTCATTCTTTGAATGTTTTGTAGAATTCACAGTGAACCCCTCTGGGCCTGGGATTTTCTCTGTTGAAGTCTTAAAATTCACAATTCAAGCATATCCATTTCTTCTTCAGTCAGTGTCAGTAGTTTGGGTTTTTCTGGGAATGTGTCCATTTCATCTGAGTAATTTGTGGCATGCACAATTCATAGTATTCCACTATAATGTTTTATAATTGTTCATAGTATTCCATTATAATCTTTTTTATTTCCATAAGGTCAATGCTGATGTCCTCTCTTCCATTCTGGATTTTATTAATTTGATTGTTCTCTCTCTCTTTTTCCTGGTAAGTGTCACTAAAGGTTTGTCGATTTTATTAATCTTTTCAAAGAATTCACATGTTTTTATTGATTTTTCTATTTACTCTTTCCTTTATGGCTACTGTAATCTCGTTTCCCTTTTAATGAACTTTTTTGACTATGCAACGACCAGTTCCGGTGGGTATATGACAGGGGAGCCCTGTCACAGCGCTACCCAGGACCCAGTTCCGGTGGGTATGACAGGGGAGGCCTGCCACAGTGTTGTCCAGGGCTTTGCAGATGGTTTGGAATTTCCCTATCAGTGCACTTGAACACCTTTATGGAGGTCTGTCCTGTGGCATAATTCAGATTCCAGAGCCACAGTAGAAGAGGTTTCACCAGATTTGTATTCACGTTGCTGAATCTCAGTCCACCCATCTCTAGCTGGAAATAGACTACAAAGTCCCTTTGTGATACTAACAGTGTATAGGCACTTACACTTTTGAAATTAGGCAATGTGAGTTCTCCAACTTAATTCTCTTTTTCCATATAATTTTGGCTATTCTTATTCTTATTTTACAGAGGAGAAGACTGAGGCACATAGAGGTTAAAAATTAGAGGAGAAGCGAGTAAGAAGTAGGCTAGAAAATCAAATCCATAGCATCTGCTCCTGAATCTACACCTTTCCCCACCACCTGAGGAATCAGCTAATAATGGCTTCCGAACTAAATCTGGCCTGCTGTCTTTGTAAATAAAGTTTTATTGGAACACAGCCATAACCATTCATTGACACATCACATATGGTGCTTTTGCTCTATAACAACAGAGTTGAGTAATCGAAGGGGCGATCCTGTGGTTCACAAAGCCTAAAATATTTACTACCTGGTGCTTTCCCAGAAAAGTGTGCTGATCCCAGCACTGCGCTGTACTGACTGCCATTATAATCATACATGCCTCAAGGCCATTTTGAAAACAAATAATGCAACTGATTATGCCTAGAAGAGTGTCTAGCACACACATAGACACATGTACACATAGACACATACACATGTATACACACACTTGTGTGTATATATAATATATATTAATATTATATATATAATATATATATGTGTGTGTGGGTGTGTGTGTATCAAGGTCCTTTTTCTGACAGTCTGCCTATCAGTAATTAATTGTATCCTAAATTATTTCTCTATTTTGGTTTTAGAGATTAGGTCATACCCGCTAGTCTGCTTTCCTTTCTCATTTTGGGTCTCATTTGAGCCCCATTCAGCTGTTCTCCATCACTAACATACAAGAAATGTCTGCCGAGGTTGTGAAGGATGAGGTCATGATTCACACTCGAAGGAGAAGAAAGGAAAGGCTGATTTCCGGAGTGAGACTCTGGTTTTTGGCAGAGCCAGTGACCTGAGCAGAATGAAATGACACTGTGAATTTTCATTCCAACAAAGAAGAAAGAAATCCAATTGAAAACTAGCTTTGACTAGATTTTGCTGCAAAATAGAAGATGATATTGAGCTAAATAATTCAAATTCTTATTCAGAACATAGAGAATGGGGGGGCATTCACTCTCTACCGTCAAGAGCCTGCTAAGGCGATTTCAGCTGCTCCACGCTCCCCTTGCTTCCAGCCTCCCACGTGGCCAGGCTGGAAAACTGCCACCACCTCCACATCCTACCCAGATCTCACCTGCTAGAGCACGGGCGGCAGGGATCCGCTCCCCAGCACATCAGTTTTGGTCCATCAGAAACAGAACATTAGAGAAGACTCTCAATATTGCTCATGTTAGAATAAAGCCAGCTTCTTTTCTATTAAAAAAATGCTTGTCCAACTCGCGTGAGGTTTGTCAGCGACGCAGAGGAGGGGCTTTTGTTGTTGCAGGGGTCATACTTTTCCATTTGTTTTTCCTCGTGGAATTTTCTCCAGCTCTCCCATTTAACACTGCGTGCCCCGCCCCAGCCTGGCCCCATGCAATGCTTTGGTGCTCCAGGGTTGCCGGTGGTCCTGCAGGGTCTGCAGTCACACAGGTCTCTCTCCTGGAGGCAGAGTCCCTGTGGGTCTCAGCCATGTTCTTGGTCAAATGCAGAAGTGAAAACAAAGCATTTCAATATTTATTGAATTACCCTATTTGCTAGCCTGCATTTTCATTTTCAATTTATTTTTACACATATTTGATACCTATCATGGGTTGGGTACAGAGCTAGGTTCCAAGAGGAAAACAGTAAGGAAAAAGCATTCCTGTTCCTGATAAGTAGTAATCTCTATTAAGAAAGTTCAATGAGGACAGAAAGAAATATCACAAATAATTGTAGTGCAAGCAGAATCATGTCGTTCCCAACTCTGCCCACGGAAGGGTCGCTGGGCTTCTCAAGGGCCTCTGGCCAGGATGTGGGATGTTACTGGAATAGACGTGCACCATTCTTTGATTCATTCATTCACTCACTCCCCACTTCACTTGCTTCTTATGCCCCGCCCAGCCAAGTTAAATCTCCTTCTGTCTCTCAAAAGTGTCAAACTGCTTCAATCTCTGGGGCACAGCATTTGTCATTGCTTCTGCCTGCCCCTTAATAACCATATCCACCTGCTTGTGTCTTTTAACTGAGTTATCAGTCACCTCCTCCATGAAGCTGTTGCAAGCTTTCTCAGGATGACGCCCCTCTTGCTGCATTGTTGCCTGGTCTGTGCCTCTGTGTAGAACTTGCCACATTGCATTATGGCCAGAGGCTTGTGTGTGTCCCCACTAACCCTGAGCTCATTGTTCTACCTACTCCCTGCACTTAACACAGTGTTTGGCTCCCTATAAATGCTGAATAAAGGTTGCTGATTATTGCATACAAGAATGTATTCAAAAATCTGCAGCATCAGATATTAATGCAACCAAAACAATAAGATCTTGGCTATTTTGCAGAGTCCATAGCTCTGAGAGCCAGGGGGAAAACAACATACATTGAATTCCTGTGTATTCTATTTGTTTTATGTATTGAGGCAGGTGTTTACATGTTCCAGAGAATAGTGGGGGTATAAAATTAGACATACCCTCAGCCAGCCTGTAGGAAGCTAACTATCAGCTAGGCGATTCCGTAAGATGAAACCACCTCTTGGGCAAATGTATATGGCCTTTGATTTAGAGGCTTCTAGAAATTCATTTGGCACTCCATAGACTAGACATTAGCACCAACTCTCAACATTTTATCTTATCTCAGACAATATTGCTTTAATTACTGCTAGAGCGGCATTGTCCAGTAGAACTTTCTGCAGTTATGGAAATATTATTTAATTGTGCTGTCCAGCGTCACTAGCCTCATGTGGCAGTTGAACACTTGTAAAGCGACTACTGCAACCAAGGAACTGAATTTGCTTTAATGAAATTTAAATTTAAATGGCCTCCCGTGTCTAGCGGCTATCGAATGAATGGCCTCCCGTGTCTAGCGGCTATCGTGTTGCACGGCACAGCTCTAGAGGCTTGGGCATATTATACCATCCTATCTATGTACACTAAACTTCGTGACTGTGGATGCTTGTGATGTAATAAGCTGGGCCCTGCAAGTTAAAATTATTTTTGACATGGAGGTAGCGTGTGATGAAGTGCATTGATGGTAGCTAGGGCTGCATTCAAACTTGTAGAGGCACTGAAACCCTCATGGTGCTCCTTTGGCCACTCCCTGCCTCTATGCTGTATGGAATTAAATAGATTTTTTAAATTTTACACACATACACACACACCCCCCCACACACACACGTTTAACAACAGCCTACAAAGAATAACAAAATCCAATAAAGTTTTAGTTTTTCCTGTGTTTTAGCTTTTTCCTCTTCAATGCATTTTTAAATTATCAAATATAAAATTCTTTAAGAGGCGAAGTGTTCCAGCTTTGCTAGTGCTCAAATCACCTGTGCCTGCCAGGCTAGACTGGCACTCTGGCACTGATACTGCTCAAGGCTGAGCAGAGAGCTGTGGAGTGAGGTTCACCAGACCGGGAAAGACTTCATCTCAAAATGCCTCTGGGGCCAGGGGTGGCGCGAGGAAAGAGGTTATAGAAAGCCAAGGTTCTGATTAAAATGGAAGTGGTTTCTAGAGAGGCTAATACAAACATCCATTTGTCATCTCTCAAACCCACAAAACTCCAAGGAACCATAGCTGTTCTCTCAAGTGGATTTCTTGTTTGCCAAAACTGTTTTTGGACAAACTTTACATGGAAGCCTGCCATAGAAATGAGAGGAAGGCAGGCTGCTGGGGAGGGCTGGAAGGAAGATTCAGCTTCATGCATTTACCTGGAAACAGAGGCCCTCTGAGGAGCCCCTGAGCACTTAGGAAATAAATTTAAAACCAGTGAAATTCACTACTTGTAGGAAAACAAATTCAGAAAGTTCCCTGAGTCAGCTATGGCAGGGCTTGGCTAAGAATGAGGTACTTGTGGCTTCAGTGTTAAGTGGACCTCCTGCTGCAGCCAAGCCTTCAGTACTGCAGTGTTCCAGCCCTGAGACTGGCCTGGACAGTGTCTAGCCGGGGCCTGAGGAGCCCACCCCGATAGGTCAGTGTGCAATGCTGGGGGCAAAGAAAAAAGAGCTCAGTGGCAGTCACAGCCCAACATAAAGCACAGCTTCAATTCTTCGTGAAATGTGACAGGGATGAGGGCACCTTGCTCCAACAAAGTCAGCCTATTGAGGGTAGGGAAGAGAGGGAGGGTTCAGAGAAAGAGGGGAGATGAGAGGAGAAAGAAACACTTCATTACATAATTTAACTATGTTCTGTGCAAATATCCAAAATATGAGTTAAAATATTTAAATCTGTTGTAGCCAAATCTGAGTTATTCGTCATTGCTATAGAAGATCATTTGCACAAAGCTTATGTTTCATGGATTCCAGTTTAAGGTTAGTCCAATCCTGTCCCCGACCTCATCCCAGCCCACTGTATCAGTTATAGTAAAAATCATTTTAAACTTTATCCCCAGGTCAGGTTCCCCAGACACACTGTAAGATGGAGACTTGCATGCAGGAGATTTGGGGACATGCAGTGGGGACCAATGCCTGCAAAGACGTTGTGCTGCAAGAGAGGGACTTGGGGACAGAGCCCCAGCCAACCCCAAAGGGTGCTCTGGAACTGGAGGGATCCAAGCGAGTTGTCCCAAACTAAAACAGGAGGTCTACCCTATTGCCCACTCCTGGCAAGGGAAGGAGGCGTGACCTTGGCTTGATCCTATCTGCTGAGGACCATTCCTGAAGAGAAACCCAGCTAGAAGCCATTGTCAGTCACTACAGCAGGAGAGATTCTGGCCTCAGTTCTGAGGGGGATCTGGGCAGTGCCACACAGTATCCACCATTTTTGGCTTCACGTGCCCCTGTGGGTATCTGACTCTGGCCACAGAACCAGCTGCTCACAATGGAAGAAATGTTGAGATACTTGGTTCCACACGCTCTCCTAACAGAAACCCAGGCTCAGAACAATGAAGCGAGTTGTCCTTGGGCGTGCCAATGGTTGTCAGACGTTCTTTTCCATCGGAATCACCTGGAGGGTTTGTTACTACTGGGCTCCATCCCTGGAGTTTCTGACTGGGTAGATTTGGGATGGAGAATTGGTGTCTCCAACAATTTCCCAGGCGCCTCTGCTGCTGCTGGTTCAGGAGCCACACTCTGAGAAGCACGGGGAAGCAGGTGAATGTTGGGAAGACATTCTGCAAGACAGGAGTGGCAGAGGCGACATTCTCATGGTGGAGAAAAGGAACAAAGCACCCGAGACAGTCCTGGAACTGCTTCCTGCCAGTCCACTTGCTGTAGAATCAGCCGCTGTGGGAGGAGTGAAGGCATGGGGCCAGGAGCTTGACGTTCTGAATTGGAATCTTCCCTCTACCATTTACTGACTGGGTCATCTTGGGCAACTTACTGACCCATTCCGTGACGCAGTTCCCATAAGACGGGGATGGTGATGACAATAGTTACCTAAGTCACTGTGAGGGTTAAACGAGTCGTAGAAAGTACATTTTGAGGAGTGCTTGGCATATTTTAGGTGTACAAAGTATCCTATTAGAGATAAATCAGCTGCTCTTTTCGTTCTTCTGATGGATTGCTAATGAACAAATATCCATGAAGGAAGAAAACCAGTTGTAGCTTTTTGTGGTTCAGGAGAAGGGCTGCCATGTCTCTTTGGACAAAATTTGTATCTACTCTAAGGCATACAAAACAGTGCCAAGAGAATACATTTTAAAATGAGCTTTAAAAAAAAAAAAAACTTAGGCCAGGCGCGGTGGCTCATGCTTGTAATCCCAGCACTTTGGGAGGCTGTGGAGGGCGGATCGCCTGAGGTCGGGAGTTCGAGACCAGGCTGGCGAACATGGTGAAACCCCGTCTCTACTAAAAATACAAAAAGTAGCCACGTGTGGTGGTAGGCACCTGTAATCCTAGCTACTCTGGAGACTGAGGCAGGAGAATCCCTTGAACCCAGGAGGCAGAGGTTGTAGTGAGCTGAGATTGCGCGCCTGCACTCCAGCCTGGGCGACAACAGCGAAACTCCATCTCAAAAAAAAAAAAAAAAATTTAGCCATTTTAATAGGTCTACAGTGGTATCTCATTCTTTTTAAATGTGTATTTCCATAAGAACATATGATGTTGAGCATCTTTCTTATGCTCATTTGCTGGTGAAGTGTCTGTTCAGACCTTTGCCCATTTTTTTAATGGGGTTGTTTGTCCTCTTATTATTTAGTTTTATACATTCTTTATATATATTGGATTCAAGCCCTTTATCAGATATGTGTTCTGCAAAATTTTCTTCCAGTCTTTGGCTTGTCTTTTCATCCTCCAGCAGTGTCTTTTTGTTTCCAATTCTAATTTGATTTTATTTTTTAACTTCTATTTTAGTTTCAGGGGTACAGGTGCAGGTTTGTTATACAGGTAAATTGCATGTTGCAGGGCTTGGGTGTACAGATTATTTAATCACCCAGGTAATAAGCATGGTGTGCCGTAGGTAGATTTTTGATCCTCCCCCTCCTCCCGCCCCCCAGTCTCAAGTAGACCCTGGTGTCTAATGTTCCCTTCTTTGTGTCCCTGTGTACTCAATGTTTAGCTCCCACTTATAAGTGAGAACATGCAGTATTTGGTTT
The DNA here is from genome assembly GCF_000001405.40 of Homo sapiens. Classification (NCBI taxonomy): domain Eukaryota; kingdom Metazoa; phylum Chordata; class Mammalia; order Primates; family Hominidae; genus Homo; species Homo sapiens. The sequence continues at coordinate 186,310,760 of NC_000004.12, forward strand.
TCTGTTCCTGCGTTAGTTTGCTTAGGATAACTGCCTCCAGCTTCATCCATGTTGCTGCAAAGGACACGATTTTATTCTTTTTATGGTTGAATACTATTCCATGGTGTATATGTGCCATATTTTCTTATCCAGTCTACCATGGATGGGCATCTAGGTTGATGCCATGTCTTTGCTATTGTGAATAGTGCTGCAATGAACACATGCATGCATGTGTCTTTATGGTAGAATGATTGTGTATTCCTTTGGGTATATACTCAGGAATGGGATCGCTGAGTCGAATGGTAGTTCTGTTTTAAGTTTTTTGAGAAATTGCTAAACTTCTTTCCACAGTGGCTGAACTAATTTACATTCCCACCAGCTGTATATAAGCGTTCCATTTTCTCTGCAACCTCACCAGCATCTCTTAACAGTGTCTTGTGCAAAGTAGGAGTTTTTAATTTTAATGCAGTCTAACTTACTTTTTTTTGTTTCATGAATTGTATTTTTGATGTTGTATCCAAAAATTCATCACCAAAATCAAGGTCATATAAATTATTGTATGTTTTCTTCTGGAAGTTTTACAGGTTTGCATTTTAAAATTAGGCCTATGATTCACTTTGAGTTAATCTTTGTGAAAGACATAAATTCTATGTCTAGGTTCAAAGCCATGACCCAGTTATTACCCTGTGAGGACAGGTTTGGCTGGCATGGCTCTGAGGAGCCAGAAGACAGCATGAGGACCTGTGGCAAGAAGGAAAGAAGAAGGAAAGGACACCGGAAACTGTAGCTGGAAAAGACACAAGGCAAACTTTGTAATTGGTCTCAGGCTAGTTCTGTAAGAGTGGAAACACATTCACTAATTTTTAATAATGTAAAATTTGGACCATTGAAAGATTCAAATAATGGCTGTAGGTGGTCAAAAAGGAGGATTCTGACACTTTTGTTAGTGAAACATTATCCGTATCTTAGTTGTTGCATCAAAGGACACATTGAATTGGGCTGTGGCAACTGCAGCCTCCCTGTGTGCCCAACCCCCACTCCACATGCGTGGTCGGCTCCAGAGGTGGGATTGTTCCACCGTGGAAGGTGCTCACATGTGGGGAGCCCAGCACCTCTCTTGGCCTGCCTTTGTGTTCTCCTAACTCTATCAGTAATAGAATAAATAAAGTAGAACTTTAACCTTCAGACTGCTAAAACAAATGTCTTCTGTGTTGCCGTTTCTTTAAATGTGAATAAAAGCCTCCTTCCTTCCTTCCTTCTCTCCTTCCTTCCTTCTCTCCTTCCTTCCTTCCTCCTCCTCCTCCTCTTTCTCCTCCTCCTCCTCCTTCTTCTTCCTCTTCTCCTTCTTCCCCTTCTTCTTCTTCCTCTTCTCCTTCCTCTTCTTCTTCTTCCTTCTTCTTTTCAATTTTATATGGCACTAAGACAATATCCCAGGACCACCCTATTCGTAAACTGCCATCACCCAAACTTGTCATAGGATTGCTTTAGATCTGGATTGTGATGATGTAATAGCAATGTTTATCATGCTTTTATTGTGAGCCTGGTGCTATACTAATTTATATAAAGATGATCTCGTTTAAAATTCCCAATAACATGCAAGAGCTGATGGTATTTTCCCTGTTTTATGAATGAAGAAGCCGAGACTCTGACGGGTTAGGTGGCTTGTCTGTGGACACTCCCTCAATAAGGAGCAGGGCTGGCTGGCAGGCTTGCTCTGACCCCATCAGCAATACTCTCCACTCCCCTGCCACGGTGCCTGCTGCCGGAGGGATCTCCAATCACTCAGCTGAATTTTAATTTTATCTTATGGATGAAGAGTCACGTTTGAGAGTATACTGAATGGAATTTTTCCACGTACCGTTGGTACTATGAATTGTAACTACGTAAGATTGAATTGAGAGCTGGCAGGGGAGCTTTGCTTGGCAAAAATCAGAAGTGGGGAAATTAAGGCTGGGCTGGAGCTAATGTACAGTAGCGGAGACTTCTAAGGCTCATTCATATTTCAGCCTCCTCTCCATCTGGGCTTCTCCCACCCCCCGATTCTGCTGCAATTAGGCAGAGCCATGCTACTATTTCTGATGAATGAATTGTGGTGAAAAATAATGTAGCTTAAATATAGCTTAATAGGCAGGAACATGTATTTACTTGTTGGTATAAAATGTGTAGAAATAGGCCAGGTACGGTAGCTTATGCCGTAATCCCAGCACTTTGGGAGGCCGACACGGGCGGATCAGCAGAGGTCGCGAGTTCAAGACCATCCTGACCAACGTGGAGAAACCCCATCTCTACTAAAAATACATAATTAGCCGGGCATGGTGGCGTGCGCCTGTAATCCCAGCTACTCGGGAGGCTGAAGCAGGAGAATCACTTGGACCCAGAAGGCGGAGGTTGCGGTGACCTGAGATGACACCATTGCACTCCAGCCTGGGCAACAAGAGTGAAACTCCATCTAAAAAAAATAAAAAGGTCAAGAAATGTTGCCTCCTGTTGTGACGATCACTTGGATTCATGGGGAGAAATCTCACTTGGGATTACCCGGGGGTCAGTCAACTACAAAGTTGCCCAGACACACAGAGGACTTTGCACAAGTGAGAAGTCAACTCGTTGGGTTTTAACCACAGACTTGAGCGTTGGTGGTTCACATGGCATCGCCTGGCCTTCCCGGCAAATGGGCTCTCCGTTAGCCCGTTACCTCCAGTTTAGGTGATAGGCACACTGACATGCTCCCTCCCCGCCATGCTCACAATTTATCTTCTATAATTTTGAAATAATTCAGACTTCTTTGGAAAAGCTTCTGTCATTTACTTCAGTCTGGAGGTTGAGGATCCTCCGTAGAGTAGGCGCCAGCCACAATTTTAAAAGGTGTTCCTATGATCTCTTATTTCCTGCAGACGGAAGGAGTCGGGTTTCTGTGCTGTGCCTACTGCAGGGAAGGGGCTGGAAATGGATTCTCTCATCGGAGTTATTGAGGACCTGGACCGAGGCTCAGGTGTTTCTGGGCACTTTAGAAATGATTCTTACTTTTCTTCCGTATTGAAAATCAAAAAAAAGGAAGATGTTATTTCAGCTCATACACTGTAACAAAATTGGTGATATTTAGCTTTCCTATTTACCCCATTTTTTGAGGCAGCAGAAATTCAAGCTATAACACCATCAACACCTGTGAAGGGATTTATTGGTAGAGATGGAGTTTCTTATCCACTGAATCCTTGTGTTGAGTGGAGTGGGCTCACATTCAACAGCTACTATAGCAGTCATAGAGGTCACATTTCACTAAATCATAAGTATTCTAGTAAAACAAATGCAAGGCTGGGTGCAGTGGCTCACGCCTGTAATCCCAGTATTTCAGCAGGCTGAAGCAGGAGCATCGCTGGAGCCCAGTTAAAGACCAGCCTGAGCAACATAGTGAGACCTTGTCTCTACAAAAGCAAAAAATTAGCTGGGTGTGGTGGCACTCACCTGTAGTCTCAGCTACTCAGGAAGCTGAGGCAAGAGAGCTGCTTGAGCCCAGGAGGTCAAGGCTACAGAGAGTTATCATCATCGCACCACTGCACTCCAGCTTGGGCAACAGAGCAAGATGCTGTTTCAAAAATAAATAGATGCATATATTTGCATATGTACATGCATCTAAGTTATAGATGCATCTATTTTATATATATGAATCTATTAATATAGATGCACCTATTATATATAAAAATAGATGCATCTATTATATATATATAATATATATGCATCTATTATACATATATAATATATGCATCTAATTATATATTATATATTATATAAATTATATAAAATATATTAAAATATATATTATAAATTATATAAATATATATTATTATATATAATAGATGCATATATATTTTCTATATATATATGCAAATATATATTTTGGAGCTATTTGGGTAAAAGTAAAATTATAGAATTGATTCTCAATGAAATACCATTTATTTAATAAAATGGTAGAATTAGTCACTTTTCTGTATTACATCATTATTTTTACATTTTGAAGCATTTTACTTTCAGCAATTATTTGCACAGTTGGAATCTTTAGAGGAAACGCAGAGAATTTGGGATGCCATGCTGGCCTGAAATTTCAATCCCAAGAGCACTGACTGCCAGATAATCAGTGTGAATGAGAAGGAAGACTTCGACTCAAATCTAGGACTAGATTAAAATTATAGATAGATAGATAGATAGATAGATAGATAGATAGATAGAATTAGCTTAGTTTATATGCATAATATGTATATATAATTATACATTAAATGTGGTTATTACATATTAGAATAAAGTTAAATTGTACACTTGTGCATATACACACGTACACATATATATACACATATGTGCCATAACAAGCATTTTGAATATATAGGTAGGTGAAAAGAAAGAAATGAGTAAGAGAAGGAGGGAGAGAGGGAAGGAAGGAAAATTAGATTGTACTAGAATGAAATACATGAAAATATTAACAATGATTATTGATGAATGGTGAAATTATATGGACTATTTTAAAAAAATACCACATGATATTTTATTTAATAACAATACATTGTTCTAATAATCACTAAAGTAAAACAACAATGAATGCAAATTAAAAGAAGCAATATGAATGGTACTAAGTTCATACCTAAGCATACTTTAAAGAAAAAGTTATTTTATTTTTTAAAATAAGCTTTATTATTTCATTGAGAAATGCCTCTCATTTGCAAAAGTGTACTCTGAACTTCTGATTTGCAGTCCAGCACATAAAGAGCTTGACATCATCCCTCACATCCTAACAACAGGAACAAAGCTGAATGAACTGGACACCAGCAACTTTTCTTGGATCCGTCAGAGAATTGAGGTCACTGGACATGCCACCGCCTTAAAATTGGAGAGGCAGACAGACAAACCCAGAGAATTATAGCTTAATTCAAACACAGCCCAGGAGCAGCAATCGCCACTGGAGCCAGTACTGGGGTAGGAAAACTTAGACTGCAATTGACAAATTTCTGAAGGCTCTTGTAGATAAGCTTGAGCATTAAAAATGCCAGAAGGGGGCCTGGTCTGGGGTGGGGGCACACTTTTGTGAGTTTTACCTCCAGAAGCCCTGCGGTTCTCATGGTGAGAAAAGAGAAAAATCCCCTCTTGCTTCCCAAAGGGAGCCGTTTTGAGATATGCCCAGAGCATTTTGTGCTCCTTAACAAGACCCATCTTCTAAATTTACAAGGAAAGGCAAAAGATCCAGATGACTAGACACAATATTAAAGGAAAAGAACCAAGTTGAAGAGTTGACATTACCTAACTTCAAGACTTATCGTAAAGCTATAGTAATCAAGACAATGTGGTATTGGTGAAAGAATAGAAAAATCGACCAGCGGAACAGAGTAGACAGCCCACACCCGCACAGATCCCATCAAGCAATCTTTGAAATAGACAAATCGAGCAGCGGAACGGAGTAGACAGCCCACACCCGCACAGATCCCATCAAGCAATCTTTGAAAAGGGCGCAAAGACGTTTCAGTGGAGAATGGATAGTCTTTTCAGGAAATGGCTCTGGAATATCTGCATGCGTAAGAAATGAATTAGACAGAGTTTACATATTTCTTACATATTTCACAAATAATTAACTGAAGATGAATCAAAAGTCTAAATGTAAAATGTAAAACTATGAAACTCCTAGAAGATAATAGGAGAAAATCCAGGTGGCCTCGGGTATGACGATGACTGTTCAGATACAACACCAAAAGTATGGTCCATGAAAGAAAAAAATTATGTCAGACTTCATTAAAATCAAAAACTTCTGCTCTGCAAAAAACTCTGTTAAGAGAATGAACAGACATGCCACAGACATGCAAAAACACACACTTGATAAAGGATTTGAATCCAAAATACACTAAGAACTCTATTTTTTTTTTTTTTTTGAGACAGAGTCTCCCTCTGTCGCCCAGGCTGGAGTGCGGTGGTGCGATCTCAGCTCACTACAACCTCCACCTCCCCAGTTCAAGTGATTCTCCTGCCTCAGCCTCCTGAGTAGCTGGGACTACAGGCATGTGCCACCATGCTGGGCTAATTTTTTTGTATTTTTAGTAGAGACGGGATTTCACTGTGTTAGCCAGGATGGTCTCGATCCCCTGACCTCGTGATCCTCCCGCCTTGGCCTCCCAAAGTGCTGGGATTACAAACAAAGAACTTTTAAAACTCAACAATAAGAAAACAAACAACCCAATTACAAAATGAGCCAAAGATCTGAACAGATACCTCATCCAAGATATACAGGTAGCAAATAAGCATATGGAAAGATGCTCAACATCATGTTATTAGAGAAATGCAAACTAAAGCAACAATAAGACACCACTACATACCTATTAGAATGGCTAAAATCCAAAATGCTGACACCACCAAATGCTAGAGAGGATGTGAAGCAACAGGAGCTCTCATTCATTGTTTTGTCCTTACAAAACTAAATAAACTCTTACTATATAACATGGAAAATGCATGTCTTGGTATTTATCCGAAAGGGCTGAAAAACTATGCACACATAAAAGCCTGAATGTAGATTGTATATGCTTTACTCATAATTGCCAAAACTAGAAAGCACCTAAGATGTTATCCAATAGGAGAATAAATAAACAAACTGTAGGACAAGGTTGTAATGGAATATTATTTAGCAATAAAAAGAAACAAGCTATCAAGCCATTAAAAGACATGGGGGAATCTTAAAGGCATATTGCTAAGAGAAAGAAGCCAATCTAAGCCCGGCACTCACACCTGTAATCCCAGCACTTTCGGAGGCAGAGGTGGGCGGATCACAAGGTCAGGAGATAGAGACCATCCTGGCTAACATGGTGAAACCCCGTCTCTACTAAAAATACAAAAATTAGCTGGGCATGGTGGCATGCACCTGTAATCCCAGGTACCCAGGAGGCTGAGGCAGGGGAAACACTTGAACCTGGGAGGCAGAGATTGCAGTGAGTCGAGATCGCACCATTGCACTCCAGCCTGGGTGACAGAGTGAGACTCTGTCTCAAAAAAAAAAAAAAAAAAAAAAAAGAAAAAGAAAAAAAAAGAGAAAGAAGCCAATCTGAAAAGGCTGCATGCTGCGTCAATCCAACTATGACATTCTGGAAAAACCAAAAGTATGGAAATAGTAAAAAAAAAATCAGTGGCCAGGCGCGGTGGCTCATGCCTGTAATCCCAGCACTTTGGGAGGCTGAGGCAGGCAGATCACCTGAGGTCGGGAGTTCGAGACTAGCCTGACCAACACGGAGAAACCCTGTCTCTACTAAAAATACAAAAAAATCAGCTGGATGTGGTGATGCATGCCTGTAATCACAGCTACTCGGGAGGCTGAGGCAGGAGAATCGCTTGAACTCAGGAGGCAGAGGTTGTGGTGAGCTGAGATCGTGCTATTGCACTCCAGCCTGGGCAACAAGAGTGAAACTCCGTCTAAAAAAAAAAAAATCAGTGATTGTCTAGGATTTGTGAGGTGGAAGGAAAGGATGGATGGGTGGAACACGAGGTTTTTAGGGCTGTGAAATTATTCAGCATGATGCTATAATGACGGTTGTATGTCATTATACATTTGTCAAAACCCATAACATCTACATGTAACCAAGAGTTAGCCCTAATGTAAACTACAGATTTTAGCTAAGAATCATGTAACAATATGTTCATCAGTTTTAACAAATGTCCTCCGCTAATGCAAGATGTTAGGAGAACCTGGAAGGGTAGGAGAAGAATACATAAGAACCCTCTGTATTTTATGCTTAATTTTTCTGCAAATCTAAAACTGCTCTATAAAATAAAGTCTACTAATTTTTAAAAGTGTACACCGATTTGGAAATAAGTCCTACTACACAAAACGTGATGGGTAAGCCTGAACTCCGGGTCCAGACTGCTTGAGTGAGCTGGGACAAATGACGTGTGGAAAATAGCAGGAACAGTGCCTGGCCATAGGGCTGGTTTGAAAGGGCAGATGAAAATCTATGGGGAGCAGATGGCCAAGTGCCTCCAGATGGTTATAACATTAGATAGAGTTCTCATAAGATAATTTCTACTAGTAAGAACCACTCACAATGGGACTCGGCTCTCTTCTGAAATAGTTTCATGTCGCTCAAGTATCCAAGCACAGACTGATGGATGAATTCAGTATTCAGTATTGGTTTTGAAAAGAAACACGGCATTATAAGGATGATCAAATAGTACGTTCTGTAATGTGCTGGAATTTTGGGATCGTCTGAAAGAAGGTGACATGTAAAACCACTTAGGAGATTGTAAAAGCCAAACATTCAAGACGTTGTTTGTGAGGATCGTCTTTTTTTTTTACTGCACATTTCAGCTCATTGTCAAACAAATTTCTACAGAGCCTTGGAATTATATAGTATCAGCATTGGAGAAAACATCAGTGCTCATAAAATCAGCCGCACTTTACAGATGTGGAGTAAGAGGTGCTCAAAGATTGAGTTTCCCTGGTCACAAAGCTAATCAGTGATAAAGTTGAGTTCAAGCTGTGGCTCTAAACCTCACTTCAGGACTCATTTTATTATATATGCTGCCACTGTTATTATTAGTCACAGTAACGGTTTCAAAATCCTAAAGACCCCACATTTGCATTGAAACCAAGATAATTTGGTTTTTCTTTCCGGAGTCCCTCCTCAATGCTCCACGGTCATCAGTCAGCGCCTTTTTGGGAGAAAATGTTTCCAGCTGCCACTCTTTGTAGAAGTTGCTCCCATTTGCTGTTCTATGTCTACAACGCTGCATATCAAAATTTTACAACACGTGGGCGATGACATTTACTTACTAACATAATAGCACCTTCACACTAAACAATTTTCAAATCACTATTATATTACCTCTTTGTAATAGGCTTATAAAGTTGACAGGACAGAATTTTATTTTAATCTTCATGTTATAGATGGCAAACTGGGGTTCAGAGAAGTTGCATGACTCACCTACATTCACAGAGCCAATCCGTGTGTGAAGTGGGTTTTGACACAAGTCTCCTGGCTTCTTTATCTGGTGCGGCCTCATTTGCTGTTGCTATTTGGAAATAAGGTGTTACAGAAGCTACTTAATATGCTTGATTCAAAGTCATTTGTTTGGCTAAAGAAATAATGTCTTAATAATAATTCTTTAAAAGTATTTTATAATATTTGATATAGGCAAAAGAACATAAGTAAGCTATATGTTACCTATTATGAAGCACAATAATAAAATAAACACCTGTGAACTCATCCTCTCAAAATACCTTGAAGCTACCTGTGTGTCTTCTTCATATTATTACTTTGTCTTTCCCCCAGAGGTAATGCTTATCATTATCTCTTTTAAAAATGTTTATTTTTTAAAAGCTAGCCCAACATTATCTGTATCTCTAACATTATGTTGTTTAGCTTTGTTTGTTTTTAAGTTACACTAAATATTTTTCCAGGCTGTATGCTGTCTTCAGCAAATTGCTCTTTTCATTCAATATTTGATTTTTAAGATATTTTATTTTCTGTAACAGTTTATCCATGTTCTGCTAAATCATATTCCATCATGTGAAATAGCACAAAATATTTATGCATTTGTTTTGCATCAGTGGACATTTGGGTTGTTGAGAACTTTTTTCTGTTGTGAACAACGATAAATGGAATTTTCATGTTTGTCTCCTGTGCACCCATGTAAGTATTTACAACTGGGTATGAAATTGGTGGGTTAAGGACGAGACAAGTATTCAAACTCATGAAATGCTGCCATACTGGTTTCCAAAGCTGTTGTGACAATTTGAGTTATCAGATCTTAGTTTTTTCCAGTCTACTGTTGATAAAATAATACGTCATTGAGATCTCAGGACGTATTTCCTGAGAAGCTAATGAGGGTAAATTACTTTTTGTGGTTATTTGTAATTTGGGCTTTCTTCTCTGAAATAATTCTTCATGTCTTTTGCCCATTGTTTTTTGTTTTCTTTGCTAGGTAGGGATTTTTTGGTCAAATGTAGTGTATGTATGTATCCTCTCCCAGTTTATGGCTTTCCTTTTCATCTCCTTTCTATTTTCTTTTCCTTTTTTTTTTTTTTTTTTTGAGATAGAGTCTTGCTCTCGTCACCAGGCTGGAGCGCAGTGGCGCGATCTTGGCTCACTGCAACCTCCGCCTCCCAGGTTCAAGCGATTCTCCTGCCTCAGCCTCCCGAGTAACTGGGACTACAGGCGCCCACCACCACGCCCAGCTAATTTTTGTATCTTTAGTAGAGACGTGGTTTTGCCATGTTGCCCAGGCTGGTCTGGAACTCCTGACCTCAGGTGATCCACTAATCTCGGCCTCCCAAAGTGCTGGGATTACAGGCGTGAGCCACTGCACCCGGCCTAAAGCATTTTCATGTACTCAAATATTTCATATAGTGAACAGTCTTTTATGGTTAATACTTTTAGGTCATATGAAAAATCCTTCTTCACTATTAAGTTTATAAAATTGTTTTTCTAAAACATGTAAAGAGGGTTTTGTTTTCCATTTAAGTCTTTAACCCATCAGGAATTTACTTTAGTGTATGGTAATAGTAGGGATCCAGCTTTTCCTCACATGGATGACCAACTGTCCCCACCTGATCTTTTGGAAACCTGATCTTTTCCTCAGTTACAGGCAATGTCACCACTGCTGTCTTATTTCAGTTTTCTCTATCTGTGAGGGTCTATTTCTCGACTTGTGATTTCGTTCCTCTGTTCAGTTTGTGGATCCTACTGCCCGTGCCTTAACTAACATTGCTTTACAGCCTGTGTTGATATCCGCCAAGAACTGCTCTCAGAGTCTCAACAGAGTCCTGTCTATTATATGTTTGTTATTCCATGTTAACTTTAGAATCATATTTTTGTCATGTTTGTCAAAAGTGGCAGAAGAAAGAAAAGAATCTATGGGGGTTTGACTGGAATTGGATTGAGTCTAGCCTATACTATTGATTGTACTGTCGCAAACTTGGTAATATTGATTCTTTCCATCCATGAACATATTACAGAATCTTTTCATTTCTTTTGTCTTTATCATTATCTTTCAGTATAGTTTTTTTTTTTTTTTTTGTTCTCCATAGTGGTTTCAAACATCTCTCACTAATTGTATTTCTGGATGTCTTGTTTTTTTTAATATGTTTTACTTGTAAAGCCACCCGGGCCTGCTGATTTCTCTGTACAAACAATTTTGACTATAGATTCAATCATTTTAATGGCAAAAATACTTGTCTTAATAGAATGTCTAAAGACACTAAGCGGTTAAAAATACTTTTCTGCAGAGAGGAATTGAATTTTCTTCTGCTGGGAGCCAGGGAGCACGTCTGAGCTAGAGCCACTTCAGCGCCTTTGTGGGGTCCCCCTCCCCTGCCCACGGCCCTGCTGCCTCTGGATTGCTGCTGGCATATGGCCCTCAGAGAAACCAAGCTTTCCTGTGAATAATACCTAGTGAATGATATTTTATGTGAATAATACCTAGTGAATGATACTTTTCTGTGAATAATACCTAGTGATTGATAGATACTTTTATGTGAATAATACCTACTGAATAATAGTTTATGTGACTAATACTTAGTACTTAGGGCCCTGATTTTAATTCAAGTTATTACAATAAAAATTTATTTTCTTTATTTTGTAATTGCCCCTTTTGATATTTCTCTGATTTCCGGTGAGCTCAGAAATGCACAAAAGAAAAAAAAAACATGTTGTATGGAGGACGTAGATGTTTTTCAGGGAAAGGACTCTTTAGAATATCCAGCCTGAACTTCTGCCAAAAATAAACATCTCCAGACTGGCTCTTAGGTAGGCACTTGGCATTATTCACGGCTCCCAATTCCTAACAACAACAACAAATTTTGCAATGCTGAGTGTGATGAAGGGTAGCTGAGAAGCGTTCCCTTTCATTTAGAGATAATCACAGTCTTAAAAAAGAAAGATCTTTATTTAAGATAGGCAGTGATTAAGCCACCCCTTGCAATGCCACTGCCCCCCAAGTTTTCTACACATCTACCACTCAGAATGGCACAATGGAAATATCTCAATGCAACAGCAATACTATGGAATGCTTACCACATGTAGGCACCATATACAGTCACACGATTCCTATTTATGTATATGCTTACTTGCGTTCACTGGAAGGATTGCCTTGCTTATCATTATTGAATTCCAGTGAGGCCTGCATGCGGCAGGTGTGCCCAGCTTGGACTGGCCAAGCTGCAGTTTGTGATCGTGCTCCCACCTTTCCAAGCCGTCTGCTCACCCTTATTGATGTGGACTTGAATATCTGGGCATGACTCTCAAGCATGTTTCCAAGGGCTCCTGTCACTCACCACTCTTGAATGTGAGAACTGTGCCTCGTGCATCACTATGTCAACCAGCTAGCCTGGTACATGTTTGCTGTACCGAACTCTTCAGAGGGGGCTGGGAGTAAAGGATACAACTTATCCCCTTTCTGCGTAAGCTTGGCTATTTATGATGTTTCAAATAAAAAATAACATGGTTCTATCTACTAATTTGTAGCTTGGTTTACATTAACACACACATACATTCACACACACACACTCAGAGTCCATCAAATAAGTGGAAATATCCAAAGTTTATCTGGGGGAGTATCACTCATAGGAAATACATAGACGCAGCCTAATGAACACGCAGGCTTGTGTTTGCCCTGATTTTATATTTCATGCACGTAGAATCTGGATTCCATTCTATCTGGTTTGTGAAAAAGTTTTCACCATTTACTCTTTTTCAAATAACAAACATTTCTTGTGAACTTACAAATGTATACTATGCTGTAATGTTCAGCAACACAACTAAAAGAAAGGGACTAGGTACCAGCCCTACAGGAACTCTGATTCTCCTATACGAATTAGATAAACAGGCTGGGCACAGTGACTCACGCCTGTAATCTCAACACTTTGGGAGGCCGAAGCAGGGGGATCACAAGGTCAGGAGTTCGAGACCAGCCTGACCAACATAGTGAAACCCCGTCTCTACTAAAATACAAAAATTAGCCAGGTGTGGTGGTGGGCACCTGTAATCCGAGATACTTGGGAGGCTGAGGCAAGACAATTACTTGAACGTGGCGGGTGGAGGTTTCAGTGAGCCAAGACTGCACCACTGCACTCCAGCCTGGGCAACAGGGCAAGACTCTGTCTCCAAAAACAAAAACAAAAACAAAACAAAGAATTAGATAAACAGTTGCAGGAGGGTAAAAAGTGCTTTGAAATATGTACATACAAAGAATCAGGACAGTAACCAAGAGTGATTACTTCTGCCTCAGTTAGGAAAGAATTAACAGGAGTAATTACAGTTGAGCCAGATAGGAGTTTTCCAGGAGGAGCACAACATCAACATGTCATACAGAGGGAACAGCATGATGTAGTGAAATTGCAATGAGAAAAGCATGAGTTTACATTCTGGACTCATCACTCTCCAGTTTTTGGTTAACAATCACTTTCCTTTGAGAGAATCATTTCTTCTTTGCAAATTAGGCACAATTACTTATCTCAGACATAGCACAGGATTGACTGAGATAAATTATGAAGTGCTTAGCACAGCACAGCACTCCTAAAAGTCAGTCAAGTGGTGGTAGTTATACTTTGCAAAGACAAATAAGTCATATGCAGGAGGCTGAGGCAGGAGGACCAGCCTGGGCAACATAGCAAGACCCTGTCTCTACAAAAAATAAAAAAAGTAGCCTGGCATTGAGAGGTGACAGCGTGCTGGCAGTCCTCACAGCCCTGGCTCGCTCCTGGCGCCTCCTCTGCCTGGGCTCCCACTTTGGCGGCACTTGAGGAGCCCTTCAGCCCACCGCTGCACTGTGGGAGCCCCTTTCTGGGCTGGCCAAGGCCGGAGCCCGCTCCCTCAGCTTGCGGGGAGGTGTGGAGGGAGAGGCGCGAGCGGGAACCGGGGCTGCGTGCGGCGCTTGCGGGCCAGCTGGAGTTCCGGGTGGGCGTGGGCTTGGCGGCCCCACACTCGGAGCAGCCGGCCGGCCCTGCCGGCCCCGGGCAATGAGGGGCTTAGCATCCAGGCCAGTGGCTGCGGAGGGTGTACTGGGTCCCCCAGCAGTGCCGGCCCACCGGCGCTGCGCTTGATTTCTCACCGGGCCTTAGCTGCCTTCCCGCCGGGCAGGGCTCGGGACCTGCAGCCCGCCATGCCTGAGCCTCCCACCCGCTTCACGGGCTCCTGTGCGGCCCGAGCCTCTCCGATGAGCGCCGCCCCCTGCTCCACGGCGCCCAGTCCCATCGACCACCCAAGGGCTGAGGAGTGCGGGCGCACGGCGCGGGACTGGGTGAAGCCAGCTGGGCTCCTGAGTCTGGTGGGGACGTGGAGAACGTTTATGTCTAGCTCAGGGATTGTAAATACACCAATCGGCACCCTGTGTCTAGCTCAGGGTTTGTGAATGCACCAGTCAACACTCTGTATCTAGCTACTCTGGTGGGGCCTTGGAGAACCTGTGTGTCCACACTCTGTATCTAACTAATCTGGTGGGGACGTGGAGAACCTTTGTATCTAGCGCAGGGATTGTAAACGCACCAATCAGCGCCGTCAAAACAGACCATTCAGCTCTACCAATCAGCAGGATGTGGGTGGGGCCGGATAAGAGAATAAAAGCAGGCTGCGGAGCCAGCAGTGGCAACCCGCTGGGGTCCCCTTCCACAGTGTGGAAGCTTTGTTCTTTCATTCTTTGCAATAAATCTTGCTGCTGCTCACTCTTTGGGTCCACGCTGCTTTTATGAGCTGTAACACTCACCGCGAAGGTCTGCAGCTTCTCTCCTGAGCCAGTGAGACCACGAACCCACCAGAAGGAAGAAACTCCGAACACATCCGAATATCAGAAGGAACAGACTCCAGACGCGCCACCTTAAGAGCTTTAACACTCACCGCGAGGGTCCGCGGCTTCATTCTTGAAGTCAGTGAGACCAAGAACCCACCAATTCCGGACACAGCATGGTGGCTCACGCCTGTAATCCCAGCACTTCAAGAGGCTGAGGAAACACTGCCTGAGCCCAGGAGATCGAGGCTGCCATAAGCTGCGATCGCATCACAGCTCTCCAGCCGGGGTGAGGGAACAAGAACCTGTCTCTTAAAAAATAAAACATAAATTAGTCCTGAGCAAGAAATAAAATGTTGGTTGAAAATTTTTAAAGTATTTTCCAAAGTGTCCAGAGTCTCATTCCCCATTGTCTATTTCCCATCTGTATTTGATCTGACTTTGAAAAGGTCTTTGAATAAATTGAAGAGCTTGAAGATGGTGAAGAGAAAAATGTTTTGCCCAACTTTACTGTTGTTTAATTAAACTTTTTGTTTTGAGATATTGGTAAGTTCACATGTAGTTTTAAGAAACAATACAGGGAGATCCCAGGTACTCTGGTAAGTTTTCCCCAGTGGTAACACTGGGCAAAGCTACAGTAGAATAGCACAACCAGGATACTAACATGGATGCAGTGGAGACACAACATTCCCAAGACCACAAGCATCTCTCATGTGGCCCGGTTATAGCCTACCCCACTGTCCACCTGCCCCCACCCCTCCCGAACCCTGACAACCATTAATCTAGCCTGCTTTTCTATTATTTTGTCATTTCAAGAATGTTATGTAAATGGAATCATCTAGCACGGGAACCTTTTGGGATTGGCGTCCCCCTCCCTCACTCGTGGTTCCCTGAAGATTCAGCCAGGTTCTTTAATGTATTGGTGGTTCATTCCTTTTGATTGCTGGATAGTGTTCTGTGATATGGATGTAACACAGTTTAACCATTCACTTGCTGAAGGACAACTGGGTTATTTCCAGTTTTTGTCTCTTATGAATCAAGTTGCTATAAACATCCTTGTATAGGTTGCTGTATAAACAGTCTTCATCTCTCTGGGATCAGTGCCCAAAACAGTAATTGCTAGGTCATATGATTGTGTGTGTGTGTGTGTGTGTGTGTGTGTCTGTGTTTAAGAAACTGCCAAACGTTTCAAACTGTTTTCCGAGTGGCTGTAGCAGCTTACATTCCCACCAGCTCTGCGTGAGTGGTCCCACCAAATCCTTGCCAGCTTTTGGTGTCCTTTTTTTTTTTTTTTGGTAGCCATTTTAATAGGTATATAGCGATGCGAAGTGATTTTACTTTACACTTCTCTAATGACTAACTTATTGAGGATCTTTTCATATACTTATTTGCCATCAGTAAAATGTCTGTTTGTGTCTTTTGCCAATTTTCTAATTGGATTTTTGGTTTTTACTGTGGGGTTTTCAGAGTTCCTTTTATGTTCTAGATATTATTTCTTTGCCGTACATGTGTTTTGCAAATATTTTCTCCCACTCTCTAATTTGCTTTTTCCCCGTCTTTTCAGGATCACTGGCAAAGCAAGCAAAAGTTTTAGTTTTGATGAAGTTCAGTTTTCAATGTTTCATGTCATGTCCTGTGTTTTTGGTATCGTCTAACTCTTTGCTTAGTCCTAGATCTTGAAGATTTCCTTAATTTATTTTTTCTAAAAATTTGCACATCTACATTTTACATTCAAGTCTATGATTCATTAATTTTGTATAATATGTGAGAATAGATCAAGGTACATTGTTTTTGCCTACGGATATCCAATTGCTCCAAAAATCAGTTGGGCATATTTATGGGGGTCTTATTTTTTTAGTTCACCATTCTGTTCTGCTTATTTACACATCTATCCCTTTGCCAATACCACAGCCTTGATTACTGTAGCTATATAAAGTCTTGAAATTGGGTAGACTGATTCTTCTCACTTTATTCTTCATTTTAAAAACTGTTTTTGTTATTTCTGTTTTTTGCTTTTTCATAGAAATTTTACAGTGATCTTACCTGTATGAATAAAAATTGCTCCGGGCTTTTGATAGGAATCTTAACAAACCTGCGCATCAATTTGTGGAGAATAAATATCTTTACTCTGTTGAGTCTTTCAGTCTGTGAACACAGAATGTCTTTCCATTTATCTGGATCTTGATTTCTTCATCAGCATTCTGTAGTTGTCAGCACATATAAATGTTTTCTAGATTTACACCTAAGTATTTCATTTTTTTGAGTGGTTGTAAATGGTGCTTTCTATCTTAATTTTTGGTGTCCATGTATTCATTGCCAGTGTATGGAAATACAAATTATTCTTTATCTTGTTGAATTCACTTATTCACCCAAATATCACATCTTATAGAAAATTAACTCAAAATGAGTCACGAACTTATATGTAAAAGGTAGATGTGTAAATTTTTAGAAAAAGAAAATTACGGAAATCTTCAGAATTTAGGGCTAAGCCTAAAGAGTTCTTTGACTTGATACCAAAAGCACAGTACATACAAGGAAAATGGAAAAATCGCAATTCAACAAAACTAAAACTTTTGCTTTGCAAAAGATCCTGAAAAGAGAAAAAAAATTATGGCATGGAAGAAAATATTTGCAAACACATATACAAAAACTATGAAGGTTTTTTGGTAATGTTTTTTGTTTTTGCTTTTAAATTACTTGAAATTTTCTTTGTAGAAAGTCACGTCACCTGTAAATAAGGGCAGGTTTATTGCTTCCTTTTCAATCTGTTTGTCTTCTTTTCTACTTTATGTCTTATTCTCCTGACTGGAACTTCTTGTACTGTGTTGAGGAAGAGTGATGAGAGTAGGTATGCTTGTTTTGTTTCTCGTCTTGGGGGAAAATTCAGCCTTTCAACATTGACTACAATATTTACTGTAGGTGTTTTGTAGATGTCCTTTAATCAAGTTAAGGAAGTTCTGTATATGTTCTGAAAATTTTCTTTTTTATTTTAGATATTTTTATTTCTCCTAATTTGTTATTTATCAGGAGTGACTGAAATAAAAAATATAATTGAGCCCTGTCATCATTATCATGGAAATGGCTTTAAGAGAAAACTGATCAGATGAATACTATTGCCTCCCATTTTCAACCACGAAACAGTTGCCACTGATAAATTGACAGTCAGGAGTCTGTCAAGAATGCTCAAGATATGTTATATAATACAACATGCCTGTTCACAGGGGGAAGCATCCTAGGAAATAACTTATGTGTACTTCTGATTTCATCATACAAGACAAGCACAAACGCACCACCCATGCCTCTGAGAACATTGGACCATGCACCCTTGAAAAAAGCTCTGCCTCCTTCATCAGGAGCAATCTTCCTCCAGCAGTGAAGCCTGCCTGTGTACATGATGTCAGCTGCACCCTGACTGCATCATCATTCCGTGGCGAACAGCGTCAAATGGATAGGAAGTCAACCCAGCAACGGCAGTGACGGACTGCGCGATCATACGGCTGATGACATGTGAGTGTTCCTGGAATCTGGAAGCATTCTCCTTGCAGTGTCATAGACACCGAAGCAGGCAGCTCGGTAGATGATAATACCCTGCACAGACCTGTTAGAGCCTTGGTACAGGCCTTTAATCCCATCAGATTTGTAGATCTTAACCAGGCGGTCACCAAGGCCTTGGAATTCCCTTTCAGCTCCAGCTTTACCCACATCAGCTGCTAGATGGGTACGGTCAAAATCAAGAGGGTATACAAAACATAAGGATGTGGCCCCAGGGGCACCACCTGATGCCAGACTCCCTGCAAACTTGTGCCAAAACTGGATCCTCTTGTCACACCCCCCGGGAAGATCTGCTTGTTTTTATCTTTGAAGGCAAAGTTGAGAGCGTGGGTAGGGAAGTATCTGATGACATTGGCCAGGTTACCGTGCCAGAGGGACAGGACTCCTGCTCCTTGGGAATGCGGACCATGCAGTCTACAACGCCCGTGTATTGCTTATCTGCGGTGATCTGCTTGCTGGCACTCTGCACCTGCAGCAGCAGCTTGACCCCTCCGTGGGTGCCACCGCCATCTTGGAGATGGCCGCGGTCACTCCACCTGCCAGGAAGTCCTTGGCAAGGACACAGCGGCATCTGTCATGTTGAAAGGAAGAGGAGGCAGGCGGCTGCGGGATGGGACTGGGCGGGAACCGGCTTTGACTCTGGGGCTGCAGGGCGGAAATTTTCATTATGAATAAGTATACAAATATTATAAACTGTTTATTCTGCCTTGATTTGATGTAATGTTATTTTTCTTTTTTAGTCTATATTAATATGGTGGATAATTACTGATTGACTTTTGAATATTGAACCAGCCTTGCATCCCTGGAATAAACCCTTTTTGATAATAGCCTATAATTTGTTTCATATACATTTTTTTCTTTTTCTTTTATTTTCGAGACAGAATCTCACTCTGTCGCCCAGGCTGGAGTGCAGTGGCGCGATCTCAGCTCAGTGCAACCTCCACCTCCCGGGTTCAAGCAATTCTCCTGCCTCAGCCTACAAAGTAGCTAGGATTACAGGCCCGCACCAGCACACCCCGCTAATTTATTTTTATTTTTATTTTTAATAGAGACAGGGTTTCACCATGTTGGCCGGGCTGGTCTCGAACACCTGACCTCAAGTGATCTGCTCGCCTCCACCTCCCGAAGTGTTGGGATTACAGGCGTGAGCCACAGCACCCGGCCTGTTCCCTATATTGTTGAATTCTAATTGCTAATATTTTGTTAAGGATTTTTGCTTGTATACTTATGAGGAATATTCATCTGTAGTTTTCTTTTTTCTCTGTCTTCATCTGGTTTTGGTATCACAGTAATACTCATTTCATAAAATAAATGGAAAAGTATTCCTTCTTGTCTTATTTGCTGAAAAAGATTGTGTAGAATTTTTGGTAATTCTCTTTTAATGTTTGATAGAATTTTCCAGTGCAACCCTCTGTGCCTGGGAATTTCTTTTTTGTAATTTTTTAAAAGTATGAATTCAATTTTCTTAATAGTTGCATTTTGTTTTATATTGGGTGTTGGGGTCGTGTGGGTTTTTTTTTGTGGAATTAGTCCATTTTTGTCTACGTTGTCAAATTTATGTAAATAGAGCTATTTGTAATGGCCTTTTATTATCTTTTTGATGTCTCAAGAGTCTGTAGTGGTAGTACATGTTTCCTTCTTAATAGTAATATTTTGCCTCCCCTCTCTTTTTGTCTTTGTCTATTTTGCTGGAGGTTTATCGGTTGTGTTGGTCTTTTCAAATAACCAGTTCTTTGATTAATTTCTCCATTTTTTTATGTTTTCAATTTTACTGATTTTTCTTTTTATTATTTGATTCCTTCAGCTTGCTTTACTAATTTGAGACTTTTTCTCTTTACTAATATATTAATATTATTAGGTTGGCACAAAAATATTTGTGGTTTTTGCCATTGAAAGTAATGTTAAATTTTTTTTTTCTCAGCATTCCTTTAGCAATGTCCCACAAATTTTGGTCTGTTGTATTTTCATTTAGTTCTATCTATTTTTAAATTTTGCTATAAGACTTTCTCTTTAACCCACAAATTATTTAGAAGTGTATTGTTTCGTTTCCAAGTGTTTGGACAGCTTCCTTTATCTCTCTGTTTTTTATTTCTAGTGATTGCATTGTGGTCAGAGAACATCCTCTGCATAATCCAAATTATTTAAAATTTGTTGAGTTTTTTCTTATGGCCAAAGATATGGTCTATCCTTGTGTATGCTCCATGGTCTCTTGGGAAGAATGTTTATACTGCTGTCATTGGGTGCAGTGTTCTACACATGTAAATTAGACCCTGTTGGTTGGTGATATGGTTAAATTCTTTTATATTCCCACTGATTTTCTGTCTAGTTGTTCTCCCAACTGTTGAGAGAAGGGAATTGAAGTCTCCAGCTAGAATTGTGGATACTTCTATTTCTTCTTTCAGTTCTGTCAGTTTTTGCATCACACATTTTACAGCTTTATTGTTTGGTGCATTCAAAGTTAGTATTGCTGTATCTTCTTGCTGAAAGACATTTATAATTTATCATTATAAAATGTCCTTCTTTGTCTCTGGTAATTTTCTTTGCTCTGAGGTTTGTTTCATCTAATATTAGTATAGCCAATCCTTTTTTCCCTTTGATTAATGTTTGTTTGATATATCTTTCTCCATCCTTTTACTTTCAACCTGCTTGTACCATATTTGAAATGAGTTTCTTGAAGAACACATGTATTTGGGCCATGTTTCTTAATATATGCTACCAATCTCTATATTTTAATTGTTGTATTTAGATCATTTATATTTAATGTCATGATTGATATGTTAGGGTTTAAAACTGCCAGTTTATATTTTGTTTTCCCCTTGTTCTGTTTTTATGTTTTGTTTTGTTTCGCACTCTGCTTTTTCATGATTTTTTGTGAGTGTTTGAACATTTTTTAGAATTCCATTTTGATTTATCTATTTTTTTTAGTGTTTCTCTTTGTATAGCCTATTTAGTGGTTGTTTTAGGTATTACAATATATACATAACATTAGAATCTACTGATGTGATTATTTCATCAGTTTGAGCGAAGTATAAAAACCTTATCTTCCTTTATGTCCCTGTATTCCCCCAATTTTTTATTTTTGTTTATTATTTATACTTATTTTTTGGGATGCAGTCTCACTCTGTCACCCAGGCTAGTGTGTAGTGGTGCAGTCTCGGCTCACTGCAACCTCTACCTCCTGGGTTTAAGCAATTCTCCTGCCTCAGCCTCCTGAGTAGCCGGGACTACAGGTGCACACCACTATGCCCGGCTAATTTTTGTATTTTTAGTAGAGATGGGGTTTTACCATATTAGTTAGGCTGGTCTTAAACTCTTGACCTCATGATCCACCCACCTTGGCCTCCCAAAGTGCTGGGATTACTGGTGTGAGCCACCGTGCCCGGCCTCCCCTGGTTTTTTAATACAGTTTTAAACATTTTCTCTATGTATATTTAGAGCCATATCAAAGTAGTTCTATATTTTTTTGTTGTTATTGAGATGGAGTCTCACTCTGTCTCCCAGGCTGGAGTGCAGTGGCACAATCTTGGCTCACTGCAACCTCCCCCTACTGGGTTCAAGTGATTGTCCTACTTCAGCCTCCTGAGTAGCTAGGGTTAAAGGCATGTGCCACCATACCAAACTAATTTTTGTATTTTTAGTAGAGACAGAGTTATGCCATGTTGGCCAGGCTGGTCGTTTCAAACTCCTGACCTCAGGTGACCTGCCCACCTTGGCCTCCCAAAGTGCTGGGATTACAGGCGTGAGTCACCATGCCCAGCCAGTTCTATAATTTTTGTTTCAGCTGTCAAACATAATTTAGGCAACTCAAGAGTAGAAGGAAAGCCTATTGTATTTCCCCATATATTTGCTTCCAGTGTCCTTTTTTCCTTTCTGATGTTCCATGGTCTTTTTTTGTTGTTTTGTTTTGGCTTTTTTTGGCTTTTCCTTTTGTCTAAGAGAAGTTCTTTTAGCTGTTCTTTAAAAATTGATATACTAGCAACAAATTCTTTTTATTTTAATTTACCTGAGATTGTCTTGATTTCAGTTTATTGCTGAAGGATATTTTGATTGGGTATAAGATTCTGGGTTGACAATTCTCTTCTTCCAGCAGTTGAAAAATATTATGCCACTTCTTTCTGCCTTCTATGGTTTCTGATAAGAAACCTTTTTAATGTGATAATTTCCCTATAAGTAATGTGTTGTTTTTCTCTGACTGCTTTTTAGATGTCTCCTTTTCTTCATATTTTAAAATTTTAATTACAGTTTGACTTGGTGTGGATTTGTTTAGGGTTTTTTCATCTTCTTGAACTGATAGCTTTATGTCTTTTGCAAAATTTAGAAAGCTTTTCGCCACTATTTCTTCAAATATTTTTCAGCTCTTCCCTATTTCTCCTCTCTTCTATGACTCAAATAACAATTATGTTAGTTCTTTTGTTACAGGCCTCTCTTGGAGGCTGTTTGCATTTTCTTTTCAGTCACTTTCTCCCTGTTGTTCAGATTGAGTAATTTCTATCATCTTATTTACCAGTTTACTGATGTATTTTCTCTGTTCCCTCCATTCTGCTACTGGGCGCATCCACTGAGCTTCATATTTTGGTTATTGTATTTTTCAGTTCTAATATTCTCATTTGATGCTTCTTTATATCTTCAACTTATTTGCTAAGATTTTATAATTTTGCTAAATACCTCTATTTTATTTCAAGTGTGTTTGCAATTGCTTGTTGAAGTATATTTATCATGCTGCATTAAAATTTTTGTCAGATAATTTTAACATCTCTGTCACCTTGGTGTTGGCATCTATAGGGTCTCTTTTTTCATTTAGTTTGAGATCCCCCTAGTCCTTCACATGACAAGTTACTTTCAATTAAAATGTGGACATTTTTGTATTATGCTATGAGCTTCTGGATTTTGTTTAAGCCTTCTGTCTTAACTGGCTTTTCCTGACACTATTCCGGCAGAAAAAAATGTGGAGGGTGCTGTCTAGTTACTGCCAAGTGGAGGTAGAAGTCCCAGGTTCCTCACTTGGTCTTCACTGGCATCTGAGAGGTGGTTTCTTGTAATTCTGAGTGGGGCTAGAAGTTCTAGCTCTATGCCTGATCTCCACTGACATCACAGTGATCTCATTACACTGGGATGATGGGTAAAGTCCTGACTTTCCACTAGTCTTCCTCTGATGCCACCCAAGTGTGGGGGTTCTTAGGGGAGTGAGGAATCTTATGATTGCCGAGTACGGGTGGAAGTCAGTTTGCTTGCATGGTCTCCATTGACACTGGGAGGAAGGGTGGAATGAGGTAACACTGCTGTTACTGACTAGTTATTATGAAAGTCTTAGCTCCCTACTTGGCCTTCTCTGATGCCACCCTGGCATTCTGTTGTACCTTGGTGCAGTTTCACAAAGGTGGAAGCCTAGGTGCCCCTAAGCAGCCTTTGCTGGCCTAGGTGGGGATAAGGCCAATTTTTTTTTCTGTGATGTCTGCTTTGAGTTGAGGCTTTAGAGGCTCACCTCATTTTATCAAAGTGCTTTCAGTGCTTTGTCTTATTGCACTTTGCAGATTTTTTTTTTTATTTTTACAAATTGAAGGTTTGTGGCAGTCCTAGGTTGAGCAAGTCCATCAGCACTATTTTCCAACAGCATGTGCTCACTTTGTGTCTTTGTTACATTTGGGTAATTCTTGCAGTATTTCAAACCCTTTGATTAATATTATAACTGTTATGTTGATCTGTTGTCAGTGATTTTTGATGATACTATTGTAATTGTTTGGGAGCAACATGAACCATGCCCATATAAGACAGCAAAATTAATAGATAAATGTTGTGCATCTTCTGACATCTCCACTGACCAGCCCTTCTCCCATCTCTCTCCCTTTTCTCAGGCCTTCCTATTTCCTGTTAATAATCTTACAGTGACCTCTAAATGTTCAAGCGAAAGAAAGAGTCACACATCTCTCACTTTAAATCAAAAGCAAGAAATAATTAAGCTTACTGAGGACGGCATGTCAAAAGCTGACATTGGCTTAACGCTAGGTCACTTGCACCAAACAGTCAGCCAAGTTGTGAATGCAAAGGAAAAGTTCTTGACAGAAATGAAAGTGCTATTCCAGTGAACACATGAATGATAAAACAGTCTGGATAAAAGATCAAACCAGCCACAACATTCCCTTAAGCCAAAGCCTAATCCAGAGAAAGGCTGTAACTCTCTTTGATTCTGTGAAGGCTGAGAGAGAGCTGAGGAAGCTGCAGAAGAAAAATTTGAAGTTAGCAGAGGTTGGATCATGAGGTTTAAGGAAAGAAGTGATCTCCATAACGTAAAAGTGCAGGTAAAGCTGCAAGTGCTGATGGTGAAGCTGCAGCAAGTTATCCAGAAGATCTAGTTAAGATACTTGATTAAGGTGGCCACACTAAACAACATATATTTAGGGTTGATGAAACAGACTTCTACTGGAGGAAGATGCCATCAGGACTTTCATAGCTGGAGAGAAGTCAATGACTGACTTCAAAGACATGAACTTCAAAGGACATGTAACTCTTGTTACAGGCTAATGTGGCTGGTGACTTTAAGTTGAAGCCAATGCTCATTTAACCATTCCAAAAATCCTTAAGAATTATGCTGACTCTACTCTGCTTGCGCTCTAGATATGGATTACAGCCTGCATAACAGCACATCTTTTTACAGCATGGTTTACTGAATATTTTAAGCCCCCTTTTGAGAACTATTGCTCAGAAAAAACCCAAGATTATTTTTGTAATATTTGCGCTCTTTGACAATGCAATGGTCACTCAAAAGCTCTGGTGGAGACATACAAAAAGATTAATGTTGTTTTACTGCTAACACAACATCCATTATGCACCCTGATGAAGGAGTAATTTCACCTTTCAAGTCTTATTATTTAAGAAATCTATCTTGTTAGGCTGTAGCTACCATAGACAGTGATTCTTCTGATAGATTAGGGAAAATTAAATTTAACAATTTCTGGGAAGGATTCACCATTCCTTTTAATGCCATTAAAAGCACTTATGATTCTTGGAAGGAGGTCAGAATATAAACACTAATGAAAATTTGAAAGAAGTTGATTCCAATCTTCATGAATGACTTTGAGGGGTTTAAGACTTCAGTGCAGGACGTCACTGCAGATGTGGTAGAAATAGCAAGAGAACTAGAGTTAGAAGTGCAGCCTGAAGTTCTGACTGAATTGCTGCAATCTCATGATAAATCTTGAACGAATGAGAACTTGCTTCTTACACATGAACAAAGAAAGTGGTTTCTTGAGATGGAAGTTACTCCTGGTGAAGATGCTGTGAACATTGTTGAAATGACAACAAGGAATTTAGAATATTGCACAAGTTTAGTTGGTAAAGCAGGAGCGGAGTTTGCGAGGATTGACTCAATTTTGAGAGAATCTTTACTCTGGGTAAAAAGCTATAAATACCAACTCATGCTACAGAGAAATCTTTCATGAAAAGAAGAGCTAATCAGTGAGGCAAACTTCATCGCTGTTTTATTTTTGAAAATTGCCACAGTCACCCCAATCTTTAGCAACTATCACACTGATCAGCCAGCAGCCATCAACATTGAGGCAAGACCCTCCACCAGCAAAAAGATTACGACTCACTGAGGACTCAGATGATCATTGGCATTTTTCAGCAATAAAATGTTTTTAAAATTATGGCCTGTACATAGTTTTTTTTAGACATAATGCTATTGCACACTTAATAGACTATGGTATTGTGTAAACATAACTTTTAAATACACTAGAAACAAAGAAATGTATGTGACTGTCTTTATTGTGATACTTGCTTTCGTGTGGTTGTCTAGAACTGAACCCACAACATCTCCGAGGTACGCATGTATCATTTCAAAATATCGTCTTGTTGGTTTGTTCGTTTTTCTTTGGCTAGAAGAGCATTTTTGTCCGAGTTTTTCCCCCCTACGCATGTCCAGTTTGCCAGCTTCTTCAATACCACAGCTGAAATACCT
The DNA here is from genome assembly GCF_000001405.40 of Homo sapiens. Lineage (NCBI taxonomy): Eukaryota > Metazoa > Chordata > Mammalia > Primates > Hominidae > Homo > Homo sapiens. The sequence continues at coordinate 186,336,978 of NC_000004.12, forward strand.
GAGGCAAAAGGAAACACCAGGAGCTCACCACCATGTCAGTTCTGTTTTTGTCTGGCTTTATTTTTATTTAGTAGTTGAAAAATGTAATCAATGTCTATTCCTAGAAATACTCTCTTCACTTGGTTTCTTAAAACACATATGCCGCTGGTTTTCCCCCTACCTCACTGGCTGATTCTCTTCTTCATTTTGTTTCTTTCTTTTCTTCCAGACTCGTAAGTACTGACATGTTCCTGTATTCAGAGCTTGATCCTCTTTTCTTCGTGTTTTTCTCCACTCTAAAGCTGGCTGCATATTAAAATCATGGGAACGTGGCCGGGCGCGATGGCTCAAGCCTGTAATCCCAGCACTTTGGGAGGCCGAGGCGGGCGGATCACGAGGTCAGGAGATCGAGACCATCCTGGCTAACACGGTGAAACCCCGTCTCTACTAAAAATACAAAAAATTAGCCAGGGGTGGTGGCGGGCGCCTGTAGTCCCAACTACTCGGAGGGCTGAGGCAAGAGAATGGCGTGAACCCGGGAGGCGGAGGTTGCAGTGAGCTGAGATCGCGCCGCTGCACTCCAGCCTGGGAGACAGAGCGGGACACCATCTCAAAAAATAAAAAATAAAAAATAAAAAATAAAAATCACGGGAACGTAAGATGCAAACATGTATGTCTCTAATTTTAGGCGGTCCTAGTTAATTCTCATATGTTCCCAGGGCTAAAAACAACTATTAGCAACAGGTTTTTCTAATTTTTAAAGAAACTATTTATTTCTTTTTCTGTTTTTTAAAAGCTTTTATGTTTATCCAGATTATATATGAACCCACTTTAAAGAATTGGTTCTTTAAGTTTTGTTAATTAAAGAAAAATATATATTCTGGATAGTAACTGCTCTCTATGTACATAGTTTCCAAGTATTTCCTCCTATTCTGTAGGTTCTCTTTACTCTGTTGTTTATTTCTTTTGCTGGACAGAAGCATTTTAATTTCGTATAACCCTGTTTGTCTATTTTTGCTTTGGTTTTGGTTGCTTGTGCTTTTGAGGTCTTCTCCAAAATAATCCATGCCCAGACCCAGGTTATGAAGCATTTCCCCTATTTTTTTCCTGAGTAGTTTTATAGCTTCTAATCTCACATTTAATTCTTTAATCCATTTTGAGTTGACTTTTGTAAATTGTGAGAGATAAGGGGTCTATTTCATTCTTCTTCTTGTGGATATCTAATAAAAGGATAAAAGATACCCTTTTATTAAAGATACTGCTCTTTCCCCAGTGTGTGTTCTTGGCACCTTTGTCAAAAATCAGTTGGCTGTCAATGTGTGGGTTCATGTCTAGGTTCTCTATTCTGTTCCATTGGCCTACGTGTGTGTTTTTATGTTAATACCATGTTGTTTTGGTTATGAATGCTCTGTAGTATATTTTGAAGTCAGGTAGTGTGAAGCCTCCAGCGTTCTTCTTTTCACTCAGGATTGCCTTGGCTATTCTGGGTCTTTTGTAGCTCCATATGAATTTTAGGATTGTTTTTTCCATTTCTGTGAAGAAGGTCATTGGCATTTTGATAGGGATTGCATTAAATCTATTGATTGCTTTGGGTAATGTGGTCATTTTAACAATATGAATTCTTTCTATTCATGAACATGGATGTCTTTCCATTATACCTCTTCAATTTTTTTGATCACTGTTTTATAGTTTTCCTTGTAAAGCTCTTTCACCACCTTGGTTAAATTTATTTCTAGGTATTTTATTTTATGTTTTGTAGTTATTGTAAATGGAACTGCCTTTTAACTTTTCTGTCATCTTTTGGAATTCCTCTTATTCAGATGATATATCTTCTGCTCTGACCCTTTAATTTTTATATCACTTCTGTTTCTTATTATTATTCTTTCTACTCTATTTAATGAGACTTTTTTTAATCAATTTTACTTTTCAAGCCTATTGTACTTTTATTTATGCCATAATCTTAAGTTCTAAGAGATCTTTTTAATTTCCACATTTCCTCCTTTTCATCTCATTCTGCTCTTGATTCATGAATGCAACATCTTATCACTACAAATATATAAATAACAACGTATTTTTAGAATAGTTTATTATTTAGATTTACTTTTTTTCTGCATAATTTCTGTTACTTTTTATCCCAGGTTTCTTTTTAGCTGTTAATTTGCTTTGTTTGGTGTTTATCTTTGCTGTTAAAGGCCTTCTTCAGATGTCAGTAATCTTGGGTTATCTGATCACATATGAGTGAGAAATGAACAATGTGACTTGAAGTTCTTGTCAGTGCAATTGTATGGTGTTGGAAACATGTTTTGGGGATATCCTGGTGTTGGAAATAATCAGATGGGTTTTTTCCCCCTTTTGTGCTAGTCATGTTCCCTGGAGAAGATTCCCTGCATATTCTACTGGAGGTGAAACGTGGAAGCTGAGTGGCAAGAGGGGCTGGAGGGAGCACTGGCATTCAGGGTGCATGTGTGTCCTCACTTCGCCCTTTAGTTTTTGCCTCAGTCCTTAGGCCTCCACTGTGCCTTTTGTACTTTAAGGAGAAACCTTTAAGGAGAGACCTCCCCCCCTCTTCTTTCATGCTCCCATGGAGTATAAGCTTCCTCTTTTATAGCCATGGAGTGAGGAAGTTGCTAAGTGATGTTAAATGGGGAATATGAGCTACATTTCTAGCTAAAGAGCTTTACAAATCCGTCTCCTCCCTGTCTCTACTAAAATACAAAAAATTAGCCGGGCATGCTGGCACGCACCTGTAATCACAGCTAATTCAGGAGGCTGAGGCAGGAGAATCGCTTGAACCCAGGAGGTGGAGCTTGCAGTGAGCTGAGATCGTGCCACTGCACTCCAGCCTGGGTAACAGCGAGACTGTCAAAAAAAAAAAAAAAATCCATTTCCTGTATGTTAGCTTGCTTCCTTGCTTCCTTTTACTTTTACTTCAGAGATACTTGGTGCCACCCATTTCTGAGTCTCTTGGAAATTCTGGGGTTTAAATGAGACTAGTTTTTAGCTTTCTCCTGATAGTTTAGAATTTGGATTCCGGAGTTTCCTAAGTAGGATTGTCTCAGGCCTACTTGTCACCTACATAAATGTGCCATTTTTCTCTTCTCTTACTCTCTCCATCCTCCTGGCTTCATTTTTAAAAATTACTTTTACTGACATTTGATAGAGTTTCAGTGTTGCAAGGGAGCAAAGTTAGTTGCTTGAGTTCAATCTGCCGTAGCTGTGGAATTCTACATTCTAAATCTTTTCTTTGGTGGGACACGGGCTCGGTTGAAGAGTAGAAAAGAGAGAGAACAGGTGATGCTGACTGAGTTTTGGGTTTGGGGGAATGTGAGAGAGTGAGACTGGAGAGGAAGAGGAGATGCTGAAAGTTACATGGAGAAAGATGGGTGGATGTTTCCATGACCTCCACTTAGGAGTCTGCACTTCCTTATTAGTCTCTGATATTTCAGTCCTGCTTAGTGACCTTTAAGATTGCCCTATTTTTTCACTGGAAGTTGAGTGAGGACAGAGGTAGCTGCCAGCAATATCCACTGTGGCCCCACCTAAGCTTACCGCCTGGGTCACTGTACCCACCTCCATTTCATCACTAGAAGAGTTCTGAGAACAGGACGTGAAGACAGCCTTCCAGGCCAGAAGCAGGCCAACCAGGTTTCACCCTCACGCTCAGGTGTGCCAAGGGCTTTGATTCCTGCTGTTCATCCCTTTGGAAAAATATTGCCCAAGCCTCCTGATAACCGCCTGTGCTCCTGAATAGGTATTTGTTTGGAGAAGGGTAGGACTTCAGCTAAAGCCTTTAAAATGTGCTATTTGCTTGACTTAAGATAATCAATAGACACTATCTATGGCTAACTTCATATTCTTATGATGTGGGTGTTTTTTTTTCCTTTGTAAGTCACCTCAAATCCTAATGGAACAGGAGGTATATTAAGTACTGAAATGAATTAAACATAATCGATTTCCTCAGTTTAGATTATTTGCTGTTTTTGGTTCATTGATTTTCTTGGGACTGGAATTCAAATGACTGCTAGGTAAATCATCTTTCACCTTATATTATCTATTGATAAGTAATGATTAGGTTGGCATATGTCACTACACCAAGATACATACTGGAAGTAATCTGTTACTTGCAAAATGTGAAAGCAAGCTAATTTCAGGTCATTATTTGTATTGAAAGTCCACATTTCGTGTCCACATTTGGTGAGTTAAATACAAATTAATTAGGAACATATGGACAAAATTCCTCTTGTAACAGGGACAGACTTAAAAATGAGAATATATGTGCTTGATAAGAGATTGAGTTTAGAAAATACATAATTTAATAGTTTAAATTATTTAATAAAAGCCACAATATCACTGAATGCACCCACATGAATTCCTATAAGTTAATATTGAGAATAGGGATCATATATTTTACTAAATATATGTTAGTAAACCATGCACTGAACATCAAAACTTCCATAAGAGTAGGAGAAAAGGGCAACATCAAGTTTAACATAAACAGAATACTTGAGTAAGGTGCCATCCTTCAAGCCAACATCAATAGCACTCAGAGCACAAGATGCAGAAAGGTGGGAGATGAGAGAGAGAAGAGGCTCTGCAAACTGAGTTTTGAGATTCTGGAATCTTCAAAAGAGGGAGCCTAGAGATAGAGGGAAAAGCTAAAGTTTGTTAGCACTGTGGAGAAAGCTAGAGTGCAAGGTTCTGCACCCATTGCCTAGGAGTTTGCATTTTCTTATTATAATCCAAATTTGGGGTCTTTGATACCTCTGTCAACAAGGATGTGATGTCCTGTGAAGGTACAGAGACCTGCCAGAGGTGATTTACATCGGGCCAGATCTGTTGCTGGCCCTTTAAATGAAGACGGCCATCTTAGTCATCTCTGGCTGCTATAACAAAAATAACACCGACTGGGTGGCTTAAACAACAGACACTTATTTCTCACGATTCTGGATTCTGGAAGTCTGAGATCAGGGTGCCAGCATGGTCAAGTTCTATGAGGGCCCTCTTCTGGGTTGCAGACTGCTGACTTCCTATGGTATTGTCACATGGCAGAAAGAGAGCCGGTTAGCTTGTAAGGGCACTAATCCCATTCAAGAGGTCTCCACCCTCATGGCCTCATTACTTCCCAAAGACCCCACTCTAAGTACCATCATACTGGGGATTAAATTTCCACATATGAATTTGGGGGAGACACATTCAGTCCTAACAGCCACCTTCCTGGGAGGGTGAGCACTAAGGCCGGGTGAGAGCCCAGCATGTGAGGCCGGGTGAGAGCCCAGCATGGGCCCAACTATGCACCCAGAACTGTCTTCTCATGGGTCTCTCACCCGCTTGTGCCTGCTTTGTGTGTCTCTGGCATTTTATTCCTGGGCTCTCAATACCCATCCATTCTGGAGAGCCATTTGATGTGGTGAATTCACCAACTTCAGCTTCTATGTAAGCTCTTCACCCCGTACTGGATCAGTTTGGTGGATTCAAACCCAATGAGGTCACAAAGCTTGCCAAAAGTTCGCTTTTATTGCAGCAAAATATGTAGCTATTACTTGTGGCATGCAGATCAGCTACACTGGGTAGGCAGAGGAATTCCCAGGGTTCTAAACCCTATTCAGGAACACTTCTGGGCACTCAGCAGTAACAGACAGGACCCACCGAAAAGGACGGGTCATCTTGCCTAGGCAGCTGCCCATGTTCAGTCCTCTAGAGCTGCTACTCTGATACCAGGCTATTTATTACTCTTATAAGGTAAAAAGAAACAGCTAAAACCATACACACACACAAACACAATCATGATTATATGACTCATATACACAGGTATTCAGCCATTTGAGTTGGCTCCTCCTTAAACACTCATCTTTAGGCTGGGCACGGTGGCTCATGCCTGTCATCCCAGCACTTTGGGAGGCTGTGGTGGGAGGATCACTTGAAGCCAGGAGCTCAAGACCAGCCTGGGCAACATGGTGAGACCCCGTCTCTGCAAAAAAATAGAAAACTCAGCTGCGTGTGGTGGCATGCCCCTGTAGTATGAGCTACTTAGGGGGCTGAGGTGGGAGGGTCGCTTGAGCCTAGGAGATCAAGGCTGCGGTGAAGTAGGATTGAACCACTGCTCTCTAGCCTGGGCAACAGAGCAAGATCCTATCTATCTCCAAAAAAAAAAAAACAATAATCTTTAGTTGTCCCTAATTTATATCTCATTATAGCCCCTTGATTTTAGCATCACTAAACTATGAGAAAGAGACACTTCCTCCGCCACTCCCTTGTCTTATGAATATTTCATTGCCTCCCCACGATACCCTCCTGATTGGTGAGAACAATTTAAACAAGCAGGCTTGCAAGCTGCCAGGATGCGAAACTCCCAAAATCCTTCCCAGACAAGGTCCAGGGGAGAGAGGCTGCCTGGCACTTCAGATATTTGTGTCATTGCATTGCTCTTTTAAAATAACTTCCTTTGAGCTGGAGCTCCAAGACAAAGATAATAATAACAAAATAACTAATTTTTTGATTGACAAATAAAAATTGTATGTATTTATGGTTTCTCTTCTACATATAATACTATTCCCTACCCTTCTGTGTTTTTTTTTGTTTTGTTTTGTTTTTTGTTTTTTTTTTGAGATGGAGTCTCGCTCTGTCACCCAGGCTGGAGTGCAGTGGCGCGATCTTGGCTCACTGCAACCTCCGCCTCCTGGGTTCATGGCATTCTCCTGCCTCAGCCTCCTGAGTAGCTGGGACTACAGGCGCCCGCCACCACGCCCAGCTAATTTTTTGTATTATTAGTAGAGACAGGGTTTCACCCTGTTAGCCGGGATGGTCTCGATCTCCTGACCTCGTGATCTGCCCGCCTCGGCCTCCCAAAGTGCTGGGATTACAGGCGTGAGCCACTGCGCCCGGCCCCTTCTGTTTATGTTTGTGAAACTCCTAAGCACCATTCTAAACTCAGCACAAATCTTAACCACTTCGGTTACAATTTCCTCTGGGCACAATTATGCACTCACTTCTCTGTCTTCCTGTAGCATTTCCTCATTCTATAGTGCAGGATTTACTGGCTTATCCTTACCTTTTTAGATATTTAACTTCCCTTCCAGATGATGGGACCTCATAGGGAAGTTACTTTGGTCCTCCCTTTACACTCAGCAGCAAACACATAAAAGGCCCTTTAAAATGTTGAATGAATAAACATGGGACACATTGTTGATCCTTTATGTTTCCCCAGCATCCCACCCAAAAACAGATTCAAAGTACAAGGAAGGTAACAGTCAGATTCCTCAAATTCACCAAAAGAAAGTACGTATCTAGAACAGTCAACTTAGGAAGGTGTCTGGCCTGAGGGTTTGGTTGAGTGTTTGCAGCACATTATGTATCTCCAGCCCTGGCTTGGTAGTCAGTTTGGTTTTTTGTTTTGTTTTTTGTTTTTGTTTTTTGAGACAGAGTCTCGGTCTGTCGCCCGGGCTGGAGTGCAATGGCGCAATCTCGGCTCACTGCAACCTCCACCTTGCAGGTTCAAGTGATTCTCCTGCCTCAGCCTCCCGAGTAGCTGGGATGACAGGCACCCACCACCACACCCAGCTAATTTTTGTTTTTTTGGTAGAGATGGGGGTTTCACCAGGTTGGCCAGGCTGGTCTCGAACTCTTGACCTCAGGTGATCCACCTGCCTCGGCCTCCCAAAGTGCTGGGATTACAGGCATGAGCCACCTCACCTGGCCGCCAGTTTGTTTTTTTGTTTTCTGTTTTATTCCTGGAAACTGGAGAAAGAAAACTGGAGAAGTCGAATGATCTAATGTGAATCCTGTGTCCCTAACACTTAAGACACCTTGGGCCTAAGCACACAATAAAGAATAAGAAAAATAATGAAAATGAAAAGTCATATTCATTTCTTCTTACCCCCAATATTTAATTTTTTATTACTATAAAATGGAATATTGTTCTGGTTAGATGAGATTTTCATACACTGTAACCAAATTTCTTACAAGTGTATGTCAATTTTAAGATTACAGTAGTATTTAATAATATTGCATTTTACCCAATGAACAGGTAAAATAAAGGAACTTTATTATAGTTCTCATATGAGAACTATGACTAACCACACTGTCCTTTCGGATATTTACATCTGAAGTATACTCTTTGAGGGGATTCAAATATTACAAAACCCTTTGTAATGGGTTGTATTTTATACGAAATGTTTGTTTTCTTCTGAGAGCAGTCAGGTTGAATTTAAAAAGGATTACAGTACAAGAAAATGTAACTTTTTTTTTCTTACAGAACTATCATGAAGACTTACTTAAATTGACCTTATTTGTAGTTTATCCTGATCTCGAGCAATGGTGGTTTTAATACTTTGCTGCGTTCAGGTCAAAACAGGTGGACCTTAAACAGTTGACTCATGATGGCATTTGTGCTCTGATAGTAACAGCTGGTTGCTTTGTATTTCAAATGAATTTTACAACCCAGCTAATGGCTCTTTGTTCTCAGATAGGAAAAGGTCTGTAACCCTTTTCTCCCTCCTTGGGAACACCTGAAGCAAGCTTGACCCTAAGCAGACCTCCTTGCAAACATCCACTGCTAAACTGGGGTCTTTCAGGGGTTTCCTGTACCAATTACTCATCGAGAAATGCTTTTAGCAAGCAAGATATTCCTGGTCTGTCTGGCACAGATAGTTTATTGTCAACAAACCTGTGATTTGTTGCAGCTGCGTTGAAGAATGAATGTTGGAAATCTCACCAGAAAGAGCTCTGTGACATGGAAGATGAACAAGCTGAGAGACCCCCAAGCTCAGTGGCAGCTTTGTACTATCCTATCCCCAACACCACACTCTCCCTCGGAAGCCAAAACTCCTCCTGGCAGAGAAGGGCACTCAGGAAGCCACGTCGGATGGGCTGGGGAACTCCTAGATATGGATGCTGCACATGCTATTACTTTATCATATATAATCTACTAATTATCAATAACAGTGTGTAACATATACAATCCACTAGTTATTAGTAACTGTAGTCTGTTAATAATAACATCATCGTTGTCATCATGGCTGTGACAATGGGGCAGTCTGCCCTCTCCCTCCCCATCTCCACGATCATCTATATTTATGGAACATACATCTAAATGCATTATTATTTTCATTCTGAACATCAGTATGAGGGGTATGTATTCCATTGCCTCCCTATCTATGTACCAGGTGCTGGGCATTGAGGGGTATACAGACCTTGGTTCTACCCTTTATGATCTAAAACAGCTGAAAGTATTGACATAAGGATACTAAAAACTAAATAGAGGCTGGGTGTGGTGGCTCACGCCTGTAATCCCAGCACTTTGGGAGGCCGAGACAGACGGATCACCTGAGGTCAGGAGTTCAAGACCAGCCTGGCCAACATGGCAAAACTCCATCTCTACTGAAAATACAAATATTAGCCAGGCGTGGTGGCGGGTGCCTTTAGTCCCAGCTACTCTGGAGGCTGAGGCATGAGAATTGCTTGAACCCGGGAGTCGGAGGCTTCAGTGAGCCAAGATTGTGCCACTGCACTCCAGCCTGGGTGACAGAGTGAGATTCCGTCTCAAAAAAAAGAAAAAGGAAAAGAAAAAAAACTAAATAATTTATTGACATTACAGATATAATTTAATTTTAACTACTAAGAGCACAATCAGAACAATTCTGTTTTCCATATCCATTTCATGTCCCTCCTGGCACCCTGAAAGATTGCATGTTCCAGTTATGTGGGGCCATGCACCCAGTTTGTAGTCAGTGGAATGAGGACAGAAATAGCACTACACTGTAGAGAAGGCAAGCCTCGCCTCTGTTGAGGCTATTCTGAGATCTCAGGGTGCCCAGCTCTGAAGTGGAGCAGGGATAAATCCATGGTTCTGGACATGACATGTATTTCATGTAAGTCTGATTGACAATTAAGGATTTTGTGTTCATTTGATTTAAAAGTCACAGAAAAATCCAACCTTCAATTGTCTTCACACAAAGGAATGACTCTAATTGCACATCTGACTGGAAAACTGTAAAGCTGGGATATGGCACTCTTGCCGCTGTGTGGACGCGGGCACCCTGGAGCTGGTTCTCCACTCTGCGATTACCTGGCTCTCTTCGGATTCTACTAAGCGTGGAAGAAGTTACTTAGAGCGAATACTTTACATTTACTAGTAAGATAGCTGCACAGGCTGGGACTTTTCTGACAACAGTAATGATTATCATTAGTTATTTTAATAGTTTAAATAGTGCCTTGGAGAGTAAGAAGATCTACTGTTAAGGGAAGAAAAAACACAGCTGAGTTGTCTTATTAATGAATTGAGCTGCTCATTAGCTAATTTTTTCCACAGTCTTTAATGATCTCCTGGTTAATGGCTGCTAGAAATACAGAAGCACTTTAATAAGGGCTCTCAGTCTAAAACATTTGCAGCTGTAACATTGACTACTCTGCACATAATAATAACTCAGCCAACTTTTCCTGTGTGCTTACCATGTGTCAGGCACATGTGGGAACAGAGAATACCTTTATCTGAAAAGACAAACAGCCTTAATTCATTTGGCTACCTAACGGGTTTCTAACTCAAGTTACACATAAATTTATTAAATCGGGTCAACTGATGTAATTAGCCAACTGTTAAAAATTGTGCAGACGGAGAGAGCCGGTGGATCCCGATGGTCATGACTTATGAGAAGGCATACATCACACCTTGCCTCTATGGGGAAGAAAATTCATTTTTCACAGAGAGTGTAAGTCTCCATCCTGAGGTAATAGAGAAGAGAGTTTGTGGGTGTCTTGTTGTTATTGTTGTTTCTGTCCTTAATCTTCCCACCTTGCATTTAAAAACTCAATAAAAAAAAAAACAGTGACTATAAGTCACCATGTTCTTTGTTATGGAAGAGACAATGTCTTACAAGCCCTTAAAGTTGAAGTCTCTGATGCCCTCCAGCAGTTGACTGGGGATACCTGGTTACTTGTCAGCTCCTAACCGGGACACAGAGTAGGTCAGAGAAGTCGACCCGGGAGTGTTGGGTAGCAGCCAAGCGTGCAGACGCGGGAGGTCAGCCAGCCTGCACTGAAATGCCGCCTTTCCTTGTGAGAAACTGCGACTTTGCTCAGGTGAATACGTTTTCAACATTTCACTTTCCTCATCTCTGAAAATGGAGCCCTAGTAACCTCCTCACTGGACTGCTGTAAGGACTCAATTCCAACGCGATGATACATACGATGTACTGGTGTGCAACGGGTATCCAGTGGATGGCAGCTATGATTTTTGTGTTTATTATTAATAATGGGAGTACAACTTGGGCAGGTTCATCTCGGTGATATGAAGCTTCGGTTTCCTCTGCCTAAGATTTGTTGACCCTCCTGCCAACCAGGACTTGAACCTTGCCCAAATTTCTGTGTATCTTTTTTAAGCTTTGCCAAACTCCCCCCACACCCCCTACTCCCATCCAGAGGCTGGATCTGCCTTTTACCCCTGTCAACAATACCGTTGCCCACTCCCCTCTTCCCACCTGCCCCCCCTCCCCAGCCACTGGTTGTATTTCTGTCATGGACAAAATCATCAAAATGATGCTGATGCCACTTGCTTTTTAGAATCAGCGGACACAGTGACTTCCTTCCGTATCCCTGCCCCACTTATCAGCTGAGCACCTCGGATCTCAGAAATTGCCTCAGCGGGGCACTAGGCTTGACTGTTGTACAATGAAGCACTGAGCTGCCACAGCTGGGGCACCATTGTACTACGACGGTGTGTTTCCCAGGCTCCCTCCCCAGCTTCTGTCTCCTTCCTGTTGGCTTCGGTCCTGGCGTGCCTCACATATGAGCACTTTGTGTTAGGCTACGCAAAGAAATAAGAACAGCAACCGCATCAAAGGAGGTTACAATTTACCTTTCAACACAATCATCATCTACTCCTAATTTCCCCACTTGGGCGATTAGTATAAAACTTATTATTTTACTACTTTTTATGTATCAGTAGAATTCTATTAATAAATGCCAGTAAAGCATACAATTCAGTAATACAAACCTTGTTTTATCCTATCTTATGTTGGCTGGCTGGTGTAGATCACACCACTGAACTCCAGCCTGAGCTCACTGTAACCTCTGCCTTCCGATTCAAGAGATTCTCATGCCTCAGCCTCACAAGTAGCTGGGACTACAGGCATGCACCACTGTACCTGGTTATTTTTTCTGCATTTTCTGTAGAGATGGGGTCTTGCTATGTTGCCCAGGCTGGTCTCAAACTCCTGGGCTCAAGCAATCCTCCCACCTCAGCCTCCCAAATTGTTGTGATTGCAGGTGTGAGCCATCACACCAAGTCTCACAGCGATTGTTAATCATAATTTGTAATTATTAATTAGATAACTCCAGAAATATACATGAACTTGGTGATAATTTACTCTGATAATACATCATACAAAGATAATATAAATTCTGCCAGAATACTCTGTGGCTTCTTCTGCTTCCCAAATGTCCTACATAAAACTATTAATACTTGTAAAAGACTTCAGTGAAGAATGAATTTCCCCCAGCTGAGCAAGCGTAATTTGGCTATGGCCAGATGAAGGAGCGTTCTGAAGCAATTCTTGGCATGGAAGCAAATGGAAAGGCCTTATGCATAGGCAACCAAGAAAAAAAAATCTAAACAATTTAAGATGCAGTGACTTCCCAGGTGCAGGTGCATCAGTCACATACTCCATCTACCATCGGCATGTCTTGCTTTTGTAACAAGAGTCTCTTTCTATAATACGGGCAGTTGGTCTTGTACTCAGCTGGGCATTCAGCATGGCTCCTGTCTCAGCAAACGGAGTCGGAGGGGTTAGCTCTGGTGTAGGATGCCTGCCTGGGTGGCAATCCCTATTGGACAGGTGAAAATAGATCATTATTTTAAAGTCTTGATCCGGCCTTAGAGGTTCCCCTGTGTTTCCTGTTCTGCTAGAGCTGACAGCTAGGACTCCTCAAGCTGTGCACGATTGCTTTCTGCACTGTGTGTGGCTGGAGCCTCTAGGTTAGCAATGTATCTACTCACTCCAGAACGGTCTTTTCATAAAGAAAACCTGGGCTGGGCGTGGTGGCTCACGCCTGTAATCCCAGCACTTTGGGAGGCCGAGGCAGGTGGATCACGAGGTCAGGAGATCGAGGTAATCCTGGCCACCATGGTGAAACCCCGTCTTTACTAAAAATACAAAAATTAGCCAGGCATGGTGATGGGCGCCTGTAGTCCCAGCTACTCGGGAGGCTGAGGCAGGAGAATCAGGTGAACCCAGGAAGTGGAGGCTGCAGTAAGCTGAGATCGCACCACTGCACTCCAGCCTGGGCAACAGAGCGAGACGCCATCACAAAACAAAAACAAAAACAAAACAAAACCTGATATGTTAAATCACTTTAAATCAAGTTTGTCCAACTGCGGCCCATGGGCTGCATCTGGCCCAGGACAGCTTTGAATGTGGCCCAACACAAATTTGTAAACTTTCTTAAAAGATTATAAGATTATTTTTGGCAGGTTTTCTTTTTAGCTCATCAGCTATCGTTAGTGTTCGTGTATTTTATGTGTGGCCCAAGACAATTCTTCTTCCAATGTGGCCCAGGGAAGCCAAAAGACGGGACACCCCTGCTTTCAATGCTTCTCGGTGCTCTTAGGATAAAGACCCAGGTTCTTCCCATGGACTCTGCACCCGATACAGCCTGGCCCGCACTCCCTCTCCAGCCCCTCTCCTACCGCATGCCGCTGCCCCCGGCCTTGTGTCCTCCAGCATGGTGACCTCCTCTCAGTGTCCAGGGTTCCCTACCCCCACAAGGCCTTTACCATCTCTTCTAGAACTCCGCTCTGCCTTCCAGTTGTGCCTCCACTGTCACTTCATCTGGAAGCTGTTTCTGCCCTTTCAGACCAACTGGGTGAAATTGCTATGTGTGCTTTCTTATGCCATGTGTCACTCCTCCATGCCACTGGCCACATTTTTTTTTTTTTGAGACAAGGTCTCACTCTGTCAAGCCATCCTCCAGCCTCAGTCTCCCAAGTAGCTGGGACTATAGGCACACACCACCATGCCAGTCTAATTTTTGTATTTTCAGTAGAGACGGGTTTCACCATGTTGGCCAGGCTGGTCTTGAGCTCCTGGGCTCAAGCAATCTACCCACCTTGGCCTCCCAAAGTTTTGGGATTGCAGATGTGAGCCACCGTGCCTGGCCCACTCAGCACGTTTCAATATGACACGTATCTGTGCAATGACGCCGTTCATATGTGCCTCATCTCACAAACTCGAAGCGTCATCAAGCCAGAGACAATGTTGACTTTGTTCTTCATAGCATTTCCAGGGCAAGCATGGCTCCTAGGATAAAGCAAGTCCCCACTGACACATTTCATTAAAAGCAGAGAAGGGTTAGAAGTTCATCAGCCTTGGCTGGTGCAGTGGCTCACATCTGGATTCCCAGCACTTTGGGAGGCCGAGGCGGGCAGATCACCTGAGGTCAGGAGTTTGCGACCAGCCTGGCCAACGTGTCCAAACCCTGTCTCTACTAAAAATACAAAAATTAGCCTGGCATGGTGGCACATGCCTGTAATCCCAGCTACTTGGGAGGCTGAGGCAGGAGAATCGCTTAAATCCGGGAGGCGGAGGTTGCAGTGAGCCCCAGAGGAGCCAGGTCATCCCCAGTCAGCACCTCCCAGGTCAGGTCCTATTTCTCCAATTGCTCAGCTTTCTACAGCTGCGCCCACTGTGGGCTGCTCACCCTCAGAGCCCAGGACAGGTCCTATTCCTCGAATGGCTCCCCGAATGGCTCAGCTTTCTACAGCTGCGCCTGCCGTGAGCCGCTCACCCTCAGAGCCCTCATGTCTGCAGCTGATTTTTGTTTGCAGTTGGCCCACTTCTGTTCCTTATTCTGCCTGGAACCCTGCAAGTCATTGATCCCTCATTCAACCTGCTCCTGGGTGCTCAGCACAGGCTCAGTGGGGGGCCTGGCTCCAGTCCAGGTCACCCTGTGTAAGCACCAACCTTGACACTTCATAATTAATGTTGTTGCCAGGAAGCTCTGATAAAGCCATTCACAAGCCCAGGTGATGGTGGAGGAAATGTCATTCTTCCTATAAATGCTTCCCACATCTCACTTATTTTCATGACAGGGAGCTTTTTGCTGTCAGGTTTTTGCCTCAGACAGAAATTCATCGCTTTCAGCGCATTATCCCTATATCAACCCTTCTGTCACTGTTGCTTTGCATTGCTGCATTAATAATAATAAAAAGGAACTCATGTTTATCAAGAAAAAACTTCAGAGGGATACATTGAAAAAAACATAAAAAATGCTCAGAGATTGAGATTGCTTCTTCAAAGCTCTGGACAGACGAAAAACACATTGGTTATTTACATATCGACAGGTTCTTCGGTAAGGTCAAGAGTACATCATTTCCAACTAAATGTTCTAAGATATTAACTGTCTTTTTTACCCATGTGAATATCATAGGACCGCCAAGTGAGGCCCAAAGCTATCCGTTTTTAGAAATGTATTTGTAGTGATAGTCCTGGCACAGCTCAAATATATCCTGAACTTGACCTGAATTGTAAATTAATTCTTAACGCTTTTTGCAAAACAATCCCCTGCCTTTGGGAGATGGGAGAATGGGTGCTCCTAAATCACTCGATCATCACGAGATTTGCTGTTTGCAAACCGGGGCAGACTGCCATCTTTACAGACTACCGAGGAAGAAACCCAGGAAAGGGCTTATTGTTTTTGAGATTTATTTCAATCAAGATCTGAACCCCTGAGGCCTTTGTTAATTTTCCTCTGACTCTTCATGTATTTCACCCTTGCCTTCTTTTTGATTTCCCATCTGTCTTGCTCTTTTTAGTTTCCTATCGAATTTTGTTTGTTTTGTACACTAATTCTTTCTTCTATATGTGTCTTTGATTTGTCCCCTAAGTCCTGACCTGTTTCAGGCTGTATTCTCTATTACTTTCATCCTGGGACACTTTCCTTTGAGTTGCCCTGATGGGTGAACTCAGACCACAGAAGGTCAAGCTCAGACACATCTTGTGGTAGATAATCTACTGGTTACAATTTTTTTTTTTAATGGTTCCTACTTAGAAACTCAGTCCTCCAGCACTCATACACATAAACTCTCAGTTACTTTTTCAACAAAAGTTTTCTTAGTGGTGAATTCATTTTACCAAGAAGTATTCAGTATGTCACATAAATTTGCAGATGTAATATTTTATATATATATATCCAATAGTACAACATAAATTCAATAGTACTATAAATCACATTTCAACTTAATACTATTCTGATGGGTATAGATCGCCATTATTGATGAGTAGATTATCTAACTCAACACTTCTCATAGGTGTTGTCATGAAATGCTGGTGAGTGAGTCATAGTACAAAAATATAATTTTAATACAAACAGATACTTTTGAGGATAAAAGAGACTCTATTAACAATTACACTGGGACAAGCAGCATACAACATGAACTGCTGTGGGCCAACCGGCATGTGTGGTCACCTTAGCGACAACCATCCTGAAGTGCGCTACAGATCACTTGAAAAATAACCACAAAACTGACATGCAAATGAGGCGGGTTCGACGAGATTGCTCATTTACAACCCAGCATGCTTTCCTGAGTGAAGGAAAATTATTACAAATATTTTTGGGGTTTTTTGTTTGTTTGTTTTGAGACTGAATCTTGCTCTGTTGCCCAGGCTGGAGTGCAGTGGCACAATCTTGGCTCACTGCAAGCTCTGCCTCCCGGGTTCATGCCATTCTCCCACCTCAGCCTCCCGAGTAGCTGGGATTACAGGCGCCCGCCACCACGCCTGGCTAATTTTTTTGTATTTTTAGTAGAGATGGGTTTTCACTGTGTTAGCCAGGATGGCCTTGATCCCTGACCTCATGATCTGCCTGCCTCAGCCTCCCAAAGTGCTGGGATTACAGGCTTGAGCCACCATGCCTGGCCAATATGTTTGGTTTTTAAGTTATAAATATTCCTCGGTAGCTTTATATGAACCTTCTTACAAAGTGCCAGCATTATGGGGGCCAATACCTTAAAGTTAAGAGCAGATGAGCTAGACAAAGTTAACCGGAATTTAATTTTTAGGAAATTCAAAGTGAATGTCTGTGAAAACTAGGGTTTATAATTTGCACTAGTTCACAAGTTCTCTTTCCTGAATTCCCAGGGAAGCCAGACTCCCACTTACCACCTTTTGAATCTTGAAACACCCTCTTCCTCCTCATCCAGGACCAAGGTTTCCTAGAAAGCTCTATCATTTTTCCAGATTAACTTGAAATAGACAATGTCCATCTGAGATCATTTCAATCTTAAAACTCTGGCTTCAAACTAAGGTTCAGGTAATAGTCTTGCACCTGAGTCACTTCTAATTCATTTGGTCCCCAGTTCTGATAGGTAAGAACTGGATGGAAGGTGCCCTCTGTTGGGCCAGCCCTATGCGATCTTCCTCTCCCTCAAACTCCCTTCACGTGGTCTCCACCGCCCAGTTCCATGAGCAGAACCCAGGAGCAGAGCATGGGGTTCTTTAGATATGTCACCAAGGGACGTGCCACTTGGGGTTAGGAAGTGACAAATCTGTAAGCAGCAGGAATTTCTTTTCCCTCCAATTTTTCACGCAGTATCTGGAGAAGCAAAGATCTAGATCTGGGCCCAGGGCAAAATAATATGTCTAGTTTTGGGAGTTGTGTCCTACCTTTCTCAAAAAAGAAGTGCAAGGATTTGACTGGTCCTAGGCTTCCAGAGGGAATTTACAACAAACCCAGAGAGAAGCAGGGCCTTGGGGCCTGAAGGAGAATTATCGGCAGCACACAATCTATAGGAGTAAAGAAAGTGTGACACATGCATCTAGGTATAATTTTCTGGCAAATGATTTCTTTCTGGTATGAAATTGTTGTAAATTATGAATATTGTTAAAAGGGGGAATCATAATGCACTTATGCTGGCTCTATTCCCAGAAATAGTATAATATATAATATATGTTGTGGAAGGGTTCAGAAACACCAGTGTTATATTTCTAGTTATATACTTCCACGTATTATTCTAGTAGTTTCATGCATTTTGATTTTTTTAACCTACAAGTGGATCAGAGCCCCTGGGAGGAGGAACCACATTTCATTCACCACTGGGCAACAAAGAAAAGCCAGACTGAGACTCTGCACATGCACATGGTCACTGCCCTTCCATAGCTTTCAGTCCGGTCATTTCATAGAGTTGTCTACTATGCAAATAATCATCTACTATAAGACTATACATTGAGGATATGCTAAAGAATATCAGGTAACTGTCTAAAAAGATATATATGCAATTTTTTAGTGCAATGAGTATTCTAAGATTCAGCAGTGTATGCTGTTCACAATGTTCATGGCAAAAGTTAGAGAGTGTGATAATTCCCTACAGCACTCATACTAAAGTGCCAGGCATCAAAATAAAAAGGTAAAGGAAATGTATTATCCCACAGTTCTAGAAATCCAAAATCAAGGTGGCAGCTGGGCTGCTCTACCTCTGAAACTTGTAGGAGAAAGGCCATTCCTTACTCTTCCAGCTTCTAGTTGTTTGCCAGAAATCTCTGGTGTTCCTTAGCTTGTGGCAGCACAATTTTTATTTTCGCCTCCTTGTTCACGTGATGTTTTCCTTCTGTTTCTTTGCAGCATCTTCCCTCTGTGCTTGCTTGTGTGCTAATCTCCTCTTCTTATAAAGACACCAGTTATTTTGGATTAGGGCCCACCCTAATGATCTCACATTCATTTGCTTATATCTGCAAAGACCCTGTTTCTAAATAAGGTCACATTCTGAGGCAGCAGGAACTAGGACCTCAACATATTTCTTTGGGGGAGGACACAATTCAACCTGTGACAGATGGTGTTGCTCTTCCGTTAGTTGACATCCTGGGAACCATCGCCTTCTCCCATTTATCTTAATATTCTGGTCCAAGATCAAGAAATGGCTGAACAACAGGAAAATATGAAAAAAATGGTAGCTAAACTAGGAAAAGAAATTTTAGTAAATAATAATCATCCTGGAAATGAAGGTAAACTGTAAGTTGCTCAAAAGAGAATTAAATATTGCTCAAATTCACCACAGGACCAAGAAAACTAGATCAAAATAAAGAAGTTAAGAAGTATAATAGAAAAAATAATAGGTATAGAAGATAGGCAAAGAAGATGGAACATATATATAACTGGAATCTGCAAAGAAAAAAACCAATAGAATGTAACTAATATTTAAATTATAATTCAAAACAAATATTCCTGAAGGAAAAATAAGACCTAATTCTATGAAGCTGAGCCACAGGAAGTTGCTGGCATTCATTTTCTCACCTGTACCAAGGGTAGCTTCATTGGACTAAATCCAATATACATTTAAAGGGCCCACTGGCTGTCTGGGTAAGAAATTACCCACAGTGCTTAACTCTGGAAACTATGCCAATAAAATGATTAACGTTTAGAGATTAAGAAAAAACTTCTGTGGCTTTAAAAAAAACTAAAACCATTTACAAAGGAAAGAAATATTTTTTGGTTTACAGCAGACTTCTCGAAAACATATACAAAGCAACACAACAATGGGGCGATATTTTCAAGAAACTCAAGGAAAGAAAGTATGAGTCAATGATGTTCTATCCAGCCAAGTTTCACTTCAAATATGAAGGCTCTGGAAAAACAATTTTAAACATACAGAAACACTTTGAATGTTGTAACCACAAATCTTTCCTGAGAAATCAACTACGAAACAAACTTCCTCCACAGATGTGACGATGGGAGAAACTTTGAACATAGTACTGGTAATGAGTATTAATTATATTTACATGAAACCTAAGATTTAAACAAAGATTATGATAAGGATGGAAGAATAGTGTGTAGATGTTAAAAACCCTGAGAAAGTAAAAATAATTTCACTTTAAAAATGAGAAAAGGAGAGAGAAAGCAGACTAAGCTCATTGTATGCTGCATGGATAATAGAGGTGTGTGAACAATATCTTCATACTCAGGAGGCTGAGGCAGGAGAATTGAGTGAACCTGAGAGGCGGAGGTTGCAGTGAGCCAAGATCGCACCGTTTCACTCCAGACCAGGCGACAGTGCGAGACTCCGTCTCAAAGAAATTAAAAAAAAAATACATATATATATATATATATATATAATCAAAGCCAATAAACCAAGCAGTGGGAACCTAAGTAGGGAAAAGGAAATTAAGAATTTTATTCAAGGTATTAACAGGAAGGTTACCATCAAAAAGTGAATACAAAACACACCTACTATAATTTTATTTTGAACAGAAAGAGTAACGGGTGGTTGCCAGAGGTTATGAGTGAGATGAGAGCTTCAATATAAAGCCTCATTCCTTAGCACAAAGGAATGTTCTGGGATGATGGAGCGGTGGTGCATCCCGATTGTGGCAACCTATGCATGTGTTAGAATTTATAGAACTGTACACCAAACACAAAGTCAATGTTACTGTTGTATTTGTCTATTATAAATATTATTTGAAAACACAACAAAAGCATACTTGTCAAGTAACTGAATAAATAAATGAATAGACAACCCTCCTCCAACCTCTACCAGAAAGAGCAAAGGCAATAAATGACAAGGTGAAAAACACATTATAAATATCATGTAATACATACAGTAAATATAAAATAATGACAAAACAAACACATGAGTCATATTAATATATGTAAACTGGCTTAACTCACATGTGGTAGGCAAAAAAATTAGCCCCTCAAAGATGTCTACCTCACAATCCCCAAAACCTGGGAATACGTCACATTACAAGGCAAAAGGTACTTTGCAGATGTGATTAAGGTAAAGGCTTTGAGATGGGGAGAGGCTCCTGGTCATCCAGGCAGGCCCAATGCAGTCTCAAGAGTGCTTAGAAGAGAGGCAGGTGTGCCAGGGAGAGAGAGAAACAGAGGTCCAAGCGATGTGGGACCCTGAGTCAAGGAATGCCAGCAGCCTCTAGAAGCTGGAAAAGCTGAGGGAACAGATTGTTCCCAGGAGCCTCCAGAAGGAAGGAGGCCTGCTGACCCATTGTGTACTTCTGACCTCCAGGACTGTGTTGTTCTAAGCCACAAAGTCTTTGGTAATTTGTTATAGAAGCAATAGGAAACTAGTACATCATCATTTTAGATTAAAATTATAGATTGGGTCACAAAATAAAATCCAATGGTCTGCTATATAGAACAAGCACACCTACATAAGCTTTAGAAAGGCTGAAAAATAAAGGTATAGGGACAGGTACACAGGCAAATGTGCACACACAGCACAGCGCTGTGATTTTGATACCAGCAAAGGTAGAACCCAGCCCTAAAGTGTTAAGTGATGCAAAGCAACAGGCAGAAAGCAAGGAGTTCCAACAACTAATGGGGTGGGTCAAAAGGTCAACGTAAAGGAGTTCTCATTGGCCAAATCTGGGGCAATTCGAGCTTTGAGAAGGAATGATTGATAGCAGTATATTAAATGAGTAACATTCCACCAGTGTATAAATGACATCAGAAAAGAGAAACCCGAGAAATTTAACTCGTTTGCCACTATTAGAGGGAACTGTAATATCAACTCTTTGCTCTAAAGTTGGTAATTTAAAAGAAAGAATCACGCATTTTACTGTACCTTTTTAGAGAAAATTATAGTTCCTTTCCAGCTAATAGGTGAAAGGTCTTCTTTACAGAATAATGCCAGCTAATTAATCTAGAAAGAATGATAGGATGAAAAAACAACCATGCTACAAACCCCAGTGAGATAATCCATTCAGGCCAAGATCATGACGGACGCTAAAGCCTTTAGGTGAAAGCTTTTTGGGACATAATATTCAGAAGGTGTCAAAGCATCAGCCCTCTGGAAGGGAAAAAACAGCCTTTGTAATGGAAGTATCTGAAAGTCACCCCTTATCCAAAGGATCCAACTTAATACCACTGATAGTGAAACACCCTGACATTATGTGACCAAGAAGTAATGCACTATGAGGCCGAGTGCGGTGACTCACGCCTGTAATCCCAGCACTTTCGGAGGCCAAGGCAGGCAGATCGCTTGAGGCCAGGAGTTCAAGACCAGCCTGGCCAACATGGTGAAACCCTGCCTTTACCGAAAATACAAAAACTAGCCTGGTGTGTGTTCTGCGAGGGAAATGCTTGAGGGGAGAAGAAAAGACACACACACAATACCTTTAAGGGTAAACAACCTTTATCCCATGTGAATGACAATGCAGATATAATAAGCAAATGATATAATAAGCAAATTGATATAATAAGCAAACTGATATAATAAGCAAACTGATATAATAAGCAAATTGTAATGAGAAGGGCAGAAGGGAATATATATATATACACATACTCACCAGGCTATGAAGGATTCACCACCAGACCGGGAAGCAACAGTCTGGGCTCCAGAGTTGGACACTCGTTTGTGCATAGACAAGGAGAGGTCTCGTGATGCTTCGGCACGGTCTGGGACCCTAGCTCTTTTTGTAATGAGTTGTTTGGCATGAGGCCCAGTCACGCGGGCCCTTTGAGACTGGGCTCAAGGAACACAAAAAGGTCGACTTGTTTTTGGGATTGTCTATTATTTTTCAATAAGTAACGTATAGGAATAAATTGAAATAGAGATTTCTCCAAAACAGCACTGGATGAACACCTCAAGGGGCTCACACGACCTGCCCCGGGACTTGGTGACCATTGTTTGTGTCCATGTTCAATTGAGTTCAAATTTAATATTTAACTTTTCCTCCACATTCGGCCTCAATTTTGATACTCAATTGTAGGAAATTGCCCTTACAGATACATGGGGAAGACATAGTTGATACAGATTACAGATACAGGGTTAGCACAGGAGAATTAAAAGCACAGTTAATAAAAACCATACCCATGGCTTTGCAAGGGGAGTCATATTGTGAGAATTACCAACAATATACACACAACATTCAGTATGCAGTAAGGTGCAGACCCCTCCTTGGACTGCAGTAAGCATATCTAATGCCATTCGATTTTACAACACAACAGTACAAAGCTGAGCAAATACATCTGATAACAACATAAGTCCAGTGCTACACACAGTGTATGTGTATGTATATAGAGAGATGGTGGAAGGAAGGGGAAATGAGGAGGAGATGAAACAAAAGAGGTACTTTGATAAAAATTATTGTTGGTAAAAAATATAAACAGAGCTCAGCCTCTCTCTCTTACGGTTCCCTGTGCACACATACTGTGGGTCGGCGTCTGGGGATGAATCTCCAGTTTGCACCTCGTTGGCTTGTGCTGCCCCAGGTCTGAAAGGACGGTCTTCAGCTCTCTAGGTGGGGCTCTGCATTCCCCTTCTTGTCCTGGGTGTTTCTGTACCTCCACTCTGCAACTGCCCCAGGGCTTTGAGAATTGGCTCTCATCTCTGGATCCTTCATGAGAAAGGACATTTCTTTCCTAGAATGCCCAAAATTCGATCTTCCAGATGTCTTCTTCATTCTTCATTTCTTCTACAAGTCTCTCTAATACCATCTCCTAAAGCTCCTGCTTTTGCTCCTGATTCATGAATATCCAGCCTTAAATGTTGCTAGAAATATATCCATTGTCCAGTGTTCATCACTGAATCTACCCATTGATGAGGTTTCACTTTCTTCTATTTGAATCCTGAAACTGTCGAATCGCCAAACAAATAATGAAGAGCAACTTTAACTGAGGCGGGAAGGGTGGGGCTTTAAACCCTACCCTGTGTGGCCTCCCTTGAGTGGCCTGTGGTGTTTGTGAGGCATCTTCAGGAACCACAGGCACTGTGAAAACACAATTTTCAAAACACTGGTCTCCATCATAATCTGAATGTGGCCTCTATCATTCCTGGCTGCTGTCTTCTTGCATTATGCTAATGTTTCTAACAGTCCGCAGCAACACATTCATGCCCTTCACTGAAAAGCTACACCTCACGTGGCTAATCCCATTAAGTCCCTATTTCTGGTCTGAGGAACATACCTGATTATCAGTTCATTCGGTCATTTTGTTTAGTTCCTTCTTTTGCATTAAAAAAAAAATGCCTAGTGGAAAACAGTGGTTTTTATTAGTTGGCAAGCTTCATTTTTACTAACTTTTCCAATTGTTTCCTAATGACTATATTTGTCTTTTAAGGTTGCTATGACAAAATACCTCAGACAGGGTAACTAACCTACAGAAACACATTTTCTCACAATTCTGAAGTTTGTCAGTCTGAGATCAAGGTGCCATCAGGGTTGGCTCCCAGTGAGGCCTCTCTGCCTGGCTTGCAGACTGCCGCCTTCTCACTGTGTCCTCACACGGCTTTTCCCAGTGGAGACAGAGCAAGATCTCAGGTGTCTCTTCCTCTTTTTATGGGGACACTCACCAATCCTATCAGATTAGGACCTCACCCTATGACCTAGTTTAACCTTAATTACTTCCCTAAAAACCCAGTCTCCAAACACAATCACACAGGGGGTTAGTTAGGGCTTCACCATAAGAATTTTGGGATGACACAGTTCAGTCTATAACAAAGACCTTTATTAAAAGCAAGATCTTGGATCTTTCTTCCCAAGTAGACAGTGAAATACGTTAACACACGTAAGCCTAGAGCCTGGAGTTCTGGAAGTGACTGAGGTTCTATCCAGTGGATGACCAAAGAGAGTTAGATTTGGAATTCAGTCAAGTGGGGAAAAAACATAACTCCGTTTTGCTAACATGGGTCCTGGTAGAGGGGGCATGATGCCGGAGCTAGTAGCAGCTCCCTGATTTGGCAGGCGGCTTCCCAACTCAGCAGCTTCCTGCAGCACTTATGGTAGCTTTCCTGGTCCTGGCCAAGGTGACATGGTTCTCAAACCAGTGACACTTGGTGGAAGCATTTATTCTTATTCATTCATTTGTTTATTCACTCGGTGTCACATATTTGTTGAAAGAATGAACAGAGGAATGAATGAGTGGCCTATATCAGAACGTAGAAAGCTCCCAAAGCAGGAGCTTCCTGATTTCTTGGTTTCCTGTGCCGGTAGTAAAAGCTATTCTCCTAATCAGGGCAGAGGCAGAGTGACTTTGGGAGCTGGGAGTTGTTTCAAGAGCCAAGTCTGGATCTTGCATTTTCAGCCCTTCCACACTGTTGCAAGCACTGAGGACCAACACTAGCTGAGGTGACTCTAGTTGCCTGTCACTGAATACAGTTAGCTTCTTGCAGAGGGAGGTAAGAAAGAGGTTTTTGGCTAGAGCCCAACTAAGAAGACTGTTCCCTAGAAATCATGTGTTGTATATTATAATTTAATAATCATTCAAATTCAAAAGATAGTAGCACTCTGAATTTGATCATTTACAACCAGACAACATCCTCGCTGTAAGCCTTTTTTTTAGATGTAAGAGTCCCCAGGATATGGACTGAATGCATGTCTCACCTTCTCCAAACTTCATATGTTGAATCACTAACCCTCAGTGTGGCTACATTTGGAGGTGGGACCTTGAGGGGGTAATTAAGGTTAAATGATGTAATCAGGGTGGGGCTCTAATCCAATAGGATTAGTGTCCTTATAAGAAGGAACACCAGCCCTCCCTGGCATCCCCCTGTCCCATGCATGCACTGAGGAAAGGCCATGTGAGCACACAGGAGGACAGCGCCATCTGCAACCCAACAGGAGAGCCAGACACCAAGCCTGCTGGTACTTGATCTAGGATTTCCAGTCTCCAGAACTAAATTTCTGTCACTTAAGCCACCCAGTCTATGATGTTTTGTATGGCAGCCTGAGCAGACTGATGTATGCCACCACTGTTTGACCCCCAGAGCCGATGGAATCATCTTCTTAAGCATCTCATTCCCATTTTTGGGGCTTCCTTGCTTTCCTTGAGATGCAGCAGCTAGAATGGCATATCCTGTCTCTAGTGTGACCTCACCAAACAGGAACAGCTGGATAGGTATTTAATAAGACTGTTAAGCAGAAGGCAGCTTTCTGGAGAAGCTTGTTGTCTATATACTTCATTATTTAATGTTGCTTAATCAGTAATGATACCCAGCATTGCCTCTCAATTTTCCTGTGGGCGGCAAGCCACCCAGGTACCGAGGCAAGAGACCGAGGACACGAGCTGTTCCAGTATAATAAAATATAAAATAAGAATAGTTATACCAGATATAGATCTTAGATATGATTATATATGAATATCGTTAATCATTAGTTTGTAGCAATTACTCTTATTCCAATATTATAATAATCCTTGCTCTATAATCATAACCTAGGAAAAACCAGGCCATACAGAGACAGGAGCTGAGGAGACATAGTGAGAAGTGACCAGAAGACAAGAGTGTGAGCCTTCTGTTATGCCTGGACAGGGCCACCAGAGGGCTCCTTGGTCTAGTGGTAACATCAGCATCTGGGAAGACGCCCGTTGCCAAGAGGACTGTGGTCTAGCGGTAGCGTTAGTGTCAAGGAAAAACACCTGCTACTTAGCAGACTGGGAAAGGGAGTCTCCCTTTCCCCGGGGGAGTTTAGAGAAGACTCTACTCCTCCACCTCTTGTGGAAGGCCTGACATGAGTCAGGCCCACCTGCAGTTATCTGGAGGCCTAACCGTCTCCCTGTGATGCTGTGCTTCAGTGGTCAAGCTCCTAGTCCGCCTTCATGTTCCATCTTGTACACCTGGCTCTGCCTTTTAGTTAGCAGTAGCAAATTAGTGAAAGTACTAAAAGTCTCTGATAAGCAGAAATAATAGTGTAAGCTGTTTCTCTCCTTCTCCTCTCTCTCTTTGCCTCAGCTGCCAGGCAGGAAAGGGTCCAGTGGACACATGACCCATGTGGCCTCACCTATCACTGGAGATGGCTCACACTCCTTATCCTGCCCCTTTGTCTTGTATCCAATAAATATCAGCGCAGCCTGGCATTCGGGGCCACTACCGGTCTCCACGCCTTGGTGGTAGTGGTCTGCCAGGTCCAGCTGTCTTTTCTTTTATCTCTTTGTCTTGTGTCTTTATTTCTATGCTCTCTCGTCTCTGCACATGAGGAGAAAACCCACCAACCCTGTGGGGCTGGACCCTACATTTTCCATTCATTTCTGAGTTACTAGAGCCCTCGGCTAAGGGCTGAGACTGCAGCACTCTGAAGAAGAAAGAGCAAACCAGCCTCACCTGCCATCTGCTTTGTTCTGGGCTTTGTGCTGTGTGCTCTATTTTTGTATGCATTGCCCATTTAACTGTCCCAGCTGCTCAGTGAGGTGGGATATGTATGGATGGTGTTGGGAAAAAAGCTCAGTGTTGGGAGAGAAGCTGAGGCAGGGCTTGCATGTCTGCTACACTTGCTGGCTCCTTGCTTCTAGCACTTCCATTATCTCAGGCAGCCATATGTTTCTCATTCACTTGATATACTGTTTCCTTTCAACACCCCCCTCCCCCATCCTCACCACCTGTTTGTTTGAGCACCAATAAATAGCGTGGGCTCCCAGAGCTCCAGGCCTTTGCAGCCTCCATACTCGCGATAGCCCCCTGGTCCCACTTTTTCTCATTCCTTTGACTCCTCTGGACTTCATCACCCCAGTGACCTGGTGTTGGGTCTGATAACCCCAACAGATGGGAAAATGAAGAATTTCAATATCAAGTTTTCTGTGCTCTGCCTAGCACTTCTGCTTCCCAGCTTGCTCTCTCTAACACCCTGCTCAGAGTTTTCCTCTGTGATGATGATTGTGTGTCCTGTGACCACAACATTCCCTGTTCCCGTTGCCTTCAGGAATGCACTGCTCTCCACCTCTGAATTTGATGCTATGGCTCTCATAATAATCATCTTTTGTGCAGGCCTCAACACTATTGCCTTTTCTTCCTGTTATTTTAATATGCCCACCGAGGGGTAGATCCAGTTCACTGCCTGCTCCATCCCAGTACCCAGACAGCTGACTATCTATCACAATGGCCACACAGTAAATTCATGACCCTGTACCTCAAGGGAACCATGTGTACTACCAGGAGGCATTTCTGCACTTCCTTAGTCCTCTCACTCTCCCAACTGCCCACCTTCATCCTCCTCAAATCCCCCAAATGCCTCCACAATTCTCGCAGTTGCTTTTTATTTCAATGAGAAAACAAAAGTTATCCTCAGAAGATGGTGTCCTCACTCTCTCACCATCACAATTCTAACCTGGCTACCCAAATACGCAAATGGTCTGCCTTAGGTAACAGTCATGAATCATGTCGACTTCTCTACTTGTTCATTACCTCAACCTCTCTTCCCTACTGAAGGACGACACGCCAGCAATTGTCCCCTCTCTCCTCCATCACCACGTCTTCAATATCCACTGAGTCACCCCATCAGCACATAAATATGTTGTTATTTCTTCTGTTTAAAACACCTTCCCTTGCACTCAATTCCATCGCATTTAATACTCCATTTCTTTGTCATCCTTTGTAGCAAAGCTTCTCAAAGTTATTTCCAATTTTCTCATCCCACTCTCCCTCAAGTCCACTTCAATCTGTCTTTCACTTCCTCTACTCCTCCAAAACCGCACTTGTCAAGGTCGCCAACAACCTTACATGGACAATAAATATTTGGTGCATAAATTAATAAAATAAATACAAATAAAATTACAAAGTGGTAAATGGATCTAAACAATCTTTGCCTAAGTCGTGATTTTTCTGGAGGCCAGGCTTGATGAAATATTAATGATTACTATCATTAGCACAATAAAAATTACCAAATAAACTACTATTTTGCTTAGCAGAAAGGAATTACACTAAAAATAAAATCAAATTTCTAGGAAGTCAATCACTCCAGTGATTTTTGCCAATCATCTTAATGAGTCTATTGATGTGCTAACGAACTCATTCTTAATTTCCGACAGCTTCCAAAACATTTTTAATCACTGAAAAAGTGATTCATAGGTTAGTCTGCAAAGAGATGCATCAATATCAATCACCACAATACAGGATTTTTAAACAAATTACTGCTGAGGCAGCTGGCAGACAGCCCATGGGAGAAATGTTTGCACTAGCCAGGTGTATGATAACTTACATTCATCGCAGCCCAAGTCTGTTGCCTCTATTGTCTTTCTTCTGGGATCTCAGTAGGACTGGTAGTGATATCAAAACAGGAAGAAATTGTAAACTTTCACACATCTAACTTTTAAAAGTTGGAGATTACTCTGAAATAATGACCTCTGACACTAAGGTCAGGATCAATACACGTTTTTAAAGTATGTTAAGATGGCTACTTGTCTTATTTTTTGTTGCTGTTACTTTATCCTTATTGACATAACAACCAGTACTGAAGTGATGTTTGTGAGCAAATGATATGGATTTTAGCATTTCAATTCCGTTGAGTTGGAGACAGCAGTCCCTCCTTCCTCCCGCAGGCCTGCAGGGGAGTACAGGATGATGTTACGAGGTCACCTAGGTCGATTCAGACCGTCAGCATCAATACACCCTGCCTGCTGCAGACACGCTCCCACTGTGTGAAGAGCTCTGCCCAGGGTCATTGCACAGGGTCAGCAAACGGCAAGTCCTGTTGGTTCATCCTTGAATGGCTTTATAAGATGAGAAGATTCTATATTCACAAAATTCTGAATCCCCATAAGTATGTCAAAGACGAAGTTACTCTCACTCTAAATTTAGTTATAGATCAAATTGGCTTTTATTCATGATTAATGAATCTGGGCTGTCTCCATTCTACAAATTAGAATGAGCGCCCCCACTGGGCAATGCCGGAAAAGTAGGTTTTGCAAGATAGGGACAAGGAAACAGAACAGTAGAGAAAAACTGACTGGTTAACTTGTTTACTTCTATTGTAAGAGTTAAAGCAGAAGGGGTTTCCTTATTAGTGGACTCAGGTAGACTGGACTCCTGACTTCAGGGGAAACCGGTTTGTTCAGGGACCCATTTGCTTCCTTAAAGTTTCCATTTTATTGTGTGCGTTTAGCATGAGTGCCTATATTTTGGCTTGGCCTGGTTTCTTGGGCCTAGTGCATAGGCCCAACATAGGCATTTCTTCACCAGGGGTTCTCAAACTTGGAATTGTACCAGTGAGCCATGGGCCCTAGTCTCTTTAAAGATTAAATGATAAAAAAGGGAGCATCTTTCGTGTCTCAGCTGCCTGTATTGAGATAATCAAGATAAAAGAAAAATAATTAAGGATAAAAGAAGATGCATAGTATGTCCCACAGGCCGGCGAGTCCACACCTGTTCATTTGAATACTTTATTCAAACTCCCCTAAGTGAAAATGTCTCCCATCTGTTTAGCATTCTTTAGCTTCAGAATTCTCCCAAATTATTTCCTTTTTTATGAGGCTAAAGTTTTGCCTGTTGACTGTCTGGTGTGAATTACATCCCAATCAATGGAAGGAAGAAGAAACAGAAGACGCTTCCATTTGCTAGTAAACATCTGTGCTGAAAAATAGCATATTTATTTCTTCCAAGTGAAGCAAATAATCTATTTTGTGGTTGAAGTGTTTTATTATTTTCATACACTTTCTACATTGCCTTGTTTTCTCATTAGGGTTGGATGCTCAAAAGATTTTTGTAATATTCAAATTTTGTATGGACCTTGAGTGATAAGCAATATTAGACATGGCAAATAAATAATTTCATTTCTAGTTTTTTGACTTCTTATCCAATTTTATTAAGTACCTGTTATGAACAGAGACACTATTTTTTTTAAATCGAAAGAGGATTTTATAAATGAAGTAGATGATATAACCCCTGCGTTTAAGGAGTTACGATCTATTTACATTCACTAAAGAAGAAAATCATAATGCTCAGTGGGTATGCCAACAAGATAAATAATGTTCTATAATGTTCTATTGTCTTTTAAATAAAGAAAATCACTGGCTCAGTTGACTTTAAGGTCTACACAGCAATCAACTGAGATTTCTTGGAGCTGAGTCCACACTCAGTGTGGAAATTTCCTACAAGAAAGATGAGCACTTCTCCAAGTCCTGGATGGATTATAAGTTACAAAGCTAAGCATTGCAACTGATAAAACCTAAGAGAAAATAATATTATTTGAGGACTTACTATGGGCCAAATGCTATGCTGAAGAGCTTCACGTGTATCCACATATTTAATCATCCCACCCTCCCTATGAGGTAAGTACTCGTATTCTGCCCATTTTGCAGATGAGAAGACTGATTCATAGAATAATTAGGTAACTTGCTCAAGAACATTCAGCTACTAAGTGGCAGAACAAGGATTTAAACTGTCTGTCTGACTCCAAGCCTGATGCGATTACTATATTCATTGACAGATGGACAAGTAAGGGCATCCAGTCCACGTTAAAATGTTCACTTTGCTTAGTTTGGAACGCAGGGCGATACTGGTTAAGTGGGACTACTGTTCCTATACGGGCTGAACAGAAAAAAGGCCTCCAAGTTATTCCATTCTATCCTCTATACACTATGTGAAAAGAAAGATCCATTTTAATTGCATCTGCAGCCGCTACCAGCAAACCTGTGCCTGATGGTGGGTCTGCACCTTACACTGTATACATACATATAAAAGCATGTTGTTTCTTTGGTCAATTAAGCCAAAATACCAGTTCCCTCAGAAAATAACATTCAGTCTGGCTGTTTGGCGTTACGTAGACACAATGTCTCAAGCAGTTTGTGTTAACATGATGTGACTTGCCGGCTGTCTTGAGTAGCATTGTATAATTGCTCCTCTTCACCTGCCAATACGTGCAGGAACATGACAACAGCCTAGCCCAGATTCCAGTGGGTGAACAAAGATCAAACAAGATTGGACATAAATTGATCATTGTTGAAGCTGCATGATGCATGCATGTAGGTCAATTATACCATTTTCCACCTTGCATTGCCCATAATAAAATATTTTTAAAGTTTTCAAATTTAAAACTTTATATCTAGAGAGTTTCAGGATATTTAACAAATGTCCCTGATTCTATAATGCAATTGTTTCTATCATTATAACTCTTTACACTTCCCTAGGAAAAGTGTTATATTAATGCTATGGTTAGCAGTTTGTATTAGTAACTATAATATTACAGGTAAGTTAAATATTAAATTAACTATGTGCTTTAAGAAGCACTGTAGATATATATGGCAAATCACTCTCAACAAAACTAGTGATGACCTGTAAAATTGTTTCCTCCTGTAAAACTGTTTCCATTCACCTTTCTACTTTCTTGGCCTCTTTTCTTTGGTTTAAATGTCTTGCTTATGTCTGCTACATAAACTTTGAAGGTTAAGAGAAAATTTGTCAAAGTGGAAATTTAAAAACAAGCAAAACCTGCTATTGTTCAATGATCCTCAAAACAAAACTCAATTGAATATTTCATATTTTTCGGAGGAGCTTGGCTCACAAAACACTAATTTATTTTAAAAACTCTCAGTCATCATATTCTCTGATGAAGGTGATGATGGTGGGGGGAGATGGCAGAACTGTAGATTGTTTTATTGCTGCATTTACTCAATATCTTCTTAAAAAACAAAACAAGACAAAAACATGTAAATGTCAATAAACTTAAAGGAGAAGTTTACTAGAAATAACTTTAGAAAGGATAACGCAGTGAACTGTGGCTAATGGTTTGAACAACATTTTGTAGTTTTAGTTTGAGAGAGCCACTAAAATATAGCATCTTCTATTGAAATAGTAATTCAATTAGATCTGGATAAGATGATTCAAATGACATTTAAAAAATAATGTATTCGGCCGGGCACGGTGGCTTATGCCTGTAATCCCAGCACTTTGGGAGGCGGAAGCAGGCAGATCACAAGGTCAGGAGTTCGAGACCAGCCTGGCCAACATGGTGAAACCCCGTCTCTACTAAAAATACAAAAATTAGCCAGGCCTGGTACCGGGTGCCTGTAGTCCCAGCTACTCGGAAGGCTGAGGCAGGAGAATCGCTTGAACCCGGGAGGCAGAGGTTGCCATGAGCCGAGATCACGCCACTGCACTCCAGCCTGGGCAACCGAGCAAGATTCCATTTCAAAATGATGATGATGATGATAATAATAATAATAATAATAATAATAATAATAATAATAATGTATTTGTTGGAGTAAAACTCATAATTCCATTGCTTTTGCAAGATAGTTCTGTCAGAGTCACAGTTTTATTATAGTCAGGCTAGAAGGGAGAAGGCCTTCTCATCATTGACCTGTAGTTATTTAATTAATCATTTTTAAAAATGAGATGAAAAACCACAATGAGATACCATCTCACACCAGTTAGAATGGCGATCATTAAAAAGTCAGGAAACAGATGCTGGAGAGGATGTGGAGAAATAGGAATGCTTTTACACTGTTGGTGGGAGTGTAAATTAGTTCAACCATTGTGGAAGACAGTGTGGCAATTCCTCAAGGATCTAGAACCAGAAATACCACTTGACCCAGCAATCCCCTTACTGGGTATATACCCAAAGGATTATAAATCATCCTACTATAAAGACACATGCACACGTATGTTTACTGCAGCACTGTTCACAATAGCAAAGACTTGGAACCAAACCAAATGCCTATCAATGATAGACTGGATAAAGCAAATATGGCACATATACACCATGGAATACTATGCAGCCATAAAAAGGATGAATTCATGTCCTTTACAGGGACATGGATGAAGCTGGAAACCATCATTTTCAGCAAACTAACACAGGAACAGAAAACCAAACACTGCATGTTTTCATTCACAAGTGTTCATAAGTGGGAGTTGAACAACAAGAACACATGGACACAGGGAGGGGAACATCACACACCAGGGCCTGTCAGGGGGTGGGGGACTAAGGGAGGGATAGCATTAGGAGAAACACCTAATGTAGATGACAGGTGGATGGGTGCAGCAAAACACCATTGCACAGGTACACCTATGTAACAAGCCTGCACGTTCTGCACATGTATCCCAGAAGTTAAAGTATAATATAAATAAATAAACAAATAAAATGAGCATTAAGGAACTTACAGCTCAAAACAAAATGTAGGTCCCTTACAACGACTTATGTCAAAATGTATGATACCCCTATCAACCCACTCAAGGTAACCAACATCCTAATCCTAGATTCATAATTCCCCGGCTTTTCTTTTGAGTTTTATCTATGCATGTGCATAAGTAAATTCTCTTGAAATCTTGATTGTTTGTAAGTTTTATTAAAGTGCCAAATGCAATTTTTTGGAACTTCACTTTTCTCTTTAAATATAGTATTGTTAAAATTCATCCTGTTGTTGTTTCTGTGGTTCATTTGCTTGTATAGTAATATGACATTCATCATGTGAACAGACCATGAATTATTCACCCACACTTCTTTAATGGGCAATGAGTTGTTTACAAGAATTTGCTCATTGTGAATGGAGCTGCTTTAAACACTCTTGGCCAGGTCTCCTGTTGCATGAGCAGTCTGTACCTGAAACGTTGCTGGTCACCATGTCAGAAGGAAAGAGAGCATGTGAATAACACACCGGCCAGTACACAGCCTCCACTCGGGAGTGACGCGCATGTGAATAACACACCGGCCAGTACACAGCATCCACTCGGGAGTGACGCGCATGGTGAATAACACACCGGCCAGTACACAGCATCCACTCGGGAGTGACGCGCATGGTGAATAACACACCGGCCAGTACACAGCATCCACTCGGGAGTGACGCGCATGGTGAATAACACACCGGCCAGTACACAGCATCCACTCGGGAGTGACGCGCATGGTGAATAACACACCGGCCAGTACACAGCATCCACTCGGGAGTGACGCGCATGGTGAATAACACACCGGCCAGTACACAGCATCCACTCGGGAGTGACGCGCATGGTGAATAACACACCGGCCAGTACACAGCATCCACTCGGGAGTGACGCGCATGGTGAATAACACACCGGCCAGTACACAGCATCCACTCGGGAGTGACGCGCATGGTGAATAACACACCGGCCAGTACACAGCATCCACTCGGGAGTGAGGCGCATGGTGAATAACACACCGGCCAGTACACAGCATCCACTCGGGAGTGAGGCGCATGGTGAATAACACACCGGCCAGTACACAGCATCCACTCGGGAGTGACGCGCATGGTGAATAACACACCGGCCAGTACACAGCATCCACTCGGGAGTGACGTGCATGGTGAATAACACACGGGCCAGTACACAGCATCCACTCGGGAGTGACGCGCGTGTGAATAACACACCGGCCAGTACACAGCATCCACTCAGGACTGACGCGCGTGGTGAATAACACACCGGCCAGTACACAGCATCCACTCAGGAGTGACGTGCATGTGAATAACACACGGGCCAGTACACAGCATCCACTCAGGAGTGACGCGCATGTGAATAACACACCGGCCAGTACACAGCATCCACTCAGGACTGACGCGCGTGGTGAATAACACACCGGCCAGTACACAGCATCCACTCAGGAGTGACGCGCATGTGAATAACACACCAGCCAGTACACAGCAACCACTCAGGACTGACGCGCGTGGTGAATAACACACCGGCCAGTACACAGCATCCACTCAGGAGTGACGCGCATGTGAATAACACACTGGCCAGTACACAGCATCCACTCGGGAGTGACGCGCATGGTGAATAGCACACTGGCCAGTACACAGCATCCACTCGGGAGTGACGCGCGTGTGAATAACACACGGGCCAGTACACAGCATCCACTCAGGAGTGACGCAAGTCACTTTTGCTTATAGAGCAAGTCACAGGCTAGACCTCAATTCAAGGAGAGTGTGTGTGGAAGTGTAGTCTCTTCATGAGCTTAATGGTAGAAATGGAAATAGTTGGTGGACAGCAGTCATACCGCCACAGCATCTATTAAGCTCCAGCCTCTGTGCCAGACCCTGTTATAGGTGCTGAGAATACAGGGTGAATACAATAGACAAAGTATTTATCTTCACGAAGATGATATTCTCACTGGGGAGAGACAGCAAATAAGCATTGCAGAACGGCCTGAAGTTTCAGAATGGGTTGTAACCTTAGAACATTGCCTGCTATCCAAATCTCCTTGGAACAAATCCACCTAGCACCAGGAATCAATTTAATCGTGGCTCTAGAATTCACAACAAAATCGAATAATACAGTTGAAGTGACTTCGTTTGGATTTTACAGACCAACTTCATGGCAGAGTTGACTGAAATAAATGTCCAGAACGTTTTTAATTGGACTTCGAGTTCATATACATGGTGCATACAGGGGCAACATATTCTCCCTTTGTTTAGAGCAGAGTTTCCTGCATGAACCAGCATGCAGGAAACTATCACTTGTGAATCTATCACTCTACATGGGTTTCTGATCTGAGTTCTTTGGGAAAGCAATAGCTGTCACTTCTTGTAAAGTGCTGCCGATACAGGTGGGAATTGTATTTCACTGCATCTCATTTGAATCAGAAGTACAAGGGCAAAAATCACGGGATCTTTATTCATTGACAGTACCGTCAATCCCAATTAATCAACACCTGGAGGATTCTCCAATAACACAAGTGTGCTGAATTCAGTTCCTATGTACTCTAATAATAGTCTCATTTATATTCTGAGTGCATGATTAGTGATTCTGCATTGCTAGATTTCATTAAGAGATACATGGGAGGGAGTTTTTGAAAAAAAGATCATCTGTTTGTTGCAAAATAAAAAAAAATATAACTTGAATTGAGTATATTCTCATTAATCGTTAGCAATCAAATGACCTGAGCTTTCCCCTAAACTACACAAGCTAATAACTGACATTACCATGGACATAAGCAGAAACATAACAGCATGGTGCCAGCCATGACTGTTTCTGTTAAAGCATAAACACCAAAATAACAGAAAGCCTCTGTAACCTAATAACTAGACATGGTATCCTTAGAACTCTCATAAATAATATATAAAAGTCTAGTGATTCATGAATTTGGGAAACAAAGCTCTATGCGGGCCAGCTTCCCATCTAGCCGGAGACCACTGCCTCATCAGAGTTAGGATGGAATACTGCCTAGCTTGGCAGCTGGCTCTAAATGACTGTGCGATGCGTTAGACTCCTTACATAATTAAAAATTATGTAAGGAGTCTAAATTCTGCTTAGTTCTTATATAAGCAGAATCTGTACGGCAAAAGAGAAGAACAAATTTTTTTTTTGAGACGAACAAATTTTTTTTCCTACATAATTAAAAACTATGTAGGAGTCTAAATTCTGCTTAGCTCTTACATAAGCAGAATCTGTATGGCAAAAGAGAAGAACAAATTTTTTTTTTGAGACGGAGTTTTGCTCTTGTGGCCCAGGCTGGAGTGCAATGGTGTGATCTTGGCTCACTGCAACCTCCACCTCCTGGGCTCAAGCGATTCTCCTGCCTCATCCTCCTGAGTAGCTTGGATTACAGGCATGCACCACCATGCCTGGCTAATTTTGTATTTTTAGTAGAGATGGAGTTTCTCCATGTTAGTCAGGCTGGTCTCGAACTCCCAACCTCAGGTGATCCGCCTACCTTGGCCTCCCAAAGTGCTGGGATTACAGGCGTAAGCCACTGCGTCTGGCCAAAACTTTTTAAAAATAATTAGTCTGAATTAAATATACCAAGAAGCAAATGCTGGCAATTTTTTTGGCTTTCGGGGATAGTTTATTTCTATTCATTTTTAACAATCTTTAACAGGCTTCACTACCTTCTAGCTCCAGGCACTTATTCTTTGATCTCTTCAGCAACATCCTAATGAGTCTCCTGGCTTCCTCACTTAACTCACAACCCAACCCATTCTCCACAGAGCAGCCAGAGTAAACTCTTTAAAAATATGTAAATCATATTAAATCAATCCCTCCCTAAAATCTTTCATGCCTTTGTCATCAGAGAGATCAAAAACCTCAATCTCCTTTCCATAACTGACAAGTCCCTGCAAACAGCGGACTGCATATCCCATCTCATCTCTATGCTTTTCCTCTCACTCGTCTCTCTGCTTTTCCTCTCACTCCTCTTTATTCTTTTCCTCTCACCGCATACTGTTTTGGGTAGCAGTGGTTCATTCATTTTCAAGCTATAAGTTGGTTCATTTTATAAACACACAAAACATGAATGAGCTGTTCAACTGCTGATGGACATTTCAGGTGTTTCCAATGTTGGCAACCATGAATAATGCTGCTGCACACATTCTCGTATGTAGGTACACATATTTGTGCATTTCTTTTGGGAATATAGCAAGGAGTAAAATTGCTAGCTTAAAGGGAAAGTTTTTATTCAGCTTTATTAGACAGTACTGAATAGTTTTGCAAAATGGTTGTACCAGTTGACACCCAAACAAGAGAGAATGAGAGTTAACTGTACGTTCTCTCCAGCATTAACTGTTGTTAGTCTTGGGGTTTTAAGCGGGCTGTTGTTGTAGCTCATTGCCGCTCTCTCCCTACGGGAATTTGCTGTTATTGTTGTTGTTGATGTATAATTATATTCAGTTTGTGGCTTGCTTTTTTATTGTGTGTTCCTTGAAAGAAGTTTTAATTTTGATTAAATGTAGTTGTTTTTTTCTTTCATGATTTGTTCTGAGTTCTCTCTAGGAAAACTTCGCATAACCACAGGTTGCAAAGATATTCTGTATTTTTCCAGGAGCTTTGTAGTTTCAGCTTTTCAATTTAAAAATGTAACATGTTTCAAGTAAATTTTTATACATGGCATAATATATGGACCAATTTTCAATCATTTTAATATAGATATTTAATTGACTATGTGCTTTCGGCTGAAAGTTTTCCTCAACTTATTGAATTATTTTGTCGCAGCCGAGCACAGCGGCTCGCACATAAAACTGCAGCACTTTGGGAGGCAAAGGCAAGAGCATCACTTTAGCTCAGAAGTTCAAAACCAGTTCTGGCAACTTGGCAAAACCTTGTCTCTACAAAAAATACCAAAATTAACTGGGTGTGGTGGCATGCACCTGTAGTCCCAGCTACTCAGGAGGCTGAGGTGGGAGGATCACCTGAGCCAGGGAGGTTGAGGCTGCAGTGAGCCACGATCATGCCACCACACTCCAGCCTAGGTAATAGAGTGAGACTCTGTCTCGAAAAATAAAAATTAAAAAATAAATTATTTTGTTGCATTTTTTTGAAAGTTGATTGACCATGTATTGTGGAGCTATATCTGAAATCTCCATTCTGCTCTGTTGATCAGTCTGTCTATCCACATGTTGATTTCACATCTCATGACAGCTCTATAATGTGCTTTAAAGTCAGGTGGAGTATGCTATCCAATTTTGTTATTCTTTTTGAAATTGTTTTGCCTATTCTGAGTCCTTTACATTCCATATATATGTCAGAATCAACTTATCAATATATACTCCCCCTCAAAAAAAATTCTAACCTTGCTGCAACTTTGAAATTCAATTGCATTTATGGACGAATTGGGAAAAATTAATGACTTTACAACTATGAGGATTATATATCTCTCCACGTACTTAGGTCTTTCTTGTTTTCTATTTTTTGATATTTATTTTATTGGAACTGATCTCTATAAATTTGTCTGTATATAGAAATACAGAAAATTTATATATATATATATACCTCATATCCTGAAGTCATGTTGATTTCAACTTATCCAATTTAGTATAAATGCAGATTTTTTTCTTAGATTTCTGTGAGTTTTCTATATAAAATCATGTTATTTGCAAATATAGTTTTACTTCTTCATTTCCAATATTTCTTCTCTTTTATTTTTGTCTTTTTTTTCCTTATTGCATTGGATTAGATATTTAGTAGAATAATTAATGCAAGTGGTGAGAGGGGACATATTCGCTTTGATTCTCA
This sequence comes from Homo sapiens, assembly GCF_000001405.40. Taxonomy (NCBI): domain Eukaryota; kingdom Metazoa; phylum Chordata; class Mammalia; order Primates; family Hominidae; genus Homo; species Homo sapiens. Next base: position 186,376,549 of record NC_000004.12, read on the forward strand.
TTTCGGGGGAAATGAGTTCAGTATTTTACCATTAAGTGTAATGTTAGTTGTAAGATTTGCACAGATACCCTCTTTTTTTTGTCATCATGAATGAATGTTGGATTTTGTTAAATGTTTTTTCTGAATCTTGAGATGATCATCTGAGTTTTCTTCTTTAAATTATATTGATTTTTTTTCAAACTTTAACATAATAGTTTCGGGATAAACCTCACTTTGTGATGATACATTATTTTTCTATAACATTAGATTTAATTTACCAAAATTTTGTTCTAGATTTTTGCATTCATGTTAATGAGGGATGCTGGTGCGTGTGTTCTTGTCAGAAGCTCTTGTCAGAGGTTTGTATTAGGGTTTTCTAAAAGCTTTTTTATGATTTGAATTATTTCTTCCTTAAATGTTTCATAAGAATTCATCCATGAAGCAGTCTGGGATGATGTCGACCAGGGATAGAAAGGAAAACTGTGCCTGTTTTTAAATGAGCCTCCTTATTGCCAAACAGCCAGCTCCTGTGCTTTCTCCACAGCCTGGCTCAGTTCCACAGACCACCCTGGGCCACCTCTGCCTTCAGGGCCTCTTTGACTTCCTCCAGTCCTCATGTGAAATATGTATTTGTTGCCATCGTTCCTCCTTTTGTTTGCCATTTTCCTCATAATTTATTGTGTGGTTTATGTTTTATTAGTATTCTCCCCCTTCCCACGTACATCAGTGTGTCCTAGAACAGGTTCTACCCTATAAGCTTCCATGTTTCTAACTCTCGGTGGGGTAACATACACACAGGTAGTCTCAGAAAATGACTTTGGAAGAGGTTAAGAGTGACGGAGATTATAACCAGTAATATGAGTTCATATTACCAGTTTACAGCACAAATGCAGAGAAAACTTATTTTTGCTTGTTTCTGATTCCAGCTCCCAAATACTACATACACACACACACACACACACACACACACACACACACACGCACACATATGCTCTTCCTCTCCGAAGCCTTACTCTTAACCACACAAATTGTTCAATAGCCCCTAAGGGTTATTTAGGCCTAAAATATCAATGCTGAGTTTCAATGCTAGACAGAGAGAAAAACAGATAAATCTGATTTGTCTAATTGCACAGTTACTTTTTTTAACTTTTATTTCCAGTTCAGGGATACACGTGCAGGTTTGTTACACAGGTAAACTTGTGTCATGGGGGTTTGTTGTACAGATTATTTCATCACCCAGGTATTAAGCCTAGTACCCATTAGTTATTTTTCATGATCCTCTCCCTCCTCCCTCCCTCCACCCTCCAAAAGGCCCCAATGTGTGTTGTTCCCCTCTGTGTCCATGTGTTCTCATCATTTAGTTCCCCCTTATAAATGAGAATATGCAGCATTTGGTTTTCTATTCCTGTAATTGCACAGTTACTTGGTTGCTTTAATTGTTAAGAGAACCGCCTTAGCGTCAGATGGACACATCTCCATTTCCCTGGTCCTTGCTGGCCTGGCTCCCCCCAGCATTGCAGTCATGCCCCATGGTTGGCTTCAAAGTCAGGGCTCATGTGCTCACATGCCCAGCATTTGTTCCTCATACATAGTGTTTATGGCAGCATCTGAGAGAGCTTCCTGTCTCAGCGCAGGCTGTGCCAGAACTAGACCTCCCACAGAACCCTCGACCTATGCTAAGGCCAACAAACTCTTCCCTCCTCGTATGTTCCCTTTAGGCTTTGCTGAACCTGATGTCCTTTTTTTAATTTTTATTTATTTTTTGAGACAGAGTCTCACTCTGCTGCTCAGGCTGGAGTGCGGTGGTGCAGTTATGGCTCACTGCAACCTCAACCTCCTGGGCTCAAGCGATTCTCCCACCTCGGCCTTCCAAGTAGCTGGGGCTATAGCCATTTGTGTAGAGACGGAGTCTTGCTATGTTGTCAAGCTGGTCTCGAACTCCTGGCCTCAAGCAATCCTCCAGCCTCAGCCTCCCAAAGCACTGGGATTACAGGAGTGAGCCACCATGATGTTCTTTTCTCTGAGCCGATCTTGGCAAATGCCTCTGTGATTCACGTAGATTTTTCTAACTTTCACTCTCAGGGTTACGTATTTCACTCTCCCTCCAGCTCCCAGTACAGATATACAAAATCACTGTTGAAAAGAAATAAAATGAATCTGTAAAGCCAAGACTTCAGCGTAAGTTGAAAGAAAAAAATGTGTCAATCAAGGGAGCGCATGTGTAAATAACAGCCAGAACATCTGCCCTGCTCCAATAAAACAAGGCCATTCGCAGGTTTATTTCTAGACTGGCGACAGATGTCGAAAACTGTTGCGGTGCCGTGGTGCCAGCCGAAGACCCACCTAACAAACCAGCTCCTGTGCTCCGCTAAGAAAATTCACATAATAACTAAGAGCTCCACTGTATCTTTTTCTCCAGGGAAAGAAAACATTGATCAGTGATCACAAGTCCCCTGTTGACCTGGGGGTTGTACTTCTCATTGGAGTGGAAGGAACCACCTTTCTGATTTTCATATCTCAATTCTATGAGGTGATTATATCCACTGAGTACAGCTCTGATCTCTGTGCTGTCAGATCAGGTTCTCGATCCTGCATTCTGGAAAACCCAAACCTGGTCTGGGTTGAATTTGCCAAGGTAAAGCCAATCAGCTTTTTCCAAGTGATATTTAGCTTTCTTACAAGCACCCTTTCTTCAGACTGCAACACACACACACACAGCACACACACACACCACACATTGGTCACAATTGGAGAATGCAAAACTCAATATTTTGAAAACTTATAAATAAAAGAAAACATTCAAGCATTTATTATGTCATTTTTTACCAACAATTTTAGGGAGTAACCAAATACGAGATGAGAAGAATATATGAAAACAAACAATAAAATTGAATATAGTAATTTAGCAACTTCTCATGAATTAATGAATGACACTGATATTTAGATGGCTACTGACACAATTTTAAAAAAGATAACCAGAAATACATGATTCCTGATGAGAAATACATAACTTCAGAAATAGTCTTGTCCTCCCAAAATTAAATAAACCAATCAAGCAAAATCATATCAAGCCTTTATATTCAACTACCAATTTATTTAAAAAATACCGAAGATGGAGGAAGACATTGTAAAGCAGACCAGGATGTAATCTGGAAAATCCACACTGTGATTGTCAAAAGTTCTATAGAAAAGATAATCCATTTTCTTCAATAAATAAATTGTAAGAGAAAAAGAAGATGGATGAGAATCTAGAGAGCAAAATAAATGTAAACCAAGTCTTTTTTTTTTTTTTTTTTTTTAGACGGAGTCTCGCTCTGTCACCAGACTGGAGTGCAGTGGCAAGATCTTGGCTCACTGCAGCCTCCACCTCCCAGGTTCAAGCAATTCCCCTGCCTCAGCCTCCCAAGCAGCTAGGACTACAGGCGCGTGACACCACGCCTGGCTAATTTTTTGTATTTTAGTAGAGATGGGGTTTCACCGTGTTGGCCAGGATGGTCTCAATCTCCTGACCTCACGATCTGCCAGCCTCAGCCCCCGAAAGTGCTGGGATTACAGGCATGAGCCACCACGCCAAGTCCAATGTTAGCTGTGTCTTAACCAATCATACCAGGAGACACATTGGATCCTGATTGGAACAAATTATTTTTTAAATGACATTTATAAGATGACAGAAAATTTTAATATGCACATGATATTTTATAAGTTAAGAAATTGCTAAATTTTTATATGAGATAGTCATTTGGTGGTTGTTTTATTTAGAGTTCTTAGCTTCTCGAGATATCCTAAAAATTTTCAGGATAAAACTACATAATGTCCACGGCTTGCTTACTATGGGGGCCAGGAACTGGTGGGATGTAGATGAAGCAGGATCATCTTCAACTGATGATTTTGGAACCTGGGTGATGGAAACACAGGTGTTGGTACACTATGAAGTCAAATTTACACATATTCGAAATGATTATTCAATATGAAAATTGAAAATGCTATTTTTCATAATAAAAAGCTTATAAGTTCACAATAATAGCAGCAATCTGGAAATCCTCAGGTGATATTTGTCACAGAATAATTGATTCAAGGTAGAACTTGTCGGACCCCGTGCTGTGCTGTGTATGAACAAAAGCAGAGTTCATTTTGTAGTTGTCAGATTCTTTTTATAACCTCAGGAAAAAAAAAGTAGATAACAGGACTGAAATATAGTGGTGTTACACTGAGAACCATTGAATTTTAAAGGTAGTAAAGAAAATATTAATGACAGTTTTAAGAAATTCTATACACCATATGCTAATAAGTTGTTTTTATGCGTTTTCTAGGGTGGTAATTCAAGCAAAATTTGTTAACATGAATGAAGACTATAATTTTTGCCATGTACGCACAAACATCTTACATATCAAGGAGAAATATAGCAATAAGAAGACATTAAAACAGCACAGAAAAGCTTTCAAATTTATTGTTTATTGGGTACAAAGAGGTATAATTTAAAATATATTTCCAGATTCCCGAAATACATCACCATAACTGAGTTAACTAATACACTCTCCTTTGGCCAATGATATGTATTACCCGAAAAGATCATAGAAAGGAGACTTTTAAGAGACAGATCATCATGGCGGACGGGAGGCAGGACTACATTGCAGCTCCCTCAGGGCAGCGTGCGGGGCTCGCATTGTGACTTTTAGCTCCAGATGGACTGCAGGAAGAAACCAGCAGTCCCGAGAGGACCCGCAGACCCTCTGAAGGAAGTGGGCTGCTCCTGCAGGACCCGGGAGACCCCCGCAAAAGTGTGAGTGCCCCAACTGCAGAAGTGGGAGAGGGAGACCCTCCTCTCCCAAACACACACCCCCACTGGGGAAGCTGAAGGTCTGTTTGCGGGAGAATTTCCAACTTTACCTGGAGCTGAGTCCGTCTGGGGAGCCCAGTGAGGTACAGGGGTAGAGGAAGCAGCGGAAAGGCCCGCGGAGCTCGCTGGGTCCCCGAGCAGCCCATTCCTGCTGGCACCACAGGGATCCATCGGGAGAGGAGGGGGTAAAACTCCACAGGGAGAAGGAAATCTCTAGCTGAGCGTTGTAACAATTTGAACTGGGTGAGAATCCTCCTGGCCAGAACTAGGGCAGGGCACGAATCCGGGGTGCAGACTCCACAGGCGGGGGAAGAACCAAGCCTTTTTCTCTCGCAGCTGGGAGGCGGGTAGCCTGGGGCAGGTTTTCAGGCCTGTATCCCTCTCCGCCTGGAAACGGACTGGGGGCTGTTGGGGGGTGCACGGTGGGAGTGAGACCGGCCCTTTGGTTTGGGTGGGAGCTGGGCGAGCCCTGTGACTGCCGGCTTTCCCCCACTTCCCTGACAACCTGCATGACTCAGCAGAGGCAGACATAATCCTCCCAGGTACATAACTCCAGTGACCTGGGAATCTCACCCCCAGCCCCCACAGCAGCCGCAGCAAGGACCGCCCAAGGAGAGCCTGAGCTCAGAGGTGCCTACCCCACCCTCACCTGAGGGTCCTTCCCTACCCACCCTGGTAGCAGAAGACAAAGGGCATATCATCTTGGAGTTCTAGGGCCCCGCCCACCGCCGGTTCCTCGCCACACCACCACAGCTGATGCTCTCTGGAAAGTGCCACTTCCCGGCAGGAGGCCAAACAGCACAAAAATAGAGCGCTAAACCCTCACAGAGTCCATTGCACTCTCCCTGCCTCCCATCGCCACCTCCACCAGAACAGGTGCTGGCATCCATGGCTGAGAGACCCATAGACGGTTCACATCACAGGACTCTGTGCAGACAACCCCCAGTACCAGCCTAGAGCCGGGTAGACTCACTGGGCGGCTAGACCCAGAAGAGAGACAACAATCACTGCAGTTTGGCTCACAGGAAGCCAGATCCATAGGAAAAGGGGGAGAGTATTACATCAAAGGAAAACCTCGTGGGACAAAAGAATCTGAACAACAGCCAAATGAGAAGGAACCAGAAAACCAATTCTGGTAATTTGACAAAACAAGGCTCTTCAACACTCCCAAAATCACACCAGTTCACCAGCAATAGATCCAAACCAAGAAGAAATCCCTAATTTACCTGAAAAAGCATTCAAAAGGTTAGTTATTAACCGAATCAGGGAGGGACCAGAGACAGGCAAAGCCCAACGCAAGGAAATCAAAAATATGACACAAGAAGTGAAGGGAGAAATATTCAAGGAAATAGATGGCTTAAAGAAAAAACTAAATCAAAAATTCAAGAAACTTTGGACACACTTTTAGAAATGTGAAATGCTCTGGAAAGTCTCAGCAATAGAATTGAACAAGTAGAAGAAAGAAATTCAGAGTTCAAAGACAAGGTCTTTGAATTAACCCAATCCAACAAAGACAAAGAAAAAAAGAATAAGAAAATATGAACAAAGCCTCCAAGAAGTCTGGGATTATGTTAAACAACCAAATCTAAGAATAATCTCTGTTCCTGAGGAAAAAAATTCTAAAAGCTTGCAAAACATATTTGGAGGAAGAGTCGAGGAAAACTTCCCCAGCCTTGCTATACACCTAGACATCCAAATCCAAGAAGCACAAAGAACACCTGGGTAATTCATCGCAAAAAGATCTTTGCCTAGGCGCATCGTCATCAGGTTATCCAAAGTTAAGATGAAGGAAAGATTCTTAGGAGCTGTGAGACAGAAGCACCAGGTAACCTATAAAGGAAAACCTATCAGATTTCTCAGCAGAGATCCTACAAGCTAGAAGGGTCTGGGGCCCTATCTTCGGCCTCCTCAAACAAAGCAATTAATAGCCAAGAATTTTGTATCCAGCGAAACTAAGCATCATATATGAAGGAAAGAAACAGTCTTTTTCAGACAAACAAATGCTGAGAAAATTCACCATTACCAAGCCACCACTACAAGAACTGCTAAAAGGAGCTCTAAATCTTGAAACAAATCCTGGAAACACATCAAAATGAACCTCTTTAAAGCATACATCACACAGGACCTATAAAACAAAAATAAAAGTTAAAAAACAAAAACAAAAAAACCCTAAGTACACAGGCAACAAAGAGCATGATGAATGCAATGGTACTTCACATTTCAATACTAACATTGCATGTAAATGGCCTAAATGCTCCACTTAAAACATACAGAACCGCAGAATGCGTAAGAACTAACCAACCAACTAGCTGCTGCTTTCAGGAGACTCACCTAACACATAAGGACTCACATACACTTGAAGTAAAGGGGTGGGAAAAGGCATTTTATGCAAATGGACACCAAAGACGAGCAGGGGTGGCTATTCTTATATCAGACAAAACAAACATTAAAGCAACAGCAGTTAAAAGAGACAAAGAGGGACATTATATAATGATAAAAGGTCTCGTCCAAAAGAAAAAGATCACAATCCTACACATATATGCACCTAATGCTGGAGCTCCCAAATTTATAAAATAATTACTACTAGACCTAAGAATGAGATAGACAGCAACACAATAGTAGTGGGGAACTTCAGTACTCCACTGACAGCACTAGACAGGTCATCAAGACAGAATGTTAACAAAGAAACAAGGGATTTAAACTATACCTTGGAACAAATGGACTTGACATATATATACAGAACATTTCATCCAACAACCACAGAATACGCATTCTATTTAACAGCACATGGAACTTTCTCCAAGATAGACCACATGATAGGCCACAAAACGAGCCAAAATAAATTTAAGAAAATTGAAATTATATCAAACACTCTCTCAGACCACAGTGGAATAAAACTGGAAATCAACTCTAATAGGAACCTTCAAAACCATGCAAATACCTGAAAATTAAATAACCTGCTCCTGAATGAGCATTGGATCAAAAATGAAATTGACATGGAAATTAAAAAATCGTTTGAACCAAACAACAATGACACAACTTATCAAAACCTTTGGCATACAGCAAAGGTGGTGCTAAGAGGAAAGTTCATAGCCCTAAACACCTACATCAAAAAGACTGAAAGAGCACAAACTGACACTCTCAGGTCACACCTCAAGGAACTAGAGAAACAAGAGCAAGCTAAACCCAAACACAGCAGAAGGAAGGAAGTAACCAAGATCAGAGCAGAACTAAATGAAACTGAAACAAACAACAAACAATACAAAAGATAAATGAAACAAGAAGCTGGTTCTTTGAAAAGATAAATAAAATTGATAGACCTTTAGAAAGATTAACCAAGAAAAGAAGAGAAAAAATCTAAATAACCTCACTAAGAAACGAAACAGGAGATATTACAACTGACACCACTGAAATACAAAAGATCATTCAAGGCTACTATGAACACCTTTACATACATAAACTGGAAAACCTAGAAGAGATGGATAAATTCCTGGAAAAGAATACAACCCTCCTAGCTTAAAATCAGGAATATTAGATACCTAAACAGATCAATAACAAACAGTGAGATTGAAATGGTAATTTACAAATTACCAACGAAGAAGGTCCAGGACCAGAGTCACAGCAGAATTCTACCAGACATTCAAAGAAGAATTGATACCAATCCTTTTGACACTATTCCACGAGATAGAGAAAGAAGGAACCCTCCCTAATTCATTCTATGAAACCAGCATCACCCTAATAGCAAAACCAGGAAAGGACATAACCAAAAATGAAAACTACAGACCAATATTTTTGATGAACATAGATGCTAAAATCCTTAACAAAATACTAGCTAACCAAATCCAACAACATATCAAAAAAAATAATCCACCATGGTCAGGTAGGTTTCATATCAGGGATGCAGGGATGGTTTAACATATACAAGTCAATAAATGTGATACACTACATAAACAGAATTAAAAACAAAAATCACATAATCATCTCAACAGAGGCAGAAAAAAGCATTTGACAAAATCCAACATACATTTATGATAAAAACTCTCAGTAAAATCAGCATACAAGGAACATACCTTAATGTAATAGAAGCCATCTATAACAAACCCACAGCCAACATAATACTGAATGGGGAAAAGTTGAAAGCATTCCCTTTGAGAACTGGAACAAGACAAGGATGCCCACTCTCACCACTCCTCTTCCTCACAGTATTGGAAGTCCTATCCAGAGCAGTCAGACAAGAGAAAGAAATAAAGGGCATCTAAATCGGTAAAGAGGAAGTCAAACTGTCACTGTTTGCTGACGACTTTATCATTGACCTCAAAAACCCTCAAGGCTCCTCCAGAAAGCTCCTAGAACTGATAAAAGAATTCAGCAAAGTTTCCAGATAGGAGATTAATGTACACAAATCAGTAGCTCTTCTATACACCAACAGCGACCAAGTGGAGAATCAAATCAAGAACTCAACCCCTTTTACAATAGCTGCAAAAAAGTTAAAATACTTAGGAATATACCTAACCAAGGAGTTGAAAGACATCTACAAGGAAAACTACAAAACACTGCTGAAAGAAATCATAGATGACACAAACAAATGGAAACACATCCCATGTTCATGGATGGGTAGAATCAATATTGTGAAAATGACCATACTGCCAAAAGCAACCTACAAATTCAATGCAACCCCCATCAAATACCACCATCATTCTTCACAGAATTAGAAAAAACAATTCCAAAATTCATATGGAACCATAAAAGAGCCCACATAGCCAAAGCAAGACTAAGCAAAAAGAATAAATCTGGAGGCATCACACTACCTGATTTCAAACTATACTATAAGGCCATAGTCAACAAAACAGCATGGTAGTGGTATAAAAATAGGCACATACACTAATGGAACAGAATAGAGAACCCAGAAATAAACTGAAATACTTACAGCCAACTGATCTTTGACAAAGCAAACAAAAACGTAAAGTGGGAAAGGACACCCTTTTCAAAAAATGGTGCTGGCATAATTGGCTAGCCACATGTAGGAGAAAGAAACTGGATCCTCATCTCTCACTTTACACTAAAATCAACTCAAGATGGATTATGGATTAAGGACTTAAACCTAAGACCTGAAACTGTAAAAATTCTAGAAGATAACATTGGAAAAACCCTTCTAGACGTTGGCCTAGGCAAGGATTTCATGACCAAGAACCCAAAAGCAAATGCAATAAAAACAAAGATAAATAGCTGGAACCTAATTAAACTAAGGTGCTTTTGTATGGCAAAAGGAACAGTCAGCAGAGTAAACAGACAACCCACAGAGTGGGAGAAAATCTTCATAGTCTATACATCTGACAAAGAACTAATATCCAGAATCTACAATGAACTCAAACAAATCAGTAAGAAACAAACAAACAATCTCATCAAAAAGTGGGCTAAGGACATGAATAGACAATTCTCAAAAGAAGATATACGAATGGCCAACGAACATAGGAAAAAATGCTCAACAACTAATAATCAGGGAAATGCGAATCAAAACCACAATGTGATACCACCTTACTCCTGCAAGAATGGCCATAATCAAAAAATAAAAAAACAGTAGATGTTGATGTGGATGCAGTTAACAGGGAACACTTCTACACTGCTGGTGGGAATGCAAACAGCCACTATGGAAAACAGTGTGGAGATTCCTTAAAGAACTAAAAGTAGAACTACCATTGGATCCAGCAATTCCACTACTGGGTATCTACCCAAAGGAAAAGAAGTCATTATACGAAAAAGATACTTGCACATGCATGTTTATAGTGGCACAATTCACAATCGCAAAATCGTGAAACCAACCCAAATGCCCATTGATCAATGACTGGATAAAGAAACTGTGAGATAGATATATATATGTGTATATATATATATATGATGGAATACTATGCAGCCATAAAAGGGAATGAATTAACAGCATTTGCAGTGACCTGGATGAGATTGGAGACTATTATTCTAAGTGATGTAACTCAGGAATGGAAAACCAAACATTGTGTGTTCTCACTGATATGTGGGAGCTAAGATATGAGGATGCAAAGGCATAAAAATGATACAATGGACTTTGGGGACTTGGGGGGAAGAGAGGGAGGGGGGTAAGGGATAAAAGCCTACAAATATGGTGCAGTGTATACTGCTGAGGTGATGGGTGCACCAGGATCTCACAAATCATCACTAAAGAACTTACCCATGTAACCAAATACCACCTGTACCCCAATAACTTATGGAAAAATATAAAAAAAGAAAGGAGATCTTTATATTTAAGTATGTGTAGTGTATATATCTATATCTGCATATATATATATATCTGCCTCTTTATCTATATATATTTAGCCATATATATATATATATAAATAAATAGATCATAAAAGTAAAGGGTATATATTTACTTGCACTTTCTATGATTTTAGCAAAATATATAACATTGATATATGATTAGGCTGATGCTATTATTTTAAAAGAATCATGGAGGAAGTAAAAGTAAAACCAAAAACTATATAATCATCTCAATAGATGCAGAAAAAGCTTTTGATAAAATCCAACATCCCTTCATGATAAAAACCCTCAACAGACTAGGCATTGAAGGAACGTACCTCAAAATAATAAGCACCATCTGTGACAAAACCACAGCCAACATCATACTGAGTGGGCAAAAGCTGGAAGCATTTCCCTTGAGAACCAGAACAAGACAAGGATGCCTGCTCTCACCAGTCCTATTCGGCACAGTACTGGAAGTCCTAGCAAGAGCAATCAGGCAAGAGAAAGAAATGAAGGGCATCAGAAAGGAAGAAATCAAACTATTTCTCTTTGCTGATGATATGATTCTATACCTGGAAAATCCTAAATACTCTGCCAAAAGGCTCCTGGAACAATCAGCAACTTCAGTAAAGTTTCAGGATACAAAATCAGTGTGCAAAAATCAGTAGTATTTCTATTCACCAATAACATTCAAGCTGGGAGCCAAATGAAAAACACAATCCAATTTACAATAGTAGCATAAAAAATTAAATACCTAGGGATACAGCTAACCAAGGAGGTGAAAGAGCTGTACAAGGAGAACTACAAAACACTGCTGAAAAAAATCAGAGATGACACAAATGAAAAAATATTCCATGCTCATGGATTGGAATCATTAATATCATTAAAATGGCCATCCTGCCCAAAGCAATGTACAGATTAAACACTATTCCTAACAAACTACCAACATCATTTTTTCACAGAATTAGAAAAAACTATTCTAAAATTCATATGGAACCAAAAAGAGCCCAAATAAACAAGCGATCCTAAGCAAAAAGAACAAAGCCAGAAACATCTTATTACCCAGCTTCAAAATAGACTACAAGCCTACAGCAACCAAAAAAGCGTGATACTAGTACAAAAAAGACATGTAGATCATTGGAACAGAGCAGAGAATCCAGAAATAAAGCCAAACACCTACAACCGTCTGATCTTTGACAAACTTGACAAAAATAAGCAATGGGGAAAAGACTCTCTATTCAATAAATAGTGTTGGGGTAGCTGGCTAGCCATATGCAAAAGATTGAAACTGGAGCCCTACCTATCAGCACATAGAAACATTAACTCAAGATGGAATAGAGACTTAAATGTTAGACCTCAAGCTATAAAAATCCTAGAAAAAAATCCAGGAAAAACCCTTCTTGAAATCGGCCTTGGCAAATAATTTATGGCTAAGCCTTGAAGACCTATCCCAACAAAAACAAAAATTGATAATCGGGACTTAATTACACTAAAGAGCTTCTGCATAGCAAGAGAAACTATCAAGTGATTAAACAGACAACCTGTGGGAGAAAATATTCGCAAACTATGCATGTGACAAAGGTCAAATATCCCAAATCTATAAGGAATGTAAATCAACAACCAAAAAAAACAAATAACCCCATTAAAAAGTGGGCAAAGGACATGAACAGACACTTCTCAAAAGAAGACATACAAGCAGCCAACAAACATGAAAAAATGCTGAACATCACTGATCATCAGAAAAATGCAAATCAAAACCACAGTAAGACACCATCTCACACCAGTCAGAATGGCTTTTGTTAAAAACTCAAAAAATAACAGACGTTGGCAAGGCTGCAGAAAAAAGGATACATTTATACACTGTTGGTGGGAGTGTAAATTAGTCCAGCCACTGGTAGAGAGCAGTTTGGAGATTTCTCAAAGAACTAACAGCTGAACTACCATTTGACCTGGCCATCTCATTCCTGGGTATATGCAAAGAAAAATCAATCATTCTACCATAAGGACACATGTGTGTTCATCACAGTGCTATTCACAATGGCAAAAACACGAAATCAACCTATGTGCCTATCGACAGTGGACTGGATAAGGAAAATGTGGAGCATATCCACCATAGAATGCTGTGCAGCCATAACAATGAGGAAATCATGTCCTTTGCAGCATCATGGATGCAGCTGGAGGCCATTATCCTAAGCAAACTAACTCAGGAACAGAAAGCAAATACCGCATGTTCCCACTTACAGGTGGGAGCTAAACACTGAATCCACACGGACACAAGGATGGCAACAATTGACACTGGAGGCTACTGGGGCTGGAGGCGAGTAAGGGCTAAACTACCTACTGGGGACGATGTCCACTACCTGGGTGATGGATTCAGTCATACCCCAAACCTCAGCATAATGCAAGATACCTTTGTAACAAACCTGCCCATGTTCCTCCTTTTTCTAAAATAAAAGTTTTCAAAAAATAAAATTATGAGGCCAGGCATGGTGGCACATGGCTGTAGTCCCAGCTACTCCAGAGGCTGAAGAAGGATTTGGAGTCCAGCCTGGGCAACACAGCAAAATCCTGTGTCTAAAAACATAATAACAATACTATAAAATAAATAATTAAAATAAAAATAATTTTGGGTAAATCTTCACTCGGATTTAACCCTTGTGTGTTTATGTGGCTAGGCATCTGGAAAGCAGGAAACACAGGCAAGCGTTGATGCTGCAGTCTCGTGTCTGAGATCTGCAGGGTAGGCCGGACCAGCTGCAAACTCAGGCAGGATTTCTATGTTACTATCTTGAGGTAGAATTCCTTCTACTCCCAGAAATTTCAGTTTTTGCTCTTAGGGTCTTCAGCTTATTAGAGTAGGCCCACCTACATTATTGAGGGCAACCTGTTTCACTTTTTACCAAGTCAACTTATTGTAAATGTTAATCCCATTCACAAAATACCTTCACAGCAACATCTATAATGATGTTTGACCAAAGTGGGCACTTGAGCCTTGCCAAGTTATACATAAAATTAAACATCACAGGCATATTTTTTCAACCATAAGATTTTTGATTGACAGAGACATTTGGGATCAAAGATTATTTGTGCTATATAATTGAAATAGGTTAATAAACATTTTTCATTTTTTAGCAATAAGGAACCATATTTCTACTATGCTATAGAAACTTTGATTACATGAAATGTAATCTTACATGAAATTACTTACTGAGCACCTACCACATGCCAGAGACTATGGTAAGTGCTGATCACATGGCAGTGATCAAGTTCAATGCTGCTCTGAGAAGCCTGTTAGGGGGGAATTTAACCTGGCTGCAGCTGCTGGCTTGCAGGTCGATGGGTGGCCTTTTGATGAGGTGACATTTCAGCTAAGACTAGAATAAGTAAGACTTTGTCAGGTGAAGATGGAGATGGATAAGAACATTCCAGGCAAAGGAAAGAGCATAAACCAAAAGCTAGGAGTTAAGGAAATCGTGGAGTGTTTAGAGAGCTGAATGGAATCCCGTTTAGTACATACAGCAAAGAGAAAGAGGTAGAAAATCAAGCTGGAAAGATGAGCTGAGGCCAGACCCTTACAAGCTACACTAAGGACTTTTCAGTTTTATCTTAAGGGCAGTAACAAATACATGCACTAATCTATCCTGTTATTTTCTATTATGTCAAAGAATGAAACAGTGTAACTTATTAGAGAGGGAATGAATGCAGTGTAGAACATTACTTGCTGTCATCCTCATTGTTTCAAAACAGAGCATGTGATTAAACAAATCAATGAAGTATCACTTTATCTTTAAAAAGATGATTCCATTAAAATACAACTTCAGTCTAAAGAAACAGATCCATGTCTAATGTGGTCCCGGTTATGACATTTTTGTTTGTGATTCTGATCACTTCAAGAACCCTGCAGTACGTGCACTTTGTTTTGTGAATGAAAATTATGTGGTTGGCTATTCTAATCTAAAAAACAAAAACTCCTGGAGCACCATGAGTGGGAGCTGGGGTTCAGCTATGTCTTCCTGCTAAAATGACCTGATCACTCCCATCCTGGTGCTTAAATCCATTTATTTTTATAAGGGTTCAGAAGGCTTCTGAGAAAAGAATTCGTGGTAGGTACAAGATTGGGGTTCAGATATACAAGCAAGTCTTATAAAGAAGGGCTGGGAGTGGAGAAACAAAAGGCCAATTACAAGGAAGTCCTGTGTGGCCCAGAAGTGTCTTCAACCCAGTGGAAAAACAAGTGTGACAGTGACTCTGCGGGAGTCGCCAGACTTCAGACAGCAGCGATCGTGGCTGTTGAGGAACTGGACTCAACCCCGCCATGCTGGCAGCATGCAAGCTTGGAAATGAGCCTAGCAGAAGTGTGGCCTTTGTGGCGGGATCAAAGCAATGGGCTCAGGGCCCGAACTCAGAAGAGGCTGCAGAAGAAAGGGGAGCCTCTGCAGCCCTGTCCTGCAGCAGCAGCAGCAGCAGCAGCATCTTGGAAGTGACCCGGACAACACAGCTGCAGCTGCGGCATGGAGAGCAGGTCAGCAAGAGCAGGTACTGGCCTCCAAGGGCAATAGGAGGATCGTCCGGAATGTGCAGCGATGCTGTGATTTGCCCGAGAAGGGCCTGTGTGCTTGAAGCAGGCTAGTGGTGTGGGTTATTTGTCCAGGCCTGCCTTGCCCTGAGGCTTTTAATCAGAGTGCGGAAAAGAGAGCAGCGAAGCTGTTCTGGGAGAAACGTCATGACTGGCAGTTTGAAACATCTCCTGGGTTGTCACTGTCCCAAGCACAAAGCTCAAGCGTTTGTGGCAAGGCCCTATACTTTATGAGAGCTGGAGCAAATGATAGCAACCCAAACCTTAAAGGAGGCTTCACTCCCCAATATTTTACTCACCTCGGATGCTCCACATCAAAGCAGGCCTGTGCTATCGCTGTGAAGACCTGCCTGCGAAGCCAGGATGGTGAGTTGAGGAGGGATCCAGCCTCGGCAGGCCACTGTGCCAGAAACAGCCTCTCCCCATAACCATCAGCCATGATCTAATCATTGGAACCCCAAAGGAAAACTGGAAGAGAAATCCCAGAGGGTTCCTGGGAGCTCCCCCTTCTCAGCAACTTCTAAACTCCATTTTGCTTATAATCCAGAAACCCAGAGGCTTATCAAGGCAAAAAAAAAAAAAAAAAAAAAAAAAAAAAAAAAAAATTGTCTATCTATGCCATTGCCTACAAGAGTGGATGGAACCTTCCTTATATTCACATCACTGCAGTGCCATTCTAGTAATTTGCCGAGGGAACTGGACTTCTATAAAGAATGGCTAAACTACTAATCTAAGAGGGAAACTCTCAGTAGCCCACAGTGGTTGCATTCTTATTTAGCTGATAATTGGAATATATGTCCCTTTTCACCAGGCTCCTATGATAGACCATGTGAAGATCTGAACGTTATATACAGTTTCTTACTGTGAGTTTATCATTATGCTCAGCAGAAAAAGAAGAACCCCCCCTAAGGGTTGAGCTGTGGGCACATGACATATTCACAATTGTGGGGAATAAAAAAATTAGTGGATTGAAAATATTAAAATACAGTGGTCAAGAAATTCAACACATTAAAAGAATCAGGAAGAAACTTCAGAAACTTCCCCATCACAATTGTCATATTTAATTTAAAATAAAAACTTCAAATTGACTGCCACTAATTCATCTTTTTGGATAAATTGTGAGGAACTTTTTGGTGGAAAAATTACTTAAACCTGGCCTGATGATTATGAAAAAAAATTAATAGAGAAATTTTCTTTCTTATGTTACCCTATTGTAATCATGTTAATTTCAATTGTACTTATTTCTGCTTAAGATCATATTTCATTTGCATAAATGAAAAACAAAATCCAATAACTTTAAATGAATTTGCTAATCTTAAGGAAATAACCAGCTCCTTTAAACATGAATTAGACAATGGTTTCACACTATCATATTGCTAGACAGATAAGACTTAGAAAAAGAAAGAAAGCCGGTTGCAAAAGACTGTATTTTCTAAATATCTAATTCCTCACGGCATAATGTGCTTCTGAAAGCAAGTTTTTAATTATTAAAAAAAAATCAAACAATATCAGACCTTGACTTTGTAAATTAGACTATTGATGAAGTGCCTTTCCACTTCACTACTGTGAAGAGAATGAGTGTGATAAGGCCCCAGAAGTGTTACTTCTCTTTTGTTAGATTTATTCCTTCTAAATCAATTCCCTGGCCTTCTCACGTGTGTTTTCACCTCCCTGAGTGGCCAAAACAAACTTTTTTAAAGTTCTGTTCAGAAAAGCAATTACGAGTAATAAGTTACAGTCATAAGCATCAAGGTACAGATGGTTTAAATCTAGAGAGTATTACTAACAGGGCTATGAAAAGAAAATGTTGGGATGATTTTAAAAATTGAAGATCACAACCTGCTATGAATTTGTAGAAATGATTTCAGTGCCACCCATTATATCCTATAGGGAAGAAAACAGAGCACACACATGAAGCTTAATATTTAAAATGATATTGTAGCATGCATGTAGAGAAGTACACGTATCTTAATTGAATGGGTCAATAAATTTTTACATATGCACTATACATATATACATTTCCATATTGCTAGCACCCAGGTCAAAATATTGAACACTGTATTAGATCCTAGAGCTGACATAAAGCACCACACGCTAGGGGTGTAAGCAACAGAAACTTATGCCTCACAGTTCTGGAGGCTGGAAGTCCAGGATCAAGATGTTGGCAGGGTTGGTTCCTTCTGAGGCTCAGAGGGAGAATCTGTTCCATGCCTCTCCCAGCTTCCGGTGGTTGTTGAGAGTCTTTGGCTCTCCACAGCTCAGAGATTTGTCACCCCAATCTCGCCCTTCATCGTCACGTGGACTTCTCCTGTCTCTCTTCACACAGTCTTCTCTCTTTGCATGTCTGTCTGTGTCCAACTTTCTCATTTTTATCAAAACAGCAGTCATACTGGATCAGGGCCCACCCTAGTGATAACGTTTTAACTTGATTAGTTCTGTAAATATAAGGTCCCATTCTGAGGCACTGGGGGTTAGGAATTGACATATCTTTTTAGCAGGACACAATTCAACCCATGACAAATGCCTACAACACCTCATATGGATCCTTCCTACTTCTCAGCATAGACCAAACCCTCCCCGCAGAGAAGACCAGCGTTCTGACTTGTATCACATAGATTAATTTTGCCTGTTCTTTAACTTCATGGAATCATACACCATGTACTCTTTTTTGGGGGCTTCTTTTGCTCAACTTATCTATGATATTCATCCATGTTTCTGTAACAGCGATCACTTATTATTTTACAGCTGTGTAGTATTTGTTCTCTTGAAAATTTTGGTCGTTTCCAGTTCTTGGCTATTACAAATGATGCTGCCACTGGCTGTGGCACACATTGCCATTTCTCTTGAGCATATAACTGCAGAATAGACGTGCTTTAGTAGATACTGCCATACATTTTTAAAGGATGTTGTACCAAACTATGCTCCCATAGACATTTAAAGCTATACCTAACATTACACTTGTTTTTCTTTTATGGTTGATGTATTTCTTGGTCCTATTTTAAAAATTTTCTGCCTACACTATATCATGAAAAAAGTTTATGTATTTTTCCTAGAAGTGTTATTGTTCTTCTTTTCATATCATTCTTCTTTTCATATCTTAAATTGTTTTTTGTGAATGGCAAGAGGTAGGGGATTAAAGACTAAGGTTCATTTTTTGCTTTACGAATATTCAATTGCTCCTGCACTATTTAGTGAAAATACCATTTTCCCTTATTAAATTGCATTGGCAACTTTGTTGTAAACTAAATGACTTTACTTATGGAGGGGTGTATTTCTAGACCCCCTGTTCTGTTTCAATTGTTTCGTTATTTTTGCACCAATACCATATTGTTTTAATTACTGAAACTTTATAATAAATCTTGAAATATAGTAATGTAATTCCATCAACTTTGATCTTATTTTTCAAGATTATCATGCCTATTCTAGGTCTTTTATATTTCCATGCAAATTTTAGAATCAGTACTCAATTTACATAAGAATTAGTACTCAATTTACACAACTTAGACAAAACCTTAATGGGATTTTTCTTTGTATTTCATGTAATGCATAGATTGACTTAGAAATAGTTGACATGTTAAAAATATTGAGTCTTCCTATCCATGAACATGGAATTTCTCTGTTTATTTAGGTTTCTGTAACTACTGTTAAAATATAAACCATTAATGCTGTAGCTGCTTTGGCTGAAATAAAACGAGGATTCTTTGTAATGAGGGAGAGAGGGTAAAACGTGAAATCCGTTGATTGCTTCATTCAAAGGCCAATGAATGCATTACATAGGTTGAAGCCAGAAGATATTAAATTGTTATACTTTATGTAAGATATCATTAACGTGGTTAGCTTTATTAAACATGAATGTATTCAAAATACATGAGAATTATTATATGGAACCATAAAATACTTTAATACAAAAGGCTCCCTATTTATCTTGAGGCAAGTATATTTAAAAGAGAATTTTTCTTGTATAAAAAGACAAGTGTTCCAAATTTGCTGTCTTCTTCTATGAGGACAAGTAGCCAGTAGCATGCTGCCTAGCGTAACGTTCTCAAACTCAAAGTGTGCATCAGAAGCACCTGGACAGCTTGCAAGATACAGATTGCTGGGCCCTACCCCTGCAGTTTCTGATTGAGTAGGTCTGGAGTGTGGCCAAGAGTTTGCATTTATTACAGTTTCCCATGTGAGGTCTATGCTGCTGATCCACGTAGGGTACTTTGAGAGCCATTAACTTAGAACTTAGGGATATTTACACACACACACACACTTAATCTGTACCTTTTAGACAAGTGTAACCGCTTAAGAATAAATGAAAATGTAACTTTTTTTATTGTCGTGAAACATATGCAAAATTTACAATTGTTAAGCTTACAGTTGAGTGGCACTGAGTGCATTGACACTGCTGTGCGACCATCACTACCATCCACTGAACACCTTGTATTATCCCATACTAAATTTCTCCCCACTAAATAATAACTGTCCACTCCCGTTTACTGCCTCCCCTGGTAATCACCATTCTTTCTGTCTCTATGTATTTGACTACTCTAGGGACTTCATATAAGCAGAATGATTCAACGTTTGTCATTTTGCCTGACTTATTTCACTTAGTGTAATGTTTTTAAGATTCTTCCATGTTGTAGCATGTATCAGAATGGTACTCCATTTTATGGCTGAATAACATAGAAGTCTTTTTTAAAGCATGTGTTACATAGAGGATATTTTGAATGAATGTGTTTTTATAATGTAATTTGAGTGCGTTGGAAACAATGTGAGTCACCTATAGATACTCTTTTATCTTCTCCTTAAAAGTTGAAAACATAATTTAGAAACTTGTTTTAAAATCTGTCAAATGAAAGTCTTAAGTAGATTTTAAAATCATTTGTCAAAAATACATCAGCTGCCTTATAGTCTGCAAGAAGAATTGATTAACATCAGGCAAAACTGAAAATTTCTAAAATCCTCTCCCAATTATTGAATGGAATTGCAAAATGAATGTCAGCGTTTTTAAAAGGAACCAGTTTTGTTTTGTTTTGTTTTCAAGTTAATTTTTTTATTATACTTTAAGTTTTAGGGTACATGTGCACAACGTGCAGGTTTGTTACATATATATACATGTGCCATGTTGGTGTACTGCACCCATTAACTCGTCATTTAACATTAGGTATATCTCCTAATGCTATCCCTCCCCCTTCCCCCCACCCCACAACAGGCCCCAGTGTGTAGTGTTCCCCACTCTGTGTCCAAGTGTTCTCATTGTTCAATTCCCACCTATGAGTGAGAACATGCAGTGTTTGGTTTTTTGTCTTTGTGATAGTTTGCTGAGAATGATGGTTTCCAGCTTCATCCATGTCCCTACAAAGGACATGAATTCATCATTTTTTATGGCTGCATAGTATTCCATGGGGTATATGTGCCACATTTTCTTAATCCAGTCTATCATTTTTGCACATTTGGGTTGGTTCCAAGTCTTTGCTATTGTGAATGGTGCCATAATAAACATACGTGTGTATGTCTTTATAGCAGCATGATTTATAATCCTTTGGGTATATACCCAGTAATGGCATGGCTGGGTCAAATGGTATTTCTAGTTCTAGATCCCTGAGGAATTGCCACACTGTCTTCCACAATGGTTGAACTAGTTTACAGTCCCACCAACAGTGTAAAAGTGTTCCTATTTCTCCACATCCTCTCCAGTACCTGTTGTTTCCTGACTTTTTAATGATCGCCATTCTAACTGGTGTGAGATGGTATCTCATTGTGGTTTTGATTTGCATTTCTCTGATGGCCAGTGATGATGAGCATTTTTTCATGTGTCTTTTGGCTGCATAAATGTCTTCTTTTGAGAAGTGTCTGTTCATGTCCTTCGCCCACTTGTTGATGGGGTTGTTTGTTTTTTTCTTGTAAATTTGTTTGAGTTTATTGTAGATTCTGGATATTAGCCCTTTGTCAGATGAGTAGATTGCAAAAATTTTCTCCCATTCTGTAGGTTGCCTGTTCACTCTGATGGTAGTTTCTTTTGCTATGCAGAAGCTCTTTAGTTTAATTAGATCCCATTTGTCAATTTTGGCTTTTGTTGCCATTGCTTTTGGTGTTTTAGACATGAAGTCCTTGTCCATGCCTATGTCCTGAATGATATTCCCTAGGTTTTCTTCTAGGGTTTTTATGGTTTTAGGTCTAACATTTAAATCTTTAATCCATCTTGAATTAATTTTAGTATAAGGTGTAAGGAAGGGATCCAGTTTCAGCTTTCTACATATGGCTAGCCAGTTTTCCCAGCACCATTTATTAAATAGGGAATCCTTTCCCCATTTCTTGTTTTTGTCAGGTTTGTCAAAGATCAGATAGTTGTAGATATGTGGCATTATTTCTGAGGGCTCTGTTCTGTTCCATTTGGTCTATATCTCTGTTTTGGTACCAGTACCATGCTGTTTTGGTTACTGTAGCCTTGTAGTATAGTTTGAAGTCAGGTAGTGTGATGCCTCCAGCTTTGTTCTTTTGGCTTAGGATTGACTTGGCAATGTGGGCTTTTTTTGGTTCCATATGAACTTTAAAGTAGTTTTTCCAATTCTGTGAAGAAAGTCATTGGTAGCTTGATGGGGATGGCATTGAATCTATAAATTACCTTGGGCAGTATGGCCATTTTCACGATATTGATTCTTCCTACCCATGAGCATGGAATGTTCTTCCATTTGTTTGTATCCTGTTATTTCATTGAGCAGTGGTTTGTAGTTCTCCTTGAAGAAGTCCTTCACATCCCTTGTAAGTTGGATTCCTAGGTATTTTATTCTCTTTGAAGCAATTGTGAATGGGAGTTCACTCATGATTTGGCTCTCTGTTTGTCTGTTATTGGTGTATAAGAATGCTTGTGATTTTTGCACATTGATTTTGTATCCTGAGACTTTGCTGAAGTTGCTTATCAGCTTAAGGAGATTTGGGGCTGAAACAATAGGGTTTTCTAGATATACAGTCATGTCATCTGCAAACAGGGACAATTTGACTTCCTCTTTTCCTAATTGAATACCCTTTCTTTCTTTCTCCTGCCTGATTGCCCTGGCCAGAACTTCCAACACTATGTTGAATAGGAGTGGTGAGAGAGGGCATCCCTGTGTTGTGCCAGTTTTCAAAGGGAATGCTTCCAGTTTTTGCCCATTCAGTATGATATTGGCTGTGGGTTTGTCATAGATAGCTCTTATTATTTTGAGATACATCCCATCAATACCTAATTTATTGAGAGTTTTTAGCATGAAGGGTTGTTGAATTTTGTCAAAGGCCTTTTCTGCATCTATTGAGATAATCATGTGGTTTTTGTCGTTAAGGAACCAGTTTTGATTTCTTTTTGTTAAAGCTCTTCATAAATGATCTTTCTCAGGTACAAAAACTACTAAAATTGAGTAATGATTTTATCAAATAAAGTGAACGTAGGTCTAATTCTTTACATTGCTGTGTGCAGAATATTAAGCCAAGATTTTTTTAAATAAGGTATTTTCTAACATACTGTTCTTTCTAAATTATTGATCATATTTTTGTGAAAGCAAAAAGTATTTGCTATTATTTGATAACAAATATTTTAAAAATATAATTTCACCTTCATTTCATACTTTTCAAATTTTTATTTTTGCATGTTTTAGATAATAAATAATACATTAGTAGAGTAATACTGTAAAATCCCCACAAGTAAATAAATATGTATATGTCAAAGATACAGACTCAAACATTCTTATTAATAAATGTGTACAATCAAAAATATATGGACAGAGATGTCTGTGTGTCCCTGCGTATTTCCCTGCTCTAGTATTTAAGGTGTCAAAAGTTGTCTTGGTTTCACTTAAGATGATAACTTTGAGGCACAGAAAATACTTTTCTCCTGAGGGTTAAGGGTAGAGTCTTGAGGCCGTGAGGTCACCTACCCTGAGAGTAGCTTTTATCTTTTGTTCTCTAAAGTGTTCAGAATTCAGATACCACCTCCCTCTCCCAGGAAGCAAGTCAAGGAGAACTGTCAGACTGGGTATGTGAAGTGCTGGAGACAGGAGCCATTTCTGCACCAATATTTGAGGTCACATTCTCAATGGGAACAATTATCTAGTGACTCGAAAGTTTTCAAGTAACTACTTGAGCATGTGAAGAGCTAGCTAACAGCATTTCAGCATGCTGATGCTTCCAGTAAACCCATAAAAATAAGTATACATATTTATTTTATCCTTCTGACCTTATGCAGAGACATTTTCACTAGCTACAATAGTTACAGTGGGACTGGAAATATGAGAACAGGTAATGTCTATATGCTACCTGGAGAGGCCTGGCCTCCAGCCTCCTTTTAACGTGAAACCAGTGAGAGGAAGTGTCAGTGAGGAAGCTGGGCTCTGGGACCTGGGCCTGGGGTAAATGAGGAGCACACACAATGGGAGAAGGCCTAAGAGTAGCTTCACAGACTTTGGAAACAGAAGTTATGTACATTTTCACACAGGCTTCCTGAGAGTAGCCAGCCGAGATAAGGACATTCAGAAATCCGGTGGCAGAGGTGAGGCTCTGTGTGAACCAATTCTATGATGTTCTCTCATAGGCCTGGGACTTAGACTATTCTGTCCCCGCCCTCTGGATGTGACTGAATTCTGGCCAAGAAGATAGTGGCAGGAGTGATGGCCATGACTTAATAGCCTGCCACAAAACTTCTGCATCGCTGCCCACAGTTTTTCTTCCTTGTCTGCGTGGAAGGCCATGGGATTAGAACAGCAGCTCCAGGAAATGAAAGCAGCCTGGAGTCATCGCTTTCTGGAAAGTTGCCAGGGAAAAACCTAAGGAGGACCTAAATGAGACCATCTTATGAGTTTATTTTGTTAAACTGTTGAGATCTGGAGGATTTTTGAAAATTATTATTACTGAAGTACAGCTTAGTTGTTCTGATTCAAACAACACTCCCCTTAATAAGTGATCAGTGTGGCAGCTCCACAGCACACAAAAGGGAGTATGAGCAAAAAAAAAAAAAAAAAAAAAAAAAAAGAGTTTGCCTTTACTGTCTCAGAATTCAAAGTGCAGGTGAGAAACTTCAAAGGGACCCTGGACATGAGACATTCCCGGGACTTGCCAGAATAGACTCAACTCAAGCCACTCCACTACTTATCACATGCCAGGACTAACGTCACCCTAGGTGCTGACAATAAGGACACAAGAGGTTTGGAAATGGACAAGTAAAAAGAGTGGGCGGGAAGTTGCCCGAGTTTTGGCATCCTTCTATGACACATCTTAGCCATCGACCATTATGAGAATTGAATGAATAAGGTCTGTCGGATTCAAGTATCGGCATCCACCCCTACTTCTGTTATGTGATTACTGAACTTGAGGAAGTAAAGGGAGGAGAGGGCCAGTGGTTAAGGCCTCTGTATGTAACCCGGTATTGCATGCCCCATATGCATACAAAGTATCCATGTTCTGCCTGCAGAAAATCCTGGAAGATAGTAGCAAAATGGGGATAAATGGCATTACTCTATGGTTCTTTGCCTGGGATAGTTTTATCTGGAGATCCTTACCCAACTCCACCCTCATTTAAATCCTTAGAGCTTTATTTTTATTTTTTCTCATGCAAATTTATAGTATATATGAGAAAACTTGTGACATGTATATAACGCATAGTGATCAATTCAGGGTATTCAGGGTGCCCATCACCCAAGGACAATACATCTTTGTTAACTTATAGTCCCCCTACTCTGCTATCACACGTGGAATTTATTTTCTTCTATCTAATTATACGTTTGTGCCTCTAACCACTTCCCTTTATCCTCCCCCTTCCCCCTGCCCTACTCTCCCAGTCTGTTACCTATTTTTCCACTCTCCACTTTCACGTGTTCCAATTTTTTAGCTCTCACATGTAAGTGTGAACACATGATATTTGTCTTTCTGTGCCTGACTTATTTCACTTAATGACCTTAGGTTTCATGCATGTTGCTGCAGAACACATGATTTCATTCTTTTTCTATGGTCAAATAGTATTTCAGTGTGTGTATGTACATTTTCTTTCTTTCTTTCTTTTTTTGAGATGGAGTCTCGCTCTGTCACCCAGGCTGGAGTGCAGTGGCACAATCTCGGCTCACTGCAACCTCCACCTCCTGGGTTCAAGCGATTCTCCTGCCCCAGCCTCCCAAGTAGCTGGGATTACAGGCGCCTGCCACCACGCCCAGCTAATTTTGTGTTTTTAGGAGAGACGGGGTTTCTCCATGTTGGTCAGGCTGGTCTCGAACTCCCAACCTCAGGTGATCTGCCCGCCTTGGCCTCCCAAAGTGCTGGGATTAAGGCGTGAGCCACTGTGCCTGGCCATACCACATTTTCTTAATCCAATCATCCACTGACAGCTACTTAGGTTGATTCCATATCTTTGCTATTGTGAATGGAGTTGCAATAAATATGCAATGCTGGTATCCCTTTGAAATACTGATTTTTTTTGTTTTGTTTTGTTTTTTGAGACGGAGTCTCCCTCTGTCACCCAGGCTAGAGTGCAGTGGCGAGATCTCAGCTCACTGCAAGCTCCGCCTCCCAGGTTCACGCCATTCTCCTGCCTCAGCCTCCTGAGTGGCTGGGACTACAGGTGCCTGCCACCATGCCCAGCTAATTTTTTGTATTTTTAGTAGAGACGGGGTTTCACTGTGTTAGCCAGGATGGTCTCGATCTCCTGACCTCATGAGCTGCCCACCTCGGCCTCCCAAAGTGCTGGGATTACAGGCATAAGCCACCATGCCCGGCCTGAAATACTGATTTCTTTTCCTTTGGGTGGATACCCAGTAGTGGAATTGCTTAATCAAATGGTAGTTCTGTTTTTAGTTTTTTGGGGAAATCTCCATACTGTTTTCCATAGCAGCTGTACTAGTTTACATTCCCACCAACAGTGTGTAAGAATTTCCTTTTCTCCACATCCTCACCAGCATCTGTTATTTTTGTCTTTTTTATCATAGCCATTTGGACTGAAGGAAGATGATATCCACTGTAGTTTTGATTTGCATTTTTCTGATGATTAGTGTATTAGTCTGTTTTCATGCTGCTAATAAAGACATATCTGAGACTGGGCAATTTACAAAAGAAAGAAATTTATTGGACTTACAGTTCCATGTGGCTGGGGAGGCCTCACAATCATGGCAGAAGGCAAGGAGGAACAAGTCACGTCTTACATGGATGGCAGCAGGCAAAGAGAGAGCTTGTGCAGGAAAACTCCCATTTTTTAAAACTATCGGATCTTGCAAGACTTATTCACTATCATTAGAACAGCACAGGAAAGACCCACCCCCATGATTCAATTACCTCCCACCAGGTTCCTCCCATGACACATTGGAATTGTGGGAGTTACAATTCAAGATGAGATTTGGGTGGGGACACAGACAAACCATATCATTCCGCCCTGGCCCCTCCCAAATCTCATGTCCTCACATTTCAAAACCAATCATGCCTTCCCAATAGTCCCTCAAAGTCTTAACTGATTTCAGCATTAACTCAATAATCCACAGTCCAAGATCTCATCTGATTCAAGGCAAGCCACTTCCACTTATGAGTCTGTAAAATCAAAAGCAAGTCAGTTACTTCCTAGATACAATGGGGGTACATACATTGGATAAATACAGCCATTCCAAATGGGAGAAATTGGCCAAAACAAAGGGGCTACAGGCCTCATGCAAGTCAGAAATCCAGTGGGGCAGTCAGATCTTAAAGCTCCAAAATGATCTCCTTTGACTCCATGTCTCACATCCAGGTCATGCTGATGCAAGAGGTGGGTTCCCATGGTGTTGGGCAGCTACGCCCCTGTGGCTCTGCAGGGTACAGCCTCTCCCCTGGCTGCCTTCATGGGCTGGCGTTGAGCGTCTGCGGCTTTTCCAGGCCCACAGTACAAGTTGTCGGTGGATCTACCATTCTGGGGTCTGGAGGACGGTGGCCCTCTTCTCACAGCTCCACTAGGCAGTGACCCAGTAGGGACTCTTTGTGTCAACTCCAACCCCACATTTCCTCTCTGCACTGCCCTAGCAGAGGTTCTCCATGAGACATGCTAGCCCAGCCCCTGCAACCAACTTCTGCCTGGATATCCAGGCATTTCCATACAACTCATGATGTAACATTGCTTCCCAATATTTTTGAAAGTTCTTCCAGTAGTAGAGGAGATGAAGCATGTAGTTCTGACAGGGTTAGGGTTAGAGCCAAAGGCAGCCCAATACTTCAAAGATAAAAGTCTAACTTAAGTAACATGATTCAGTTTAAAGATTAATGTGAATTTTTCAATCTATTCCATCTCTTTTTCCTAAGAAAAAAAAATCGCTGTTTTAAGTAATGCTTTAGCCATAAGTAAAATCATGCTCCAGGAGGATGCGTTGCATGTATATGTGGTTTCTTGTACCATTCTAAGTATGAGGAAAGACGTGGTCCTGTTAGACCATTAGGCATGGGCCTAAATGATGAAACCCAAATGTCTTTGTGTGATGTGTGTGAATTCGTGACTCTGCAGTATGTCTCCAATCTCTCTGACCAGTCCTAACTTGTGCTGTGTCCTGTGCTCCAGCCTTTGACACTTTGACCCTGTTCTGAATGCCAAGTTCTTTCATTCCTCCATGCCTCTGTACACATTGCTTCCTCGGCCTGGGTTTTCTTTTCTTTGCTTATCCAATTATTAACTTGGTATTTGGTCTTCAAGATTCATTCACATTTCACCTTCTCAACAAAGCCCTTTTCCACCCTAGACACTCCCTCCTTTTCGCATTCTCTCCATTCCTCTCTGTTCTCATGTTACGCACCGTATTTCTTTCTATTTCCCCTCATCATACTGGACTTCTTGAGGACAGGGCAGTATCTCATTCATCTTGTACCCTCAGTGCAGAGGAAGATGCCTGGCATATATTGCCTGATCAATAACCAGCTGAATGAGTGACATTTGTTTCTTTTATTCATATAGTCCCCATGCAGGTGTTTTTATCTTTCACTTTATTCTAGTATTATTTTTCCAATTTTTTTTACATCATATTTCTCACAAGCCTACTAAGATATTCATTAACTATATGAAAAGTTTGTTCTTGTGGCAGTTATGTAATGATTCAATGCTGCACACGTATAAACGGCCCACGCTGAGACATACGATCTCCTTAAGAATTGTTTTCTGCTGCTGATTTGATCTGTATCTCTCAAGACTGTGTTTTCACTTACTTAAATTGAGTGGTTATCCCAGACAGATGGCCCTTACCAATCACAGAAACCAAGTTATTATAAACAAAATCTAATTGCAAAGACAATTTTTGCTCTTTTATTGCGTTTTTTAATATCTTTGTGTTATCCATCTTTCAAAACGCTGGTGGAAAATCACATGGTTCAACTATTTCAACTATCTCATTGTCTGTGTCCAAGAGATTTAAGGTAGGAAAAAAAACATTTTGTGATTTCCATTTGGAGAAAACTGTTCTGTTTTCATTATGTACTAGTACGGAAAACATAGCTTCAGAATATTTAGTTATAAATTTCCTATTTAATAAGCTCATTTTGCTATCAATTTTTTTTCTAGTTACTTAGCATAATATTTTTCACATTTAGATCTAACTGTGTTATTCCCCTGCTGAAATCCTTCCTTGGATGGCCTTGAGAATGACAGTCAAACTCCTGAGCACGGTCTCAAGGTCTTTTCAGCCAGGCCTCATCTGTCCCCCAGCTCTGGGTGCACACAGCACTATCACCACTCAGACCAGACCACTCATGCATCCCCACATATTCTCACATCTCTCTACGTTTACACGTGTCACTTCCTCCACCTATGTTACACACACACGTGCACACAGTCTCACACACCCATACTCATTCACACCCACACACTCATGCCCACACGCACACTCACACCCACTCACACGCACACACACATGCACTCACACCCACACGCGTGCACACACACCCACACTCACACCCACAGGCACACAGTCATGCCCACATACACACTCACACCCACATGCACACACTTATGCCCACATGCACACACCTACACGCACACACTCATGCCCCCCCACACACACCCACGCACACCCATGTGCACACACGCCCACACACTCACACCCACACAAGCTCACGCACACACGTGCACACACACCCCACATGCTCGCACACACACCCCCACATGCTCACACACACACGCCCACACTCACACACACACTCATGCCCACAGTCACACACTCACACCCACACTCTCACACACACACACTGTTACCCTTGCCCCGTTTATGGCCTATTCCTTCTCAGCTCACTCTAAGGGTGGCCTCTTTCTGGAAGCCTTGTCTTTTTTTGGATTGTCAGTGTAACATACAGAGAAATAGATGTATATGGTCAATCCTGAAATTGGTTATTACTGTCTGTTAGTTAAGTCAGCAAATGAAAATATACATTTAGAAATATGCTTATTTGGCCGGGCACGATGGCTCGTGCCTGTAATCCCAGCACTTTGGGAGGCCAAGGTGGGCAGATTACCTGAGGTCAGGAGTTCAAGACCAGACTGGCCAACATGGTGAAACCCCGTTTCTACTAAAAATACAGAAATTAGCTGGGTGTGGTGGCAGACGCCTGTAGTCCCAGCTACTCTGAAGGCTGAGGCAGGAGAATTGTTTGAACCCGGGAGGCCGAGGTTGCAGTGAGCCAAGATCACACCACTGCACTCCAGCCTGGGCAACAGAGTGAGATTTCGTCTCTCAAAAAAAAAAAAAAAGAAAAGAAATATGCTTATTTGAATGATTTCCCTTGGCTACCACACAAAGCCTAAAGTCATCAGAATCCCATGTGCTCCATTCCTCTCATTATTCTGTTAGCTAGGGCCTTACATTCACCATCTGTCAGACACCAGGTAAAACTAACCCTAGATCATTTTTTCAATATGAAAGAATTAAAAATAGTGTCGTTTTCACCCACAGCTTAGTTGTTACTATTCCTTCCTGAATAGGGCCATTTGCAGACAGGACTGCTCTACTGAAGACACTTATGACTTGGTGAGAAAGTAAGTCTCAAACACGTGTAAGGAAAGGCGAGCTATGCACATGTGTGTGCATGCATGTAATCACGGCATCAGTGAAGGTGCACCCACAGCGGGGCTGAGGGATTGTCTGTGCAGCTGTGAGTAGCCATCAATACTAGTGTGAAGGAAGGAACGAGGTGGAGTGGATGAGGCAGTTAGAAACTTTTCAGTGGCATGTCTTGAAAGCCCAGTTAAAGAAGAAAAATACCCAAAGAGATGGGACATCTGTGAAAGGCTTGTTAATTTCCAGATAATAAATCTGCTGTAGTAGATGAAATATGCTGGATAAGGGGAAGGTGGAAAGGGGAATCTAAGGTCGGGCCCAGGTGGTCTGTGTGTGGGGGAAAGGGAAGGACACAGGGCTGCCCCCCACTGAGGAAGTGGTGTCAGGCTCTGCACATTCTTTGACCAGCCCGATAAATATGGCGGGGAGGGTAGGCCACACTTGTGCTCAAAGCCAGCCATTCAATGACATCCCTTCCAGCACAGAATGAGATCAAAATCCATGGTGTGGCATGTAAGGCCCTACAGGCTCTGGCCTTTACCTACCATGTAGCCTACTGCTAAGTCTGCTTCAGCTACAGGGACCTCCGGTTTTTCCTGGATCATGTCGAGCTCTGTCCTGCCACAGGGATTTTGCACTTGCTTTTACCTCCGCCTGGCACTCTTTCTCAGCTACTCATGGCTGGCCCTCTCAACCCTTCATGTGGCCGCCCAGTATCACCTTGTCAGCAAGTCCTTCTTCACCATTCTAATTCATCCAGCACTTGCCCATCTCCATCCACTTCTAGCCACGGAGATACATTTATTTTCCTATATAGCACTTGTTGCTGCCTGACATTATAACAAACGTGTTTTGGCTTACTTGTTTACTGTCTTTCTCTCTACCTATAATGCAAGCCTTCTGAGGGCAAAGACTCCCTTCTGTTGACTGATGTATGACCAGAACCTAGACAAATGCCAGCCTCTGAGTGGGTGCTCAGCAGATCCATTCTGGAAAATGGCCAGGGCAGTGAATGAGCAGAATGAGCATGGGAGGGGAAGTTGTAAGAATTAAGAAAAGTTAAACCCAGAGGACTGTAAACAAGGCACAGAAATAAGCTTTGGGGGACAGAGGCATCTGGTCTAAGATTAAGATTGGAGAAGTCACCTCTGTAAGTCAAGATGAGACTGAAATCTGTCTGCTTTTATTCTCAGCTTCTAGCTTCTTCACTCAACAGCAATTTATTCATTTTTTTTTCCAACACTGTGTGAAGACAGGACTGTCTCCGCCTTATTTCCATTGAATTGTCCACGTGATAGATATCAGATACCAAAGTGGGTTTGAGGCAGACCTCCATGTGCCAATTCCAAAACGAAATTGTGAAAAACAGGGACCTCTCAGCCAGATTCGAGATATAAAAATGACCAGGATACAGGAGTTCGACACCAGGCTGGCCAACATGGTGAAACCCCATCTCTACTAAAAATACAAAAATTAGCCAGGCGTGGTGGCAGGTGCCTATAATCTCAGCTACTTGGGAGGCCGAGGCAGGAGAATCACTTGAACCAGGGAGGCGGAGGTTGCAGTGAGCCAAGATCGCACCATTGCACTCCAGCCTGGGCGACAAGAGCGAAATTTCATCTCAAAAAACCACAAAAACAAACAAACAAAAAACCCAGGATATGGAGAGAACAGAAATGTTTGGAAATATATTTCTTTGCCAGGAGTCGCCTTCTTCATCTCAAGGCTAGTGAAGAGAATCTTCCACGTGAACACCAGAGAGCTCTGAAATGTGTTCTCCACAGTCGGGAGGTGCAAAAGATTAGTGTCTGACTCCCATATTGGGTACACAGATGGTGAAAAATGTGCCCACTCCACACAGCTCCGTGGACATTTTCCTCTCCCAGGACTTACTGATCCAAGACATACGTCTGGGGACCAAATATGAATGACAACAAAACTAGAGAGATGGAGCATTCTGGGTTTTTCCCAAGGGAATTTCTGCAAAGAGCGAGAAGACCCCAATACTGAGATTCTGTTAAGGGTAGGATGCTGCAGGAGTTGAACTGAGGGTGCTGGAGGTAATGCAAAGAAAGGACTGTCCCCAGTGTCATAGGAATTGCCATTGGAGGGAACACATGAGGAATCTTCTAACCATCCCCAACACATCTGTGGGAGAGAAGATTTAACCATCTACCAGCCGCAAGGATGATGAAGACACAGACAGATAAAGAAATGTCTTATCATCTTCTCTCTTCCTCACCACCTTGCCTTCCCCACTTCGATGTAGGCAGCCATAAAACCACTAGATAGTGATAGGGGAGGAAATGAGGGAGGAGGGATGGTGTAAGCCAACAGGCTTCCTTTCTCTTCCCTCTCTGTCTTAACCAGAGGCCGGTGACCACCCATTTCCAGCCTGAGCATAGACGAAAGGGAAGTTGTACTTTAAATGGAGATGCAAGGATGTAGAATTCCTCTTTCTCTTCTCATCACTTTCCTTCCTGAACAATTCAGTGCAGGAGGTGAGAGATTGATTATATACAGGAGAATTGATCAAATAAGCAAACCTATTTTTAATGATTCTTAATACAAGGATTGTTGTATTACAATAGAGGGAGTTACAAATATGGAAAAGAAGATGACTCGAATAAACTGATGATGTTGGATTGGAACTGGAGATATCAGTGTGAACTCAAGCCTCAGATGGACAGATACACATAGATGTAACTGTCTGTATACTTATAGATATTTTCTAGATCCCTGCATTGAGAGCATCTGGGAGCAGTGTCACCCCAACATCAGCGAGCACGCCTAACATCCAGGTCTTGCTTCTAAATAATATTCTCAACTAACAGAAACCAGACCTTCTTGGAGAAATGGCTGATTCCAAGAATGGAGCAAGGAAGTCCAAGATGAGGCTGGAATTCTTTGTGTCAGAAGATAAAGAAGTTCTCAAAAAATGTCAGAGACATGTTAAAAAAAAAAAAAAAGAGAAGCCAGCTTTAATGCACTCCTACCTGGCAAATTGGAGATAATTTGATCATTAAAATAAATAATAGTAGTAATAAACCATAATCCATTGAATAAAATAGGAAACTAAGAGTTATTTAAATAAAAAATTATTTTAAATAAAAATAAATTAATACATTGAAAATTTGGTGAGGAATGGGGTATTTATACAATCTTGATGTACTGTACTACAGAATACATATTAATTACAAAGGGCAGTTAATCAAGTGATGAAATGACTCTCGTTAGTTCTGTGCCAACCGACAGGATGCACACATGAGAACACAGCATCCAGGCAGAGACCAGAGCCAGAACCTAATCACGCAGAAACATCAGAGAAGACAAACGGGGGGATACAGTGAAATAACTGTAATCTTCAAATGTGAAAGTCAAGAAACAAGACGGGGGAATTACTCCAAACTTAAAGGCTAAAGAGACATGAAGCA
The DNA here is from genome assembly GCF_000001405.40 of Homo sapiens. Classification (NCBI taxonomy): domain Eukaryota; kingdom Metazoa; phylum Chordata; class Mammalia; order Primates; family Hominidae; genus Homo; species Homo sapiens. The sequence continues at coordinate 186,410,644 of NC_000004.12, forward strand.
TGCTTCTGATCTGGATTACTTTGCTAAAGCAGAAGCTAAAAGTTTCAGTGTTAATTTCCTGATTTTGATGGTTGTATTGGCATTTTTAGGTACAGAGGAGAATATGCTTGTTTTTAGGAAATACAGACTGAAGTGTTGAGCGCTGATGGGTCATGAGGTCAGCAATTTGCTCCCAAATGGTTCAGGAAAAATTTTCTCTGTGCTGTATTTGCAATAATTCTGTAAATTTGTTATTGTTCTTTAAGAATGAGAACATCATATAACTTTCCTCAAGTATCAAAGTTTTCTTTAACCCATCCTAACCCCAAATAAAAGATCTAGAACCTCTGGACAGCCAAGTTACTAAACCCAGCCAGTCTATTACATTAAAATAGAGAATTCATGGGGCCTGCCATGAGATTTCATCCAGCAGCAAAGGAGTTGTGTCTCCTTTTAGATAACGCTTATCAAAGTAAAAGAACAAATGTATAATAAAGCTGAAATTTGATTACAATTCATGCATTGTCTGCATACCAGTTGCAAAACCATTTATCCTTTCATTTAATATAAATTCTGGTGGATGTTCCATGCCCCAAGTTTGCTAGTTACTGAAGTTAAATAGGCAAATAATAACCTTGAGTTGATCATAGCATAGTGGAGAAGACTCACATGTAAAAAAAGCAACATGGCATATGCGTTGTTATAGAAATATAAAAATATATGCATTGTATATGGCAGTTGAAAGCCAAGGGAAGGAATAATGAACTCTAAATGGGTAATCAGGAAAGGTTTCACCAAAGAGATGAGATTTTGATCTGGGTCTCCTAATTTGAAAAGAAGTAGGCCAGCAAGGCAAGACAATGGCAGAGGGACGTTGGCGGTGGGAGGGATTCTCAGCACTTGTGGCCTCTTGAAAGGGCTTTGGATGTCTGGGAAACAGAGAAGAGTTCAGCATGAGCGGAAGGCAGTTTACAACAAATGGAATAGGGTGAGAAAGAGATTAGGGTGGGGAGGTCTGATTTGTAAGGATACCCCATCCCTGATTCCACTTCTTTCCAAGATACGTATTTTCACGTTAGAAAAACACACCAGTGAAGAATCCATCTCACAGCCGTGTTTTCCCTAAGGGTTGGCGGGCTGATAAAGGAAGGTGTTGAGTTGAGGGTGGAGCTTGTCCTCCCTGACTTCAAATGGGACTTCTGGGACTGCGGTTGGAGGTCTTGATGAATTGCCATTTACTCTGCCAAATCACCGCTTGGGTAAAAATTCAGATTGTTTTCCAGAAATTATTAAATGCTGTCTTAAACTCATATTGCAAATTGTCATAGAGAAAAAAAGAATTATATTCTCCAAACTGGGAATTTATTCAAAAAATTCCATTTTCTCATGTTGTTTGGTTACATATCTCCGAAAGCAGATTTAGCTTTCTCTTTGCTTTTCCTGAACTGTAGCTAAGATTATATTTTATGTAGAAATTTAAAATTTCTATATGATCTGAACCAAACAGCTTCCAACTTTGGGGGTTTTGGGTTTTGTTTTTGTTTTGGTCTGAGAGGGTTGAATCATCTAAGTGTTTCCTTTGTCAAACATGCACATGTAGACAAAGAATAAGAGAAAATTAAAAGTAGAAAGATTTATTACAACCTAGATTTCTTCCATTCTACTTCCTCTAGTTAGCATCACCCACATAGTAACTTACTTATCTAAGAGTCCTGAAGATCAGCTGAACATTATAAGCATTATTTAAAATATTAAACATTGTGAAAACATAGATATAGAAGTTTATTGAAGATAATGTTTTCAAACAGTTACATAATAATTTGAATATAGGAATCCTAGGAATTTAATTTTTTCTGACATCAAATACTTTAACAACACCAGGGTTTTGGGGTAATCATAGTCCCTCAGGGCTTTCAAATATGCACATTTAGTGAAGTATAGATTGGAAAAACTACAGTGAACACATTGACATTAATCAGTGTATTCAAATATGTTTCCTACTATTGCTGTAATTTGTGGTGCTTTGCTTTTGAGGTGACATGCTGCTCTTGGATTGGAGCACCTTTAAGTTCTAGAAATAGATCTAATGATTGATACATCCAACTGAACTGAAATATGATGTTCGTGCTTGCCCGAGCCTCATAAAAGGTGGCTGAGGATCTCTGGAGTGGTTACCCTTTCAGCTTGTGAAGCACCTGCCATGTGACTCTCTAAGAGGCTTCTTTATTTGACACAACTGAACATCAGGCTAAAGTGCTAAAACAAGCTACTCATTTCTCCTTCTTTTCTCTTGTGCATTTCATTCTCCCTTTGAAGATGACTGTGCACTCACAAATTCTTTTTTTTTTTTTTTTGACAGAGTCTTGCTCTGTCTCCCAGGCTGGAGTGCAGTGGCGCGATCTCGGCTCACTGCAACCTCTGCCGTCCAGGTTCATGCCATTCTCCTCCCTCAGCCTCCCGAGTAGCTGGGATTACAGGCGCCCGCCACCATGCCTAGCTAATTTTTTTTTTTTTTTGTATTTTTTAGTAGAGACGGGGTTTCACCATGTTAGCCACACAAATTTTTAAATAGTAGAAGGGGCACTACTTGAATAGGCAGAAGGGAGTGTCCTGTAAGTGTCTCTCTCCCTGGGCAACTGGTGTGATTGAGGGAAGAAGTCCAGCATCTGATTAACTTCGCAGGGAGGTTTGCTCAGCACAGAAACTCTAAAGGAAACTGGGGAAGAGACGGCAAATGGCTTCATTATTTCCCACATACAATATCCTGTCATAGTAATAGTGTAATAATGGATTTATGAAAGAATATTGTCATGATTTTCTTCTTTTGGGATCAAAAGGAAAGAAAAAAATTGTGTTATACAACATCGTTCTCAGGAGACGTGAATTGGTTTTTAAACGTTTCAGATTTAGTGCTTTCTTGAGCGCTACGTCAGGATCAACCAGATCTCCAATGATAAAGCTATGGAGCGAAGAAATCCACTGGGAATGATCACACTTTGTATAGAGGAGCTCTGGGCTCTATGAAGCCATCTGAAGAGAAACGTGGGAGGATGGGACTGTGAAAACAGGGACCCCTGCGGCACTTGGGAGCCATGGCCCTTTGCAGTCTGCATATTTCTGTCTGGGCACCCAGCGCCATCTCTCCCAACCTACCTGTCCCCCTACTCAGAATATGATGATTAACCCAGGGCCCTAACCAGGGAAGCTGTGTTCAAGGAGAAGCCAGTGCCTCCACATCCATCCTGGAAGACACACCACTGGGTATAGACAGGGACATGGCTTCCTTCCATTCCAGGACCTTCAGAGCCGGGATGTGTGTTCAGCTGGTTTGTCCCCCGAGGGGAGAGGGAGAAGGGAGAACAAATGAGCTGTTGTAAACACACATACAGTGTGGTCTTTCTGTGAACCTGATAAGTAACATCTAACTTCATGCATAGGACGTGTTAGGATGGACAAGGCCACAGTCCCTTGAGCCTGACCTGTAGAAAGTAACCATGGAAGGGCATGGTTGACCAGTGCTGATGAGTATGGCTTGTGGGGGAGGGCAGTGGTGTAGATCTTGGTGAGACAAGCATGGAGAGACTCAAAGGTGAGTAAAATTACATCTTCGAAAGAAGGATTGCTTTCTCTCATCTCAAGTTAGGAAATTAAAGCTATTGCATCTGCACCCAGCGTTAAGCCTAAATTCACAAGAAGTGACTTTAAATATACAATTTTACAGCAGGCATATAGAATGGGTCTCGATGGTCATTAATGAACCAAAATATAAGTAACTTAATTTAAATGCTTGAAAAGTGACCTGGAGGAAATCTGCTGCCTGCTACAGCTCAGAGCAAGTGCTAATCATCTGAGATACTAAGGTACACACCTTTGTAAAAGGAAGCAGGTGCAATCTGGTGTGCGCTTAACTTAAAATTCCCACTTTGAAGAGGGCAAAGTACAGATCATTCTGGATTTATATAAAGTAGTAAGAGTTTGGTTGGGATGGGGGGGCAATGACTGAGAAATAAAGTTAGAAAGAGTCCTTGTATAATCTGCTGCTGCTGATATGCCATAGACCTAGTGCTGTGATAGATTAACTGAGCCCTTTGACCCTAAGGAAAGGAAGGGAGGGAGGTGGGAGGCAGGGAAGGGAGAAGACATGCTTCACCCATGTGAATTCTGAACCAGCTGAGGGATTCACAAAAGATTCCAGCCAGTGGAGATAAGTTCAGCTTTTATCACTGACAGGGCTGTTGAGACTGTGGCTTGATTCTAGGGCACAGTAACTCCCTATCCCTGAATTCTGGGGTAAGACAGGCTTGCCCACCATTCAGAGGCAATGCTGACCAACCATAGGTCTGCGACCCTAAGTTAGAGAGCTGGGAGAGCAAAGCAGAAAACCAGGGTGCTCTCAGCAGGAAAGAAGGGGCTTTCCCCCGTGACAGGGTTTGGGTTTGTGTCCCCACCCAAATCTCGTCTCTGTAAAATAGAAAACTCTCATGTCTCAGTGTTGGAGGAGGGGCCTGGTGGGGGGTGACTGGTTCATGGGGGTGGATTTTCCCCTCACTGTTCTTGTGACAGTGAGTGAGTTCTCACAAGATCTGGTTGTTTAAAAGTGTAGCACTTCCTCCGTCTCTCTTCCCCCTCCTCTCTTCCAGCCATGTGAAGATGTGCTTGCTTCCCCTTCATCTTCCACCATGATCGTAAGTTTCCTGAGGCCTCCCCAGCCATGCTTCCTGTACAGCCTGCAGAGCTGTAATCCAGTTAAACCTCCTTTCTTTAAACATTACTCAGTCTCAGGCATTTCTTTATAGCAGTGTGAGAACAGACTAATACATTCCCCAAATCCAATATCAAATAAGTTACACCCTCAACCTGGGCAAAATAAACAGGATGCTTTAGGGGAAAACCCTCCTCCTATAAACTAAAAGATCAGGGAATAAAGGCGCTTCTTCTCCCTTTCCCCAGTAGTTCTGTTGGGTTCCTTCAATTAATATTTCTTGATTTAGGCTGGGTGCGGTGGCTCACACCTATAATCCCAGCATTTTGGGAGGCCAAGGCTGGCCAATCTCTTGAGGCCAGGAGTTGGAGACCAGCCTGGCCAACATAGTGAAACCCCCTCTATTAAAAATACAAAAATTAGCTGGTCATGGTGGCATGCCTGTAATCCCAGCTACTTGGGAGTCTGAGGCAGGAGAAACACTTGAAACTGGGAGGCAGAGGTTGCAGCGAGCTGCGGTGGCACCACTGCACTCCAGCCTGGGCAACAGAGTGAGAATCTGTCTAAAAAATAACAATACTTCTAGATTTAGTATTTAGCGGTTTGAGAGCCCAAGCAGCCTATAATAATATTACAATCACCTGTAGAGGAGAAGTGAGACTCTACCTCTGCCTTCTTAGTTCCTGGCTGGATCTGAGAGTGAAGTTGACATAGGTAGGTTATCAGGAGAAAATCATACAAATTTAATAGAGGTTTTACATGGCACAGGAGCCTGAATAAGAAAATGAAGACCCAAAGAAATGGCAATACCTAACTGCTTTGATATTAGGTTGAGCAAAAAGAAGCAGCTGTGGAAAAGTAACTAAATTACGTGGGGAGGCTGCAGGAAGATAGGCATTATTTTACCACGGTCTGTTTCTACAGAATTATCTTCGCTATGGCTCCTGGTCGCAGAATGCTTCTTTTCTCCCGGTGCAGGGAAGGGCATCTTTCACAGGAATGTTTTTATCTCCTGTTTTTGAGGAGAAAAGGGGAGAATGACATGCACTTCTTCTATCTGCTGTTTTTCAAGTGTTTCTAACTCAAAATAATCCTTATGCCAAAGTGACATATTTTGGGGTGCACATTCTGGCACCCTTTGCCCGTAAATGGATTATTTATTCCAGTGGTTTTCAAATTTTTACAGAACCTTGGCATCAGTGTGAAGTGACTGTAATAGCACTCAGGTGTTTGAGCTTCACTCAGTATTACTAAATCAAAATCTGCCAGCAGGAAACCCAGGCACTGAGGGCCAGCCCATAATGCCAAAGGCTTTGCAGAGTCCTTGCTGTGCCCTCGGGATGCAGAATTAAGCTGGAAGCAAGCCCTGTCCACAGTCTTGAAGAGGAAACACACAAGTAGGCAAATAAATTCTAGCACAGTGGGAGGCTGTGACAGCAGGAGGATGGGAAATGGGCAGAAGAAGCCAATCGCCAATCACCACAGTTTCACAGGGGCTGGTTCTGACAGTCACGTCTCAGACCCGGAGGATCCTGGAGGGACTGCATTGATTAATGGGCTCCTTCACTTTCTGGCTTTGAGTTCTGTTCAGCCAGCAGGGCACCCCCACAGGAGACAGAGAAGGAAGCTGGGTGTTCTCCCCCTGGCTCCTGCCACAGGGTGGCATGCATCAAGGGGGGCTGGGTAGGGAAGCTCCTGACAATGGGACTCTTTCCTGGTGGTGGCACCACCAGGACAGGGGGAGGCCCCAGCTTCCCTGTGGACCCTTCAGGCTAGCAGTGGTAGGGGCTTCCCACCACCTGAGCTAGTGAACTCTATACCCTGTCCATACCTATGCAAATAGCTCCCTTATGAAACTCTCCTAACATTACCCCATCCACATGTGCCAATGATTCGCTGATTTGCACAGGAATCAATGGCTTGGAAGAAGATTCTGAAATCAATCATGGAAGGCTTAGGAAATGCTGCCCTGCCCATGCTCCTGATGGCACAGAGGCCGACATCATGCTGCCCGTGCTCCTGATGGCACAGAGGCCGACATCATGCTGCCCATGCTCCTGGTGGCACAGAGGCCGACATCATGCTGCCCATGCTCCTGGTGGCACAGAGGCCGACATCATGCTGCCCGTGCTCCTGGTGGCACAGAGGCCGACATCATGCTGCCCGTGCTCCTGATGGCACAGAGGCCGACATCATGCTGCCCGTGCTCCTGATGGCACAGAGGCCGACATCATGCTGCCCGTGCTCCTGGTGGCACAGAGGCCGACATCATGCTGCCCGTGCTCCTGGTGGCACAGAGGCCGACATCATGCTGCCCGTGCTCCTGATGGCACAGAGGCCGACATCATGCTGCCCGTGCTCCTGGTGGCACAGAGGCTGACATCATGCAGAAAATTATGGACATTAATGAATTTGAGTTAACAATAGATTCAAATGAACTGTCACTGGAGAATTTCTGGAAGCCATAAACCAATGTGTTTTACTGATATATTCCTCTTCATGAATGTACAATAGTGATACATCATTTTTTAAAATCTTTGTCTTAATAAGTCTACCTATCTCAGTAAGTATAAAGTAAAAATCCTGGGTGATAAAGCACTTTATCACAATTTAGCTGACCACCTACATTGTTTTAATGAAACAAAGTAATGATAAATCATACAATCAATGGTATTTTAGATTCAATAAAAAATGACAGTGGCTTTTGGCATGAGTTCTGCCTAGGCTGGTGGTAATACTGTGTTCCCTGCTTTCCTTCTGCAGAGCCATGCATAGCCTTAGCTATCTTTTCATTTTCAACATTTCTGAATTACTTTATTTTAGAAGTCTCTCTTTTACATAGCTCAGGGTTTTGCTTTATGAGTGACATTTGTTTGTCTTATTTCTACCAAGAATATATTTAATGATTTTCACAAATCCTTTTGTCATAGTTCCCTTTGTCGTCTCTTGGTTGGCTGAAATTTATTCTCCAATAGTTTCCTAAAGGAAGAGCCCATGAGAACAGTATTTTCTATCTTAATGCATGTTTAATGGTTTAATGGTGTTTTACTGACTTTTTTTTTTTTTTTTTTTTTTTGAGACGGAGTTTCACTCTTATTGCCCAGGCTGGAATGCAATGGCGCAATCTCAGCTCACTGCAACCTCCGTCTCCCAGGTTCAAGCGATTCTCCTGCCTCAGCCTTCCTAGTAGCTGGGATTACAGGCACCTGCCACCACGCCCAACTAATTTTTTTTGTATTTTTAGTAGAGACGGGGTTTCACCATGTTGGTCAGGCTGGTCTTAAACTCCTGACCTCAGGTGATCTAGCCGCCTCAACCTTCCAAAGTGCTGGGATTACAGGTGTGAGCCACCGTGCCCAGTGTTTTACTGACATTTTTACACAAAAGGACAGTTTGCCTTCAACTTTCCTCTTTTCAGTATTTTGCTGGTGTTGCTTTGCTACCTTTTAGTTAAATTTTGCCAAGAGGAAACTAGAGGCTAATCTTTTACCTGCCTTGCAAGTAATTTTCTTTTCTTTTTTTTTCATTTTTTTATGTTGTTGTCGCTTTGGTCGTGCTGACTTCGAAATTCTTTATCTTCAAAGCACAATGATTGTACTAGAATCCATTTCAGCGTTTACGATTCTAGTTCTATTTTCCTAGGGCATAGTATGCCTTTCAGTATGTTGCTTGTTTTTAATTTCAGGAACATTTTTTGAATTAACATGTAAATAATCGTTGTTATTTTTTTCTGTAGGATTTTAATTTTTTGTGTATCACAACTCTCATCTGATTTCTGATCATCTTTTCTCCCTAGTCCTTTTAATTTTTCCTTTGTTCCCATTTCATTGAATTTACTTTTCTCATCTGGCGTCTCTATCCATTTGTGCGTCTTCAATTTCTGTTCTTCCTAGTGCTCCTTTTGATTTCATTTTCTTTTCCTTTTTTCTTAAATAATAATTCTGAGTTCTCTAAGCTCATGTTTTCTCTACTGTTATTTAGTCATCATTTCCTTAAGTTCTCAAATATCTGATTTGTGATTCTCCTGCATAGAGGTTATTTATTAAGTTTTTTTTTATCATAGAGAAACAGTCACTTTAAAAATCTGTGCTGTGGCAACGTGTTTCTGGTGAGTGTTATTCCTCTATTGAAATTTTGTTGCTTTTCTTCAAAATTTGTCATGTAGTATCTTATATCAGTGATGCCCCAGCTCCTTCCTACCTGCTATTGCTTTTTTTCCCCATCATTGAATGACTTAGAATTTGTGGAAATTTCGTATATAAAGGAGGGGTCAAGGGAACCCTCAGATTTTTACTGTAAAAGATTCTGCCCTCTGCTGCCATAGAAACAGTTAGATTCCTGCAAGTGTGGCCAGTTATTGTATTTCCCTCTCTCTCCTTCTTTTTTGATATCTCATTTCCTCTAACACTTTGAGCTAAGCCAAGTTCAAGAAGCCTTCTCCCTTATACTCTGTTTCTCCATCCATTGTTACTAACAAGGAATTTAGCTGTATGTTTCAGTTCAGCTGTATGTTTCCATCATTTTCGGGAAATGTGTTTTTCTGAACTTTTCCAAAGATCTGCTACAATTTAGCTCACCTTCAGCTCTTCATTATTTTACTCTTCAATCTTGCTTGCATGCTTCTGCAGGATCTTAGCTGTTTCTAGTATCCTGTGCATGCATTTTGTACTAGAGGGAATACATCTATCTCCTAGTTTTGCTCAAAATGGAGGTTTTCCTTTTACGATTTCCAAGAGGAGAAAGGGAGAGATGATGATTTATGCAGCAATGCTCATAGTGTAAATCCACTTCGAAATGTTTTAATTTGACTTATTGGAAATATTTTCTGTGGGAATCAGCTTTTGGTTAATATACTATACAGAGATGCTCCTCGACTTACAATGGGGTTACATCCCAAGAAATCCATTGTAGGTTGAAAATACGATAAGTTGAAAATGCCTTTAAAGGATAAGATGGTCAAGATGGTGAAATGCAGAAGTCCTGACTCATGTGCAATGGCCATTACTGTTTGCAGCTTCATGCCGGGAAGTTATCTTGAGTTTCATCTCAAGAATAATTGTCTTCTTCTCATCAGAAGCAGGAAACACAGAGGAGTGTCTGTAGAAATGAAGAGATGGGAAAACACGATATCCAAAAAACTGCAGGCAATACAGTCCACTGTGCAGTATTGGCTGTTACCCCGATGGTCATGGGGCTGCCTGGAAGCTGCGGCTCGCTGCCCCTGCCCAGCAGCAGGAGGGAGTATTGGACAGCACGTCCCCAGCCCCGGAAAAGATCAAAAGTCAAAAGTGGAAGTATGGTTTCTACTGAATGTGTATCACTTTGGCAGCACCGTAAAGTCAAAAAATTAAGTCAAACCACGGTAAGTCAGGGAACATCTGTCTAGCTGTAGGACAATTCTTGAAGAACTAATTGCAGTGCTCCCAGCATGGTGCAAATATGAGGGTAACATTCAGTTTAATTAAATGTCAAATCATAGGATGGAAAATGACAGTATCTTTGTCCAAAAAGCAGATGCAGAAGCAGCATAATCCACAGAAATTTTCAATTTCATTTGCTACCCAGCGGCTCAAATCCATTATATGTTAAGTATTGTTCCAGGGCTTCAGCCTCCCCGGCAGATTTCTCCTGTTTTTGCTGTTGCTGCAGGGACTGGCCCCGTCTTCTGAGGACCAGGCCTCCACGGTGGCTGCACACCTCTGCTTTAAATACTTTTAAAGTTGCAGAAAAGGACCTTCTTGAAGCAAAAAAGACACCGTCCTCTTCTGCATGGGCCAATGCTCAACATACACATGCATGGAAAAAAATTTCCAGGAAGTGATAAACTAAGCATGGGGCAAATAAAACAACACATGACCTGATTTCATCTCCAAGTTTGCTCTTGTGTAGGAAAAGATAAGCATTTCTTTCAATGTTAAGTTGGGGTGGTATCTAATAAATCAGAATGAAAACTCAGGTTTCATAAAAGCAGTGATTTCTCTTCCAGAGAGGGCTCTGAATACATTGTTACTTACTTGAACATGCTGTCCTTCAAGGTAGGAGCTGAGGCAGGGCCTACACCTGTAATCCCAGCACTTTGGGAGGCCAAGGTGGGAGGATTGCTTGAGCCCAGGAGTTTGAGGCCAGCCTGGGCAACATAGTGAGACCCAGCCTCTACCAAAAAAAAAAAAAAAAAAGAAAAAGAAAAATTAGCCAGACATGGTGATGCTTGCCTGTAGTCCCAGCTACCGGAGAAGCTGAGGTGGGAGGATCACTGGAGTCCAGAAGGCAGAGATTGCAGTGAGCCGGGATCACGCCACTGCACTCTAGCCTGGGCAACAGAGCGAGACCCTGTCTCAAACAAATAAAACAAAGTAGAAGATGATATCCAAGCCATTTGTGATTTGTTCTGACCTTCCAATCTATGATTTAGGTATTGATTTAGAATGCATTTTATTCATCCTATAAAAATCTCTGCCAATTATTCTTTTTTTTTTTTTTTTTTTTTTGAGATGGAGTCTGGCTTTGTCATCCAGGCTGGAGGGCAGTGATGTGATCTTGGCTCACTGCAACCTCCGCCTCCTGGGTTCAAGTGATTCTCCTGCCTCAGCCTCCCGCGTAGCTAGCTGGGATTACAGGTGCCCACCACTACGCCTGGCTATTTTGTGTATTTTAGTAGAGACACAGTTTCGCCATGTTGGCTAGGCTGGTCTTGAACTCCTGACCTCAAGTGATCCTCCTGCCTTGGCCTCCCAAAGTGCTGGGATTACAGGTGTGAGCCACCACGCCCTCACAGAACAATGTATTCCTTAACTTTTTATATGCTTTTTTTAGATTGAAAAATTTCAAAATTATAAGCAAATTTAATGCTTGAAATTGGACATCAGCATTGAGCTGGAGAAAAATCAATGGTTCCTTCTGATGTGAAAGGAAGCAACAATATATAAATACAGGTCTATGTCTTCATTTCTCCTTGTAACAAAAATGGGGTATTCAGTGTTGAAAATTTCCTTAGGCAATTCCCCAAACAACTACTTAAAAATACCCAGAGTTGGCCACTTGTTCTGTGCCTACATCAGACTCCAAAAAAGGAACAAACACTTTCAGCAATGGTGATTGACCCTCCTATAAGTTTCTCTCATTTTAAAACATGGGAAAATCATCACTTCTCACTCAATAGAAGAGGTTAGGTTTAGGGCCGTGCTATGTTTATTTTATTGCTACTATGTAAGCCAACTTTGATTCTGGCCAGAACGATCAGCTTATGTTTATATCAGCTTTAACAAGATCCATAACTGTTTTCCCTCTTCACTAGCCTGGCTATATGTGGGATACAAACTTCTGTGCTTCTCACAAGGAAAAAAAAATCCAATTTCAAAGACTCAGGTCTAACCACTCAGGTGACTTTAAAATCAAATTATTCTATAGAATTTTACAGGGTGACAGCATATTTGTTGAATGATATGATATTGATGTGTACATGAATTTTTAGTTGGAGACTAAAATCTGTTTTAGAAATAGATCCAGTGCTTTTTAGAAAATACTTAAATTTTTCCCATTGATCATATAGTTCCCTAAAGTTTTAGCTTTTTAAAAAATCTAAATGGCATTATGCTTTTAAAGAAAGGAAAGTGGAACGTTTGATTATGAAATGTAGGGAATGCTAATGTTTTATAGTTTATGTCTTCAAGAATCAGTTTTTAAGTTTTTTTTTTGTTTTTGTTTTTTTTTTTAAGACACAGTCTCGTTCTGTCGCCCAGGCTGGAGTGCAGTGGCGCAATCTCGGCTCACTGCAAGCTCCGCCTCCCGGGTTCAAGCGATTCTCCTGCCTCAGCCTCCTGAGTAGCTGGGACTACAGGTGTCCACCACTACGTCCGGCTAATTTTTGTATTTTTAGTAGAGACAGGGTTTCACCATGTTGGCCAGGATGGTCTTGAACTCCTGATCTCGTGATCTGCCCACCTAGGCCTCCCAAAGTGTTGAGATTACAGGCGTGAGCCACCGTGCCTGCCCCAGTTTCTAACATTTTTTATAACCATCATACAATTGAAACAAGGTGCAACTGGACTCACGAGGTCATGGGTCAATTTCCTGTGAGTGTGGGCTTAGACCGTCCAGCTTGTTCTCCTGCCACCCACTCTTAGCATGGAAGGACGAAGCGGGTGACAATCAGCCAACATGTGCTCAAATAGCTAGATGTTCGATACTGAGTAGAAAAATCCTTACACATCAGCTGAGTTTTTCCATGTTTACCCATATATTTTGGCATAGAATGAACTAAATCTGTGATTTTTCAGCATGTTATGGTTGTAGAGTTCATGAACTATTATTCCATCTTGGGAATACTTTGAGAAGTAAAAGTAAATTTTATTATTGCAAAAGATGCAGTAATATTTAGTATTTTGTTTTAAAAGTCAAAACTTACTCAGCAAATGCACGGCATACAGATGGTGAAGAGGTGATTCAGTAAAGTTTTGGTTTCAAGAAATCCTGGCCCACCTAAGTAATCTCCAGCATAGCAAGGTTTATCTTAAAGATAAAAAAGGATCAAAAGGCCCTTGAGAATTAGGCAGCTACCCCCTCTGTCTCCCTCTCCCTCGTGCAAGATTATCTGCTCCCCACCTATGACTGCTCTCTCCCTTTCCTCAGAGTGGATTCTTCCCCACAGCCACTTGTACTGGCCTCACATGGTCACCTGTGCCCCACTTTATCATGGCTCACTGGCCCCTCTTATCATTTTCTCCCTCCCAGATTATTGACAGATGAATGGGATTTTCACAGTTTACCTTTTCAATGTGGCTCTGTATCCTTAGCAAACCTATGGATTCTCTGCCAGTGGCAGAATAGAGACAGTTGCAAACTCTTTTCTTCTCCCATCGAAAGATGAAGTCTGATTTCCCTCTCCTTAACACTGGCTTTGCCTTTGAGATTTGCTTGATGCATAGAATACAAGAGAAGTAACTCAGAAGAAGAACTTCCAAGGTTAGGTCAGAAGGAGCCTCGCAACTTCTATCTGGGTCTCTGGTAGAACCACACTCTTGCCCTTGGAACCATGAGCTGCCACTTTGCTAGAAAGACCTTGTGAAAAGGCTCTTGGACAACACAGATAGGAGAGGAGTCCAGCTGAGTCTTGCCTTCCTATGCCCCCGCCAAGGTGCCAGCTACAGGAGTGAAGCTATCTTGGACCCTTCAGACCAGATCAGCTATCAGCTGAATACCATCCACCATCCTGAGTCAATGCCACGTGCAACAGCATCACCCACAGGAGCACTACCCAAATCTCTGACCCACAGAATGATGAAATTTAATACAATGGTTGTTTTAAGCCACTAAGTTTTAGGGTAGTTTGCGATGCAGCAGCAGATGCAACGCCTCTGTTCACAGCGGCTAAGACTCAAAGGGACGCAAACCAAGCAACCTACGTCTACCCCAGCAAGGACAGTGGGTAGAAATTTCCTTACAGAAAAGACTGCATGTCATCAGGAATCATAACTGAAATCTCTCAGTTAATTCCTATCCTAAATTTCCCTCGAGGATATAACAAGGAGAAACAGTATTAAGTTACAGCTAGACTCTGGTGGGATTTAGATTAAAAATATAAAAGTACATCTAGATGCTAGATGAGACTAGTGACGTCACGAACCAGACTGAAACTTAATCACATTAAGAAGCAGGTAATCATATTCAAACGAGATTTGTACTTGGTAACTTAAGGATAATTACATCTCAAAGCCAAGGACTATCTTTGTCAATCTCATGTTTTCATGATCAGCTGAAGCAGAGAAATTAATACATTTTAATGATGAAACTTAGCCTACATGTATTTTGTAGATATTCACTTAGAAGTGAAAAATATGATGTAAAATCAGTTATGTGTAGATATTTTTGGAGAAAAAACCTTAAAACTTAGAAACCAGTTACATAGTCATTATTAACTTAAAACAGATCATACTGATATATTTCTCATATTTCATGCCCTTCCTTAAAGACAATGATTTTTTCTCAAACATCAAACATTTCAGCCTTTACATATTTCTCCAGAAACCACCACAAGCATCCATATAGTGTGTTTACTGTCAGGTTTATTCTGACTTGCCTTCACAACAGTTGACTCTCAGTTTAGCTTGTTGATTCACAGAAAAAAAAACCTGAATGCCACCAAGAAATTTCCAAGAATTGTTAAAAAAAATTAAATGTGAAAAGAAGAACCTCTGATCCTTACTCAATGTGTTCTCTATTTTTCCCTCGGACTAATTAAGAAAAGCATGTTAATTATAATGGATTCCAAATGTGCTAACCTCCAGTTAGTATTTTTTAAAGTATTGACTATTTTGGCCAGTCCAAGATTGCCTATTAGATTATAAGCTCCTCTGAGACCCAGAGGCCATGCCTTTGTTGTCATTGACCAGAAAGGGAGAAAGAGTAAATCTCTGTTCATTTTGGGGGGTGTGATAACTCCCATTTCAGGTGTGCTGAAGGTGGCAGTGATGGACATTTGCTGTTTTTACCATCTAGCATCTGTTTATTGCTTTTTTCTCTCTTTTTTTTTTTTTTTTTTTTGAGACACAGTCTCACTCTGTCACTCAGGCTGGAGTGCAGTGGCCTGATCTCGGCTCACTGCAAGCTCTGCTTCCTGGGTTCACGCCATTCTCCTGCCTCAGCCTCCTGAGAGGCTGGGACTATAGGCACCTGCCACCAAGCCTGGCTAATTTTTTTGTATTTTTTTAGTAGAGACGGGGTTTCACTGTGTTAGCCAGGACGGTCTCGACCTCCTGACCTCGTGATCTGCCTGCCTCGGCCCCACAAAGTGCTGGGATTATAGGCGTGAGCCACTGTGCCTAGCCTGCTTATTGCTTTTTTCAAACTAGCTTCTCCTTGAGGAGAACAGCCTTCCCTATTTCATCCATCTGATTTGGGTGGACAGAAGACCTACCTCCAACTGCAAGGATGAGACGTCACGGGCTTCAGTTGATCAACACAGCTCAGCACCTTTGCAGACAGATTTGCTTAGAAATGTCCAAATAGTCTATAGCCAAGGTGGTATGTTTTAGGGCTTCTGAATAAATAAGAGCTTTTATTCTCCGGCTTGCAGGAGCTCCTGAAAAGCAATCTCCTTCTTCTCCTGAGTGTGATGTTGAAGATCTGTAACTACAGTCACCAGTTTGCCGCCAGGTGGGAACACCAGTTGGGAACAACACGGGCCTGCGAGGGATGCCGCTGAAAGCAGGAAAGATTAGTGACACAGACAGAAGCTGGACGAAGTCTCACCTCAGGTGCACATCTGGGCTTCGCAATTTTATGAACCTGTAAGTTCTCTGATTCCAAAGGTGAGTTGTATTTTGGCTTATGTTTTGCAGCTGAAAGATTTCTAACTTCTTTTCCACCACAGAATCTTTGAATGATTTAGATATAAACTTCAAGCTCCATTTAGGTCAGTGATTTTTGTCTGTATTGTTCACTGATGAATCCCACTGCCTTGAGCACAGCCTGGCAATATTAGGTGCTCAGTGAATATCTGTTGATAAAACGCGCAAAGTTGGTTCAGCCTTTAAGAAGATGAATGTTGTTAATAACACATGCCTAATGAAAGAATCTGAGTACATATTCCTAGAATACACACATAAAATTTAAAACACCTAAAAATGCTTAAATACATTTAAAAAAACAAAAAACAAAACTATAACGATTGGTGAGATTCAGCCAGTAGTGTGTTGGAGCTGGCTTGTCCTGGCTTTGGAGACTGAGCTGTATACATCTCCTCCTGATTCCGCATCCAGTGTCTTCATGTTGGCAGCCTGAAATTGACCAGAGGGGGCATTTATACCATGGTAATCGGCAAACACTGCAAATGAGGGGTTTATTTCCTCTCCTCTGCCCTACCCTCCCAGAGAGCCAGTTCAGCATTATTTTTCCTAGAAAAACCTTTTAGTGAGGTGAACACTTTCTTTTAAAAAAATAAAATCTTCCCATTTCAGAGCTGGAAGGAAACTCTGAAGTTTTCGACTTCGGTATCCTAAGTTGACAGGCGAGGAATCTCTCCATGAGCTAAGTTACGGAGGTGACAGCACACCCCGGACCCTCAATTTGCAAGATCCAAATCACACAGCCACTCCGCAAGAAAAAGCGTGGGAAATAATCCAAACACATGCGTCTCTAGCGAGATGCCAGGCATTTGTTGGGGAAAATATGTCCCTCCAATTATATGATGTCAGGGATCACTCTAGATGGGGTTTGTGTGGGTCAAATGTGGTACCAGGACCCCTAGATCTGGCCAGGCCTATCCCAGGCTCACTGTCCTGCAGGGACTAAATACCCAGCCGCAGCCTAGTGTGCTATCTCTGTAGGTTGTGTGAAATGACTCAACATTTCCTGCTCTTTCTCAAAGGTAAACTCACACCAGCCCTTGCGCGGCAGGCCAATTCTCCCTGACGATCACACAGACAGGCCTGCATGACGGTCACACAGACAGGCCTCCTGACGATCACACAGACAGGCCTCCTGACGGTCACACAGACAGGCCTCCTGATGGTCACATAGACAGGCCTGCATGACGGTCACACAGACAGGCCTCCTGACGGTCACACAGACAGGCCTGCATGACGGTCACACAGACAGGCCTCCTGACGGTCACACAGACAGGCCTCCTGATGGTCACACAGACAGGCCTGCATGACGGTCACACAGACAGGCCTCCTGATGGTCGAACAGACAGGCCTCCTGACAGTCACACAGACAGGCCTGCATGACGGTCACACAGACAGGCCTGCATGACGGTCACACAGACAGGCCTCCTGACGGTCACACAGACAGGCCTCCTGACGATCACACAGACAGGCCTCCTGACGATCACACAGACAGGCCTCCTGACGGTCGCACAGACAGGCCTGCATGACGGTCACACAGACAGGCCTCCTGATGGTCGAACAGACAGGCCTCCTGACGGTCACACAGACAGGCCTCCTGACGGTCACACAGACAGGCCTCCTGATGGTCGAACAGACAGGCCTCCTGACGGTCACACAGACAGGCCTCCTGACGGTCACACAGACAGGCCTGCATGACGGTCACACAGACAGGCCTCCTGATGGTCACACAGACAGGCCTGCATGACGGTCACACAGACAGGCCTCCTGACGATCACACAGACAGGCCTCCTGACGATCACACAGACAGGCCTCCTGACGGTCGCACAGACAGGCCTGCATGACGGTCACACAGACAGGCCTCCTGATGGTCACACAGACAGGCCTGCAGAGCGCTCCAGTTACACAGATAGATTTCCACAGCACGGCCGTCACATGGAACGAATAGTTAAACCTAGGGAAATCAGTGCCCAGACGTCAAAGCTAGAAATGAAACATAAGACGGTCAGTAGGAGCCTTACATGGCCTTCTCCCTAACCTGGAGCAAGCTGAAATAATAGACAGTTTTACATTCCTAGTGCCAGGACCCGTCTCGGGTCGACAAAATCTGAGACGAGTCAAGGTAACAGAGGCAGCTGTTTGAATAGATTCATTGGAGGGTCTAAGGTAGCTCTCTGGGCCAAGCTGTAAAGGAGATGAAGTAGAAATGATCACTCCGGTGCCACAGTAGACGGGCCTTGAAGGTACTGGGGCCTCACAGCTCAATCGAACTTAGGAAGCATTTCTTTGCCTCTGACCTTCTAGTTGAAACAAAATTCGTTACCAATAGACTTAGGCAATGCTATACTGCACGCAGGCGCATAACCTCAACCTATATTAGCACTAAGAAAATTGTAACA
Source organism: Homo sapiens (assembly GCF_000001405.40). Taxonomy (NCBI): domain Eukaryota; kingdom Metazoa; phylum Chordata; class Mammalia; order Primates; family Hominidae; genus Homo; species Homo sapiens. The sequence goes on from NC_000004.12 coordinate 186,429,066, forward strand.
CTTTGAGTTGGTCTGGTGGAATTCTCTCTGGCCTTCTCCCTGCATCCGGTTACAGCAATAAATTCCCTTCTTTCCTAGTTTGTCTGCTTCTTATTATTGGGCCCCAAGAAAACGCAGCGAGACCCAGCTTGGTTCTGCGAACACTTGTGCACCAGAATCGAAGGTAAGGCAATAAAAGACCTTGATCTTTATTATATCCTGCGAGCCAAGAATAATGACTGTCTTTTTCTGGGAAATAAAATAAATAAATAAACACACATAAGAAGAGATGGAGAAAATTATCTCAAATTTCCAAAAAAAAAAAAAAAAAATCTCGTTTTCCCTCACCTGAAGATGATAAAACAAGGCATTAAAGTAGCACAGACTGATGATCCTGGTGTAATGCAGGCTGTGTATCTTGGTTTTCCCTGTAAGGTACCCTGCCAGCTCCCAGCTAGGACTCTAGGCATCCTCCACACTCCTCCCTGCCCCAGGCACGTTTCCTTGATGCTGCGAGGAGCACGTGGAAGGAATAAGGGCATTGCGGTTCACTGCCGTCCCAGAAAAGCTGCTGTCCCTGTCGCTGATGTCTAAGAGTAGTCTGGCACTGGCTGGGAGTGGTGGCTCACTCCTGTAATCCTAGCACTTTGGGAGGCCGAGGCGTGTGGATTGCCTGAGCTCAGGAGTTCAATACCAGCCTAGGTAAAACGGTGAAACCCCATCTCTATTAAAATACAAAAAAAAAAAATAGCTGGGTGTGGCGGCGTGTGCCTGTAATCCCAGTTACTTGGGAGGCTGAGGCAGGAGAATTGCTTGAACCTGGGAGGCAAATATTGCAGTGAGTCGAGATCAAGCCATTGCACATTGCACTCTAGCAGCCTGGGCAACAGAGTGAGACTCCATCTCAAAAAAAAAAAAAAAAAAAAAAAAAGAGTAGTCTGGCACAACTGTAAAAGCAGTGTAACCCTGATTATGTCAACTTTGTGTGGATAAATCAGGTGTTATTTTCTTTATGGGATTTTTTTTTTTTGAGGCGGAGTCTCGCTCTGTTGCCCAGGCTGGAGTGCAGTGACACGATCTCAGCTCACTGCAAGCTCCGCCTCCTGGGTTCATGCCATTCTCCTGCCTTAGCCTCCTGAGTGGCTGGGACTACAGGTGCCCACCACAATGCCCAGCTAATTTTTTTATATTTTAGTAGAGACGGGGTTTCACCGTGTTAGCCAGGATGGTCTTGATCTCCTGACCTCATGATCCGCCCTTTTACCCATACTTAGTTTTTGTTTTCCTTCCAGAGGAAAGAAGAAACAAATGCCAATCTAAAAACATATGGAGTTTCTATAGTCAGTCTATTTTTTCTTGGCCGATCGTTTGATCAGTAATAACTTTGCACTTAGCATGACCTAGGTAATGACATTATTTCTATCATTATTGCATTTTCCCTATTTGGATAATCAATTAAGTCAACAGTATTTAGAATTTTGCTGCTCAGACTGAGTCACTGGAAAAAAAAAAATAAGCCAGTGAAAATATAGACCCCAGATTAGAGGCCCAGTCGGGATCAGGCCGTGGCTGACGAAGTGGAGTGGAAGCCGCAAGAACAGGGAGAGGCTCCTGCGCTGACCCAGGGAAGTGTGCTCCGGCAGGCGCTGCATCTCTCCTTTGCTCAGACACCCAATGCTTGAATGCTTGGAACAACTGTCTTCTTCTTTTTCTTTTCTTTTTTTTTTTTTTTTTTAGAAGGAATTTCACTCCTGTTACCCAGGCTGGAGTGCAATGGCGCGATCTTAGCTCACTGCAACCTCCGCCTCCCGGGTACAAGTGATTCTCTAGCCTCACTCTCCCCAGTAGCTGGGATTACAGGCATGCGCCACCATGCTCGGCTAATTTTGAATCTTTTTTTTTTTCAATGGAGATGCGGTTTCTCCATGTTGGTCAGGCTGGTCTCGAACACCTGACCTCAGGTGATCCACCCATCTCGGCCTCCCAAAGTGCTGGGATTACAGGTGTGAGCCACCACGCACGGCTTTTTTTTTTTTTTTTTTAGATGGAGTTTTGCTCTTGTCACCCAGGATGGAGTGCAGTGACACAATCTCTGCTCACCGCAACCTCCACCTCCCAGGTTCAAGTGATTCTCCTGCCTCAGCCTCCTGAGTAGCTGGGATTACAGGTGCCACCATGCCCAGCTAATTTATTTACTTAATTATTGTATTTTTAGTAGAGATGGGGTTTCACCATGTTGGCAAGGCTTGAACTCCTGTCCACAGGTTATCCACCTGCCTTGATATTTAAAAAATATCTACTGTAAAAATGTGCTTAGTGAGGAACACGTATGCACGCTGGCTAGAGAGAATCAAAATAGGCTCTGCATCAATTACTCAAATTAGTCCAGAAACTGTTCTACAAACGAGCACTGGACTTGGAGAAGCCCACGCCAGCCCTTGACATCCGGGTTACTACAGGAAAACTGCCTGCCTCCCAGGGCTCTTGTTTTCTAATCTTGAAATGAGGAATTGGAGTAAGAAACTCTAGTACCCATTCGTATTTTAACATTTATTGGTTCTGAATGTTCTTACCTCCTTGTAGTGCTGAGCCAGTTTCTGCAGATAATCTAATATGCATATTTCCATCAGCCCCAAAAGGCAGGTCTGCTGGAAGAGTGGAGGAAGGACAGGCGCTCATCGAGTAATCGCCAAGGAGAGGCATTTAGATATTCCGGCTACTTAACTTAGAAAATTAATATTAAGTATCATTAGCATTGGCATGATTGTTCAAATGACATTATCAATTTCTAATAAATAGATCAAAAACTCATGCATGGATTCAGCAGTTATTCAGTAGGTGTCAAATGGTCTGTGTTCAAATATTTGAAGTCTAGCGGTGGGGGTACTATTTAAGACATCACAAGACAGTACTGTATCAACAGCAAATAAGCTGGTTAGTTCAGGGAAGAGGAGAGTTCATCTGGATGTGTGTATTTCATAAGGTCCCGATGGGGACAGCGGCACTCATACGTGGTCTTAGAGAATGTATGTGGCTTGAATAAGTGGGGGAGCGTTCACAGGACATTCCCTGGGGGCTGAGATAGCGAAGGGGGACAAACCTTCTCGAGGAAGAGTGCCTGCCCATCTGAACACAACAGAAGCTTCCTCTGGGCCAGTGGAATGGCAGTGGGAAGGGAGCCTCGGCACCCACTTCTGGAGACAGGACATGTCAAGCTCAACTGTCAGTAATGACCCACGCATAACTATCATACTTCCCAACGCTGTGCACACACGGCATTACCCACCCGTAACCATCATACTTCCTAACACGGCACACACGACATTACCCACCCATAACCATCATACTTCCTAACACCGCACACACGACATTACCCACCCATAACCATCATACTTCCTAACGCCCCACACACGACATTACCCACCCATAACCATCATACTTCCTAACGCCCCACACACGACATTACCCACTCGTAACCATCATACTTCCTAACACCGCACACACGACATTACCCACCCATAACCATCATACTTCCTAACGCCCCACACACGACATTACCCACTCGTAACCATCATACTTCCCACCCATAACCATCATACTTCCTAACGCCCCACACACGACATTACCCACTCGTAACCATCATACTTCCTAACACCGCACACACGACATTACCCACCCATAACCATCATACTTCCTAACGCCCCACACACGACATTACCCACCCATAACCATCATACTTCCTAACGCCGCACACACGACATTACCCACCCATAACCATCATACTTCCTAACGCCCCACACACGACATTACCCACCCATAACCATCATACTTCCTAACGCCCCACACACGACATTACCCACTCGTAACCATCATACTTCCTAACACCACACACACGACATTACCCACCCATAACCATCATACTTCCTAACGCCCCACACACAACATTACCCACCCATAACCATCATACTTCCTAACGCCCCACACACGGCATTACCCACTCATAACCATCATACTTCCTAACGCCCCACACACGGCATTACCCACTCATAACCATCATACTTCCTAACGCCGCACACACGGCATTACCCACCCGTAACCATCATACTTCCTAACACCGCACACACGACATTACCCACTCGTAACCATCATACTTCCTAACGCCCCACACACGACATTACCCACCCATAACCATCATACTTCCTAACGCCCCACACACGGCATTACCCACTCATAACCATCATACTTCCTAACGCCCCACACACGGCATTACCCACTCATAACCATCATACTTCCTAACGCCGCACACACGGCATTACCCACCCGTAACCATCATACTTCCTAACACCCCACACACGACATTACCCACCCATAACCATCATACTTCCTAACGCCCCACACACGGCATTACCCACCCATAACCATCATACTTCCTAACGCCCCACACACGGCATTACCCACCCATAACCATCATACTTCCTAACGCCCCACACACGACATTACCCACCCATAACCATCATACTTCCTAACGCCGCACACACGGCATTACCCACCCGTAACCATCATACTTCCTAACACCACACACACGACATTACCCACTCGTAACCATCATACTTCCTAACGCCCCACACATGACATTACCCACCCATAACCATCATACTTCCTAACGCCCCACACACGACATTACCCACCCATAACCATCATACTTCCTAACGCCGCACACACGACATTACCCACCCATAACCATCATACTTCCTAACGCCCCACACACGACATTACCCACCCATAACCATCATACTTCCTAACGCCCCACACACGACATTACCCACTCGTAACCATCATACTTCCTAACGCCCCACACACGACATTACCCACTCGTAACCATCATACTTCCTAAGGCCCCACACACGACATTACCCACCCATAACCATCATACTTCCTAACGCCCCACACACAACATTACCCACCCGTAACCATCATACTTCCTAACGCCGCACACACGGCATTACCCACCCATAACCATCATACTTCCTAACGCCGCACACACATTACCCACCCATAACCATCATACTTCCTAACGCCCCACACACGACATTACCCACCCATAACCATCATACTTCCTAACGCCGCACACACGACATTACCCACCCATAACCATCATACTTCCTAACGCCCCACACACGACATTACCCACCCATAACCATCATACTTCCTAACGCCCCACACACGACATTACCCACTCGTAACCATCATACTTCCTAACGCCCCACACACGACATTAACCACTCGTAACCATCATACTTCCTAAGGCCCCACACACGACATTACCCACCCATAACCATCATACTTCCTAACGCCCCACACACAACATTACCCACCCGTAGCCATCATACTTCCTAACGCCGCACACACGACATTACCCACCCATAACCATCATACTTCCTAACGCCCCACACACAACATTACCCACCCGTAACCATCATACTTCCTAACGCCGCACACACGGCATTACCCAGCTCATAACCCATCATACTGTCCTAACGCCGCACACACATTACCCACCCATAACCATGCATACTTCCTAACGCCCCACACACGACATTACCCACCCATAACCATCATACTTCCTAACGCCGCACACACGACATTACCCACCCATAACCATCATACTTCCTAACGCCCCACACACGACATTACCCACCCATAACCATCATACTTCCTAACGCCCCACACACGACATTACCCACTCGTAACCATCATACTTCCTAACGCCCCACACACGACATTAACCACTCGTAACCATCATACTTCCTAAGGCCCCACACACGACATTACCCACCCATAACCATCATACTTCCTAACGCCCCACACACAACATTACCCACCCGTAGCCATCATACTTCCTAACGCCGCACACACGGCATTACCCACCCATAACCATCATACTTCCTAACGCCCCACACACAACATTACCCACCCGTAACCATCATACTTCCTAATGCCCCACACACAACATTACCCACTCATAACCATCATACTTCCTAACGCCCCACACACGACATTACCCACTCGTAACCATCATACTTCCTAACACCCCACACATGACATTACCCACCCATAACCATCATACTTCCTAACGCCGCACACACGGCATTACCCACCCATAACCATCATACTTCCTAACGCCCCACACACGACATTACCCACCCATAACCATCATACTTCCTAACGCCGCACACACGACATTACCCACCCGTAACCATCATACTTCCTAACGCCGCACACACGGCATTACCCACCCGTAACCATCATACTTCCTAACACCGCACACACGACATTACCCACTCGTAACCATCATACTTCCTAACGCCGCACACACGGCATTACCCACCCATAACCATCATACTTCCTAACGCACCAAACACGACATTACCCACCCATAACCATCATACTTCCTAACGCCCCACACACAACATTACCCACTCATAACCATCATACTTCCTAACGCCCCACACACGACATTACCCACTCGTAACCATCATACTTCCTAAGGCCGCACACACGGCATTACCCACCCATAACCATCATACTTCCTAATGCACCAAACACGACATTACCCACTCGTAACCATCATACTTCCTAACGCCCCACACACGACATTACCCACTCATAACCATCATACTTCCTAACGCCCCACACACGACATTACCCACCCATAACCATCATACTTCCTAACGCCCCACACACGGCATTACCCACTCATAACCATCATACTTCCTAACGCCCCACACACGACATTACCCACCCGTAACCATCATACTTCCTAACGCCGCACACACGGCATTACCCACCCATAACCATCATACTTCCTAACGCCCCACACACGGCATTACCCACTCGTAACCATCATACTTCCTAACGCCCCACACACGGCATTACCCACTCATAACCATCATACTTCCTAACGCCGCACACACGGCATTACCCACTCATAACCATCATACTTCCTAACGCCGCACACACGGCATTACCCACCCGTAACCATCATACTTCCTAACACTGCACACAGGGCATTACCCACCCATAAGTATCATACTTCCTAACGCCCCACACACGGCATTACCCACCCTTAACCATCATACTTCTTAACGCCCCACACACGACATTGCCCACTCATAACCATCATACTTCCTAACGCCCCACACACGACATTACCCACTCATAACCATCATACTTCCTAACGCCCCACACACGACATTACCCACCCATAACCATCATACTTCCTAACACCGCACACACGACATTACCCACCCATAACCATCATACTTCCTAACACCCCACACACGACATTACCCACCCATAACCATCATACTTCCTAACGCCCCACACACGACATTACCCACCCATAACCATCATACTTCCTAACGCCCCACACATGACATTACCCACCCATAACCATCATACTTCCTAATGCCCCACACACGACATTAGCCACCCATAACCATCATACTTCCTAACGCCGTGCACACATGGCATTACCCACCCATAACCACCGTACTTCTTAACGATGTGAACACATGGCATTACCCACCCATAACCACCATACTTCCTAACGATGTGAACACATGGCATTACCCACCCATAATCATCATACTTCCCAATGAACTGCACACACGGCACAACTGCAAGTGTTCCTACCTAGTTTCAGTATCATTTTAAACATTTTCTAGTTCGACTTGGTCATAAAAATAAAGTTTAGAAATTACTTTGTGCCCTTTTTGTAGAAAAGAAATAAAGCATTTTGAAATGTTAACACAGTGGGCTGGGTCCAATATATTAAACACAGAAACTTTAATGAATAGTAGATACACAGCAATCTTCCCAGCTGTGATTCCTGGAGATTTTTTGGACTGTATTCATACCTGGCATTCTAGACAAAGGAGGGGAAAGAAAGTATGAATGGACAAAAGGCCAAGCTAAGAAGGCAGCAAAGCTTTTTTAATTCAAATTGTAAGAAATAGTTTGTTTCAACAGAATGAAGGATAAAAACCATATGATCATTTCAATTGATGCTGAAAAAACGTTTGATAAAATTCAACATCACAACAAGATAAAAACCCTCAAAGAACTGAGTATAGAAGGAACATAACTCAACATAATAAAGGCCATATACAACAGACCCACATTAGTATCATACTGAATGGGGAAAAACTGAAAGCCTTTCCTCTAAGATCTGGAACATGACAAGGATGACCACTTTCACCACTGTTATTCAACATAGTACTAGAAGTCCTAGCTAGCGCAATCAGAGTAGAGGAAGATGTAAAGGACATCCAAATTGGAAAGGAAGAAGTCAAATTATCCTTGTTTGCTGATACTGTAATTTTATATTTAGAAAAACCTAAAGACCCACAAGACTATTAGAACTGATAAATTCAGTAAAGTTGCAGGATACAAAATCAACATATAAAAATCAGTAGCATTTCTATATGCCAACAGTGAATAATGTGAAAAAGAAATGTAGAAAGTGATCCCATTTACAATAGCCACACATACAATTAAATACTTAGGAATTAACCAAAGAAGCGAAAGATCTCTGTAATGAAAACAGTAAAACACTGATGAAGGAAATTGAAGAGGACACCAAAAAATAGAAAAATATTCCATGTACATGGATTGGAAGAATTAAAATTGTTAAAAATGTTCATACTATCCAAAGGAATCTACAGATTCAATGCAATCCCTATCAAAATACCAGTGATGTTCTTCACAGAAATAGAAAAAACAATCCTAAAATTTATATGGAAACACAAAAGGTCTAGAATAGCCAAAGCTATCCTAAGCAAAAAGAACAAAACTAGAGAAAATCACATTACCTCACTTCAAATTATACTACAGAGCTATAGTAACCAAAACAGCATGGTACTGACATAAAAATGGACACATAGACCAATGGAACAGAAGAGAGAACCCAGAAACAAATCCACACACCTACAGTGAACTCATTTTTTACAAAGGTGCCAAGAACATACACTGGGGAAAAGACAGTCTCTTCAATAAATGGTGCCAGGAAAACTGGATGTCAATATGTGAAAGAATGAAACTAGACCCATATCTCTCACCAAACACAAAAATCAAATAAAAAGAAATTAAATAATTAAATATAAGACCTCAAACTATGAAACTATTACAAGAAACACTGGGGGAAAATCTCCAGGACATTGAATCTCCAGGTCTGAGCAAAGACTTCTTGGGTAATACCCCACAAACACAGTCAACCAAAGCAAAAATGGACAAATGGAATCACATGAAGTTAAAAGACTTCTGCACAGCAAAGGATATAATCAACAAAGTAAAGAGACGATCCACAGAATGGGAGAAAATATTAGCAAACAACCCCTCTGACAAGTGATTAATGACCAGAATATATAAAGAGCTCAAAAAACTCTACAGGAAAAAAATCTAATAATCCAATCAAAAACTGGGCAAAAGATTTGAATAGACATTTCTGAAAAGAAGACATACAAGTGGCAAACAAGCATATGAAAAGGTGCTCAACATCATTGATCATTAGAGAAGAGCAAATCAAAACTACAATGAGATGTCATCAAATCCCAGTTAAAATGGCTTATATCCGAAAGACAGGTAATAATAAATGCTGATAAGGTTGTGGAGAAAAGGGAACCCTTGTACACTGTTGGTGGGAAAGTAAATTAATACAATCACTATGCAGAACAGTTTGGAGGTTCCTCAAAAAACTAAAAGTTGAGCTATCATATGAGCCTGCAATCCCACTGCTGGGAATGTGCCCAAAACAAAGGAAATCAGTATTGTAGAGATATCTGTACTCCTATGTTCGTTGCAGCACAGTTTGCAATAGCTAAGATTTGGAAGCAACCTATGTGTCCATCAACAGATGAATGGATAAAGAAAATGTGGTACGTATACACAATGGGGTACTATTCAGCCATAAAAAAGGAATGAGATCCAGTCATTTGCAACACCATAGATGTAACTGGAGATCATTGTGTTAAGTGAAATAAGCCAGGAATAGAAAGACAGACATCACATGTTCTCACTTATTTGTGGGATCTAAAAATCAAATCAATTCACCTTATGGACCTAGAGAATAGAAGGATGGTTACCAGACACTGGGAAAGGTAATGGAGGATTGAGCAGACATAGGGATGGTTAACGGGTACAAAAAAATAGAAAGAATGAATAAGACCTACTATTTGATAGCATAATAGGGTGACTATAGTTAATAATAACAATTATATATTTTAAAATAACTTAAAGAATGTAATTAGATTGCTTGTAAATCAAAGGATAAATGCTTAAGAAGATAAATACCCCTTCTCCATGATATGCTGATTTCACATTGCATGGCTGTATCACAAGATCTCATGCACCCCATAAATATATACACCTACTATGTATCCACAAATTTAAAAAAATAGTTTGTGGATTAAAAACAAAATGGAACCCTAGAAATGTGTAACAGTAGTTGTTTTACAGACAGGAATACTAAAGTAGAATACCTCTGCAGTAGGTAGAATACCCAAAAATGTTGAAGTTAATGAGAAAAGCAATGGGGAAACAGCAGACACTACCTCTTCCCCAGCTCCTGGGCTAGAAGTAGAATTCTCCATTGCTTTTATGATCGTGAACTACGTTTGTAGAGTGCTTTGTAGCCTAAAACTTACCTATAATGTGAATTAATTCTTGCAACAAGAATATGTGGTCTGATTCTCACTTTATAAGTGAAAAAACTTAATCTGGTCAGAAAGTGGTAGCGGAAGCAAGACTTGAACCAAGCTTTCCGGAAGGGATGGAACATGCAGCACAGAGCATTGCTGTTTCCCTCTCATTTCGCAAGCTCTTGTGGGCTATTCTGCTCTGTGGAATTCCACTGTGGGACACAGGGAGGGTGAATCTGACGTTCTGGAGTAGTGTGGCTCTCAACTGGTTTTGGTGTAAGGACACCTAAAACCAAATGATTTCGAAGACCTTCTAGTTAAAGATAGTGCAGAAAGAGGCTGTTTCCTTTTTAAAAATCTTTGTATCCCCAACCATTAAAGAAAGAATGGATGAAAGGCAAACTCATCAATGAAAACGGACTAATGCAATCCTGAACCCACCTTTTGAAGGCTACCCTTCATAGGCTCAGAAATCTGAATGCAGGGGGATGCTGAGAGTCAACATAATTTCTTCAGAGCTCAGTAAACACATTTCCCCAAAGCCCATTGCTGAAAGTGATCTCCAAGGGGGAAGCAGGGTGAAATAATGAGGGAATCAGTGATCTTCAGATCTCAGCATTAAGGAGGTGTGGCTAAGAGCTATTATAGCAAAGCACATACACCTCCTGAGTGTTGAAAGGGAGAGGAAGGCTGGACACAGTGGCTCATGACAGTAATCTCAGCACTTTGGGAGGCTGAGGCAGGAGGATCACTTGAGCCCAGGAAGTTGAGGCTGCAGTGAGCTGAGATTACACCACTGTACTCCAACCTGGGCAACAAAGTAAGACCCTGTCTCTAAAAACAAAAACATAAATGAAAACAAACAACAACCAGAAAAAAGAAAGAAAGAAAAGGAGAAATAAGTTACCAATGGAAAAAAAATGACAGATTTACTAAAAGTATTTTGGAGATGGCAAATCCAAACAGAACTGCTTCACATCACTTCCTCTCCCTAACTCCCCTCCCCTCTGTCCCTGCCTTTGTTATTCCCATTTTTGTTTACTTACTAATTTATCCAATACCTGCATGATAAATAATTAAAATGAATAATGAAAATGAACCAACATGGAATCTACTGCAGAGGTTTTAATTGGAAAAAGAATAAAAGCAAAAGGCTGATGAAAAAAAATACCATGCAAGATAAATTAACCAAGGAAACGGAAGAATTCTAACAGCCCTTTCCTTTCAGAGACAACTCTTCCCCTCCAACCCTATGAATTCACAAAGCCAAGGGCTTAAATATATATTAAAATATAGTAGAAGATTATCTAGCAGGGCCTTTGGAAACAAAGATAATAGAAGATTTTAAAAAATAATAGAAGATTAAATGAACTGAAAGAACTCCAATAACAAAGGAAAGCAAAATATAAAAACTTTATAAAGATAAAAAGCAACATAAAAAACAGAATTTAAAAACTAAAATACGAGGAAACAGTTAACAGCTGTAATGAAGTCATACAGAATAAAATGTAAAAGAAAAACTATAAAAATAATTAGTAATAAATATGAAACAAAGAGTTCAAATACATTTTAAGTGACGTTCCTGAAAAATAAAGCTTTTTTTTTTTTTCAAAAATAGAGTAAAAACAAGGATTACATAAGCTTCCAGATACAGAAAACGAGTCAGGTTCTTGAGGGAAAAGATCTGGGTAGCCTCAAAAACGTGCACAGTAAGACTAAGTGCCAGAAGGCAGGTCAGCAATGTCTAGAGTTTATAACCATGAATTTTATAGTCAGTTTAGCTTCCTTACAGTTACAAAGAGATCAGGCATTTTTAAACATTAAAAGCTGAAGGAAGATAATGATAGTTATTGCTGTATAACTAAACATCCTAAATGTAGTGTCCTTAGAAACCCCAACTTTTATCTTGCTCATGAATCAGACCTGGCTGGCTGGGATAACTCATTCTGCTTTACTCAGCATCAGCTGAAGAAGCCTGGAGCTAGGGGCTGGGTCATCGGGGGGTTCCCTTACTCATGTGTCCGATGTCTGGGCAGGAAAGTTTCAAACATCTGTGAGCTGGAACTGCTGGGGCTCATCTATTCTCTCTCCATGGTTGCTCCAATATGGTGGCTTCAGAATAGCCTGACTTCCTACATGTCAACCCAGGGCTTCAAGTTGCAGGCCACGAAGGAGAACATCTGGAGGAAGCTGCGTCAGCCCTTGTTGTCTACCACGCCATCCTTCCATCAGTCACAGAAGACCACCCTGACTCAAGGGAATAGGAAATAGATTCTGCTGGATAGGGAATGCCAAGGTTCTGAAAGAACATGTAGGGCTTCAAATATGGATGCAACTTACCAGAATAATATTGAAAATTCTCAACTGTACAGTGAAATTCAACCAAGAATCAAACTGAGTAAAAAATCCACAGTATAAAAAATGCTAATGTTAATTTTTAATGCATTAGAGATTGGATCGATGGTCCAACATCTGGCTCTTCTACCATCCTACTTCGTCTGAGTCTTCTGTCCTTGATTCATCTTTCATCCAGTCGGGACTCCAGGGTCAACCACTCCATGAATCTCTTAAAATATCCTCAATTCCTTTTTTCCCTTCTTTTCCAGATGTCACACAAAATCTCGACCCTGGGTCAATTTAACTTTCCCATTCTCCACTCCTCCCCCCAGGATATTAAGAACTGTTGGTAAAAATCATGTATTTTGGGCCAGGCATGGTGGATCACTCCTGTAATCCCAGAACTTTGGGAGGCTGAGGCGGACGGATCACTTGAGGCCAGGAGTTCAAGACCACCCTGGGCAACATGGCGAAACCCCATCTCTACTAAAAATACAAAAATTAGCTGGGCATGGTGGCACGTGCCTGTAATTCCAGGTGCTCGGGAAGCTGAGGTGGAAGAATTGCTTAAATCTGGGAGGCAGAGGTTGCAGTGAGCCGAGATCGCACCACTGCACTCCAGCCTGGGCAACAGAGCGAGACTCTGTCTCAAAAAAAAAAAATAAATAAAATAATGAATTTTATAGCCAGTTTAGTTTCCTTACATTGTTTTATGTTTACCATAAAACAATGCAGAATATAGTCACTATAAATTCATAGTCTTCGACCTTGAATAAGACTTCAAAGCTGCCTACAATTCCTATTTATTCTCTTTCTCCATGACAATTATATCAATGCTTTTTTTTTTTTTTTTTTTGAGACGGAGTTTCACTCTTGCTGCCCAGGCTGGAGTGCAATGGTGCGATCTCGGCTCACTGCAACCTATGCTTCCTGGGTTCAAATGATTCTCCCACCTCAGCCTCCCAAGTAGCTGGGATTTACAGGTGCACACCACCACGCCCAGCTAATTTTGTATTTTTAGTAGAGATGGGGTTTCTCCATGTTGGTCGGGCTGGTCTTGAACTCCTGACCTCAGGTGATCCACCCACCTCGGCCTCCCAAAGTGCTGGGATTACAGGCATAAGCCACCGCACCTGGCCTATCAAGCCTTTTATACTATACTTACACCTTCTAGCCCACACCCACTCTCAGTGGACATCACACTCAAATGCACAGAGAAAATAGAGACCCTCAAATAGATGCACCCTCAACGCTCCTCCATTATATTTACAATCTTGGCTGAAAGTGGCAATGATGAGGGTGAGGAACAAAGGTCCATGCCTCCTCCAGACCATGCTGTAAACCACCTCTGCTGCTTCTCAGAGTGGGTGCTATTGGCATTTTGGATACAGCGATTTTCTTGTTAGATTTTCCCACATATTGTAATACTTTTAGCATCTCTATCCCTAGAACAACATAAACCATTAGCAAGTCAAGTCACTGAAATAGGCAATACATATCCTGAGATATTCATAAAAGCCCCTCAAGGATTGGGACTTGGTTGAGATTTTCAGACCGGTAAACCCTTTGTGTTACAGATGAAGAAACCGAGGTCCAGAGCACCCAAATCAGTTTCCCAAGAGCATGGTTTAATAGCACTGGGACCGGCAGCCAGGTGTACTGGCGTTATGCCCCAGGCTCCTTCTACTAGGCGACAGGTTCTGCTCAACTCCACAGCTGAAACTGTTTATGTTAAAAATAACACTTAAGCTGTAATGGATGTCAAAATAATACCTGATCCAATGAAAATGAGCAAACCTTTATAATAATAAGCAAATAAATAAATATGTCTGCAAGGAGAGGTGTGCATGAATTAAATATTAATTTCAAACAAATATTAATTCTAAAAATGTCTATATTAATGTTTTCTCAAATAGAAAAACTTATACCAGTTAATAAGCACACTATATCCACTCTGATGCTTTTAAGTGTTAAAAAATATCATATTCAGTAAAAAATGTTTTCTTTAAAGAATTCCTTATTCTCTTTCTGCACCACTTATCAAATATCTTATTTTTTTGTATTTCATTTTAAGATATAGTCGAGTTATTTATTTGACTATATAAAGTAATATTGAATCTTCTACTCTCATTAGTAACCTAATTCTTCAATTTCTCTGATTTTTCTTGAACGGTATGTCATCAAAGTGACTATCATTTTAGCTAAATACATTGTCATATATGAGCAAAATTGCATATTGATAGAATTTCTGAAATTTCTTTTACTTTATTTGACATATTTTACACTAAAAAAAATCAATGTAACTGATAGGACTTCTTAAATTGCCTATTTTAAAAAAATGTATTACCCCTACAATTGTAAGTAATTTGGAAGCCCTGGTACAACCTATACAGTGTTTTTGAATTTGATTCTGAGTGGACAGCTGTAGGAGGGAGAATTACTGAGTCACAAAATGAAACAGATCACAGCACTGATTGGGCCCTACTTCTTATCAAAAGAGGCTCTTCATACACTTAACTCAGCAAGTCACTGTTGAGCACTGGAAATCGTGGAGCTAGGTCCATCCTCACTCCCCTCCCTGTCCAAATGAGAGGAGGAAATGCCCAAACTATTATCTTTCCAAACCTGAGCCGTCTTTTTGTCGCCTCCATCACATGATCAGATTTTTTGTGTGCTCACTGTACTCATTCTT
Organism: Homo sapiens; assembly: GCF_000001405.40. Classification (NCBI taxonomy): domain Eukaryota; kingdom Metazoa; phylum Chordata; class Mammalia; order Primates; family Hominidae; genus Homo; species Homo sapiens. Next base: position 186,444,771 of record NC_000004.12, read on the forward strand.
CCCCCTTTTTCTATCATGGATACATCCCAGCCTTTTACATCAGAAATGTGCTCAGTTTTTTTCCCTCCCCAATCTTCTACCACCCTTTGCTTTCATTTATTCCTTAAACGACTATCCCTTTTCTTTTCCCTCGTTCATCAACAACGTTTTGAGAAAGTCCAACGTGAACTTCAAAGCCCAACTGATTATAAATGCTTCCCTCTCTCAATGCTTCCCTGGCCACCATTCAGAATCGGTGCGCCACCTAGGAAACTATCTTTTAGACAGTCGTTACTGAGGGATTGTTTTTGAAGTTAGTAAAATAAAATACACTCCCTGGTTCTCCTGATAATCACGGAAATCGTTTGCTATAAAGCTATTTCAATAAAGCAATAATAGAAAAACAAACATCAGGAAGGAACAATGAGCTCTGAGAGGACCTAGGAACATTAGGGGTAGGAAGATGAATTTAAACTATGCCTCGAGGACAAATAAGGATGTTGCTGACGGTGCCAAAGGTGGGGAGAAAAGGACAATAAGACAAACAGCATGAGCAAAGGCATTAAAATACGACATCCATGACTCACTCAGTGTATTTAAAGATAAAATGTTTAAATGTATTTTCCAGGTGTTACATGGTCCTTAATGATTTTTCAAATCCTTCAGTATATAACATGCAGGCTCATTTGGTTTTCATTTACACACTGTCTCTGTAATTCTGTCATACTTGCCTCAAGTGACTTTACCGTGGAAGAGGACCTGCAGGGAAGCACATAGCACAGGTTGCAGGACAGCTTCGTGGCTCTTGGCTAATTCGAGAATGTATGAGTGGCAGAATTCCATATAGTTATTCTCATCCTAACATACTACATGGAAGCAAGATTGTAAAGAAGGAACACTTGCCTACCTTTAAATACAAAAGGTGACCAATATTTACCAAAAAGAATCTTGCAGTTGTTGTGAACAACCAAATTCATGTAGAACAGTTTGCAATAACAGCTATTAAGAAAACAAATGGTCTGTTATTCAGACCAGAACTCCTGTTGCTCTTTAGATGACAAATGCATGACGCTTTAAATGTATGTACGAAAAATAAATCTTTTAGAAGACTTTCAAAAATACTTCTAATTTAGAGTTTCTGACTCAGCCTCTCAACTTTCATTCCTTCATAATTCACTCATCCATAATAATATTTATTAGAATCTACCTCTGTATAAGGCCCTTTCTAGGAGTCAGGGATGAAGTGGGGAATAAGGTAGACCAGGTCCCTGCCCTCATAGCAACCATATTCTAGGGAAGCAAAAAAGATTTGCTTTTCAAGCACTCCAAGGTTGCTAATTATTTTCCTGGTTTCCCACATGGTTGTTGAGAAACCAAACAAAACTTGTCTTTGGCGTATATTCTTTCTATTCTTTGAAAATTTTGTACATTAGCAAAACACATTCACTAAAGCAAATAATTTTTCTTGGTTAAGTAATTTGGTTATTCTTACCAAAGATATAGAGACCTTCCTTCAATAAACTATAAACATTTTCAGCAAATAACTAATCAGAGTTTATGTGAGTTTTTTCCAAATATGCACAACTTATAGTAGCAAAATATTTGCAAACTCAGTAATCATAAGTTAAACCATAATGATGATGACATATTTTGAAACATTTCTTTGTTTAGTACCTTGAATATGCCACACACTATCCTAAAAGAAAAAAAGTGAAGATTCAAAAGCAGTGAGAGAAAATTTCCCTGTACAGTACACAAAGTTGTATGTACTTCAGTGGGGTTGGTGTTTTTCTCCAGGAGCGTCTACCAGCACAGCTTTGATCCCTTCATCAACAATATCCTAAAATTCAACGCTTTTATGGTTACAATACTGCCTTTCCAAAGGCATGTCAGCTAGATCTAGCATACAGTTTTTGGCACAATTTATTTCCTTCCTTCCTTCCTTCCTTCCTTCCTTCCTTCCTTCCTTCCTTCCTTCCTTCCGCCTGCCCTCCCTCCCTCCCTCTCTCTCCCTTTCTTTCTTTTCTTTTCTTTTCTTTCTTTCTCTTTCTCTCTCTCTCTTTCTTTCTTTCTTTTCTAGGATGGAGTTTTGCTCTTGTTGGCCAGGCTGGAGTGCAATAGTGTGATCTTGGCTCACCGAAACCTCCACCTCCCAGGTTCAAGCGATTCTCCTGCCTCAGCCTCCCGAGTAGCTGGGATTACAGGCATGCATCACCACGCCCAGCTAATTTTGTATTTTTAGTAAAGACGGGGTTTCTCCACGTTGGCCAGGCTGGTCTCGAACTTCCGACCTCAGGTGATCTGCCCACCTTGGCCTCCCAAAGTGCTGGGATTACAGGTGTGAGCTACCGCACCTGGCCTCTCTATTTTTAACTGTGCAACAAAAGATATTCCACAAGAAGGTAACTTCAGTTCCAATTGTTTGTTCTGTGAGAACTTGGTTTAGAGATAGGGTTGGTAAATTGTTAAAGGTGTGTGGTATTTTTAGTCATTTCCCAATTTGCTAAATTACAAAGGACTAGCTTTTTGATAGATTACTGGGTGGCCAATCTGATTGATAGGAAGCTCAAAGACAAGTCTGATCCTCAATTACACATTTTTAATCCTCGAAGCCAGAGGGTTAGTCTTTTCTTTAACTTCCTTTTTAATTAATTTTATTAATCTGTTGCAGATGTTCTTCTGATATATCCATGTTCGTCAAGGAAGATGGACATGAAAGCTAATGTCTTGGCACAAGATTACGTCTAAAGCCCACAACTTAAAATGAGATGGGCTAAACTTCACATAAACTGCATACACCTTGGTATCACTCCTCCTCAAACTACCGTCTCACTACTTACAGACATTCCAGCTTCAGAATCCACGCCTTATATAAGGTGACTGCCACCTCCTGCTCTCTCAAAATACTTCCCTACTTTTAGGTGTCAAAGGAGCAGTAAAGGGTCTAATCCTATAAAAATTCATTTCTGCCAATATGCTAGCCCCTCAGGAAACAGTCTTAAATCATTATACAATTTGCATTTCTTAACATTTTAGGTGCCATTTAGGTCAGTGGGGGGAAATCTCTTTGGGCCAGCCTTTCGATTTTGGTGTCACAGATTGTTTAACAAAGATGACAGCAGTTCCAACCACCAGCGCCAAGGGGCTACTTCCCTCAACACGTCAGAATGCACAGGATTAAAAGAAGAGTTTCCCAAAAACATTGTATCTGGTGAACTTAGATTAGGTCGAATCTTCTAACCCAAGCAAAAAGGCATTATCTTGCTTCCATCCTTATTAAAATCTTGGTGTTTGTTTTACAGTTTTGGTCTTTAAGCTCACAAAACCCAAAGGATTTTTGAATAATTCCCAGTAGTTTTACCATGTATAAAAACTGCCTTCAATTTTATAAGCTTCTTTGATCTCTGCTAGGCCAACATGCTGGGGGGATAAATATCAAAATTTAAAAAGAAATTCTCAGCCAGTAAGAAAAGATAAAGATTAATTCACTATGTTACTGTACATTCAACAATTCACACAGCTCTATTATCACTTTAAGATACCATCCGCTGACCATCATTCTTCCTTCTAGAGAGGCTTTAGTGGTAAGAAATTAACTAAAAGAGAAAAGGAACTTTTAACCTGTCCTCACAGAGATGATGGGTGGGAAAGAAGATAAAGAAATTTATTACTGAAAAATATAAATTGGATCAACATTAGTCACACTAAACAGATTAATGCTTGTTTTCCCAAAGTATTTTTTGGTATTTAGAGTTGCATCCCTGTTCTCTGCTCACCCTGAGGTAGGCCCAGCCTCTGGGGTTGTGGTTTGAGCAGGATCAGCGCTCCACTAGCCACCTAGTTTCTTTGAGTCTTGAGCATCCTGTTTTTCCCAGGCAGCCAGAGTCCCCTGATTTCTTTTCTGCTTTTTTTTGTTGTTGTTGTTTTCTAATTTAGAAACAGGGTTGCACTGTGTCACCCAGGCTGGAGCACAGTGGCACAATCATGGCTCACTGCAGCCTGGACTTCCTGTGCTCAAACAGTCCTCCTGCCTCAGCCTTCTGAGGAGCTAGGACTACAGGTGCACACCACCATGCCTGGCTAATTTACTAACTTTTTGTGGAGATGGGGTCTTGCTTTGTTGCCCAGGCTGGTCTCAAGCTCCTGGCACAAGTGATCCACCTGCCTCAGCCTCCCAAAGCTCTAGGATTACAGGTGTGAGCCACCACACCGGGCCCAGAGTCCCTGATTTCTGGGGCTTCTTTTCAAGTCGCAATAACAGATGACTGTGACAAGATGGATATGTAATCACCTGATTTATCCCTTAACCCTGCTCCCTGGAGCAGAGTCAGCTGGAGAATTCAGAGCCGCAGCGCCCAGGTTTCTTAGGTAGGCAGGCTCAGCTTCCCCCTTTGTATGTGGTTGTTCTTTTCCCTCATGGCATGATTCCTTGCTTGTGGTAAGCTCCTAAACTAATATAAGGTTTTAGAAATCATTTCACCAAAGTGGTTGCTTTGGTAGAGGAGAGAGAGGGATATATCTGGAAGAGACACGAGAGTGCTGAAAATGTGCTATTTCTTAGCCTTCTTAGGCCAAGAGTTACACTGTAACATCGTAGTTACAATGATGTGCCTACTTTGTGACAGATTCATAGAAATGTGCAGTTATGATTTGTGTGCTTCTGTGTCTTATTTCCATTTTAAAATCTTAACAGTAAAAGAGTGGCATGCCCCTGTAATCCCAGCTACTAGGGAGGCTGAGGCAGGAGAATCACTTGAACCTGGGAGGCGGAGGTTGCAATGAGCCGAGATCATGCCGCTACACTCCAGCCTGGGCAACAGAGCGAGACTTCACCTCAAAAATAAATAAATAAATAAAAATAAATAAGAGAAAGCTACAGAATGGTATCTCTGTGTTATCCTCTGTGATTTGCAAAATGTTTTCTCTGTATACTTTTAAACATACAGAATATTTCTGGAAAAACAAACAAGAACTTAGTATTAATGGTCATCAATAGTGGGAGGTCAGGGAATAATCATGGGATCTTAGTAGAAACCTAACATTTTTTGTGTAAACTTTTATGTACTCTTTAAATTTCTCAACATTTGTATGTGTATATTTTCAAATAAATCAACATTTACAAAATAAATAAACTAGAACCGAACTGAACTGAAAAAAGTGGGCACTGTATTAAGGGACAGTTTGTTTGGTGTGGACGAAATATTCAGAAATGTAGTGATGGACGTATGCAGCAAAGCAAGGAGCAGATTGCAGGAGGTCCAGCACGCCCAACAAAGGACTAGACTGTATATTTCCCAAACTGACACTGAGCCTGTCTTTCCCCGCCAGACTCCTTCTCCAGTCTTCCCCTTCTCAGTATTTTTCATCACAAACCACCCAGTTGTATAGACTGCACATGGATTACGCAACCACAACCTCTCCTTCTTCCCCGCCATCATAGTCGTCACTAAATCCTTTGCAGTCTAACTCGAATGTCTATTTTTAATACTAATTTTTCTATTTTTTTTTTACTAATTTACTACCTTCCTTGATGTCCACAGATCCTACCCTCGGCCAAATCACCACCTCCTCTCCCTGACATATTATAGTATTCTTCTGACTTGCTTTCTACTTGCCCCGTTCTGTGCCTAAAGAAAGCACTTCAGTGGGTTTACACTGCGTGTTGATACCCCCTGAACCTAAAATAAAAGTTGAAAAAAAAATGAAGCTGTGATTGTCGTGGTCAACAACACCCCAGGGGATGTAGTCCTGCCTCCCTCTCAGCCTCACTTGGAAGCAGTCCTTCGCTCTTCCGTGTTCCAGCCGCTCTGCTCTTCTCAGTACCTTGAACTTAACTCACTCTTTCCTGACTTGGAACCTTTGAGATGTTCCGTCTGCCTGGAACTCAATTCCAAACCATCCTTGTGTGGTTGGCTCCTTCTGTTTCTTTAAGTCTTGATTTAAAAGTTCCTTCCAAAAAAGAGACTTGCTCTGATTACATTCAGTGTTCCTGCCTCCCAATCGTCTGTACCACGGCTCCATGGTCACGGCATTCCTCTTCCTTCTGTCTCACATATTACAGGCTGCTGCGGGGGTGCAGGGGGGAAGCTACTGCAAAATCCATGGGATCAGCTGGGCGTGGTGGCGGTGGCTCATGCCTGTAATCCCAGCACTTTGGGAGGCCGAGGAGGGTGGATCACGAGGTCAGGGTGGATCAAGAGGTCAGGAGATCGAGACCATCCTGGCCAACACAGTGAAACCCCGTCTCTACTAAAAATACAAAAAATTAGCCAGGCGTGGTGGTGGGCACCTGTAGTCCCAGCTACTTGGGAGGGCTGAGGCAGGAGAATGGCACGAACTCGGGCGGCAGTACTTCTAGTTAAATCTGGTAAATTTAACACATATCTTCCTCTGCATTCTCTGCTCACTAAAATAATGAAAAAACAATTTTTAAAGGCATAGTGAAAGACATCAACAACATTTTTGAAGTTGGAAAGTGAATGGACTTATTAAGGCAGAGACATGACTCTGCAAGAAGGAAAGTAACAAGAAGTAAGCCAACATGTGACAGAACCCTAAAAAGTTAAAACATTTGGGGCACAATGAATTTCTGGAGGATGGTGTGTGGAGTGGGGCTGGGACAAAGTTTATAAACTAAGTGCAGGCACCTTATATCCCAAACACAAGCCAAAAAAGAGTGGCTTAATTTCTGAAGAGGCTCAACCATAGTAGGTCTGGCCTTGGAGGGATACCAGTCTCCGCTGAGGGTCTGTTAAAATGATGTCCTGAAAACAGGGATGTTAGGTAGACATCTGCATACCAAATGGAGAGGTCTTCCACCCCCAGCTCACTTCTCCTACTTGGCTCTTAGAATACTGGTCTTAGGCTTCTAACATACCTCCACCCACCCCACCTCTGCAACAGCAACAGGAAACTGGGAGACTCCTCTTGAGAAAACTGAGGAGCTCAAGAAAAAAAGACATTTAGATGCTCCCAATGGAAAAGTCAGCATGCCAGATTTCCAGTGTTCCCCTAAATTCATTCTCTCTTCTGCACCCTCTTCTCTGCCCTAGGAATCTGAGCTGTAAAGGCTACATAAGTGATCCTCATTGCCCTCTGGCTTTTTACTTGGTTCAACTACTAGGGAGCCCAGCAATAGATGTAAGGGTAGAAGGAGAATATGTCATGAGCACTTATGCACTGGTTCCCCTACATACAGGATTGCTTTCTGCTGACTGAGCTGTTGATCAGGCATCTTGGTTTCTCTTCCAAGACTCTCATTTTCTAAGCTCTGGTAATCACTTCTTCCCTCCATCCCTTTGAGCCCAGGAGTGGCAATAAACTCAGAGTAATTCCCAATTCCTTGCGTGTTTTCAACACTCTATAAATGCCCAACAGGTTCTTTTTGCCTGCTGCACAGAAAAAGCCAACTCACTGAGACAACAGTATTGCAGTAGAGAAAGAGCTTAATGCTCACAGGGCTAGACAAGTGGTATGATGGGAGTTAACTACCCAAGTCAGCCTCCCTGAGAACTCAGAGACTAGGATTTTTATGGATACTTTGGCAGGCAGGGAGCTAGGGAATGGGTGCTGCTGATTGGTTGGGGAGGAAACCATAGGGGTGTAGAAAATGCTCCTCGTGGGCAGAGTCAGCCTCCAGGTGGGGGTCACAGGACCAGCTGAGTCATGAGTCATGGGTCTGGTTGGGGTCAGTCTGTTACCAGAATGCAAAAGTCTAAAAAACATCTCAAAACACCAATTGTAGGTTCTACAATAGTGATGTTATTTACAGGAGTAACTGGAGAAGTCACAAATCTTGTGACCTCTGGCCACATGACTACTGAGCAGCAAGATATCATAGGAAAGAAATCTAGGGGACAATGGCTGGATATCATTTAACTACACCTACATCTTAGAAGAGTTCAGGCCCCTCCCATCATCCTAATCTTGTGGCCATTCCTTTATCTTACAATGGTGGCTTCAGTTCTCAGACAGTGGCCTTTCATTAGTCTTACAAAGGCAGTTTCAGTCCCCAAATAAGGAGGGAGTCAGTTTTAGGGGGGAACTGTTATCATCCTTGCTTTAAAGTTAAACCAGAAACTAAATTCCTCCCATAGTTATTGTATTAGTCCATTTGCATGCTGCTGATAAAGACATACCCAAGACTGGGCAATTTACAAAAGAAAGAGGTTTAATTGGACTCACAGTTCCACAGGGCTGGGGAGGCCTCACAATCATGGCAGAAGGTAAGGAGGGACAAGTCACATCTTATGTGGATGGCGGCAGGCAAAGAGAGCTTGTGCAGGGAAACTCTCCCTTAAAATACTGTCAGATCTCGTGAGATTTTATTTGCTATCACAAGAACAGCAGGGGAAAGATCTGCCCCCGTGATTCAATCATCTCACATCAGACCCTCCCACAACACGTGGGAATCATGGGAGCTACAAGATGAGATTTGAGTAGGGACACAGAGCTAAACCATATCAGTTATCTTGGCCCATGCCTAGGAATAAGTGAGGACAGCCAGCCTGTGGGGCTAGAAGCAAGATGGAATCAGCCATGCTAGACTTACCTTGCTGTCATAATCCTTGCAAAGGTAGTTTCAATTCTGTCTACATCATTGTAAGTTGTCATTTCACTCAATTTTCCTAAAAATTGTCCTAATTTAAACACTGCCTTTTTTTCCCCCAGGACTCTGACACTACCAGTTCACTATATTGTGGCCTTCTCAATGAAATCCTCAAGCCCTCAAATTCAGCTCTTACCTACAGAGCATCCAACCAGCTTTTTAGTGGTTCATTTTCAACCATGAATGGACAGCCAAGGATCAATCACCAGACACGTGAAAAATCTTCCAGCATGAAAGATAGACCAAAACGAAGAGGAAAAAGATACAATGAGATCACATGAGAAGAAAAGAAGAAGACAGCCAATATCTCTCCAATAGGAAATTTAAAGATAAGAAAAGGGAAGAAAAAATAATCAAAGAAAAAGTTCAAGAAAAAGTTCCCAAAGTGAAGGACCTCATTGTAAAAACGTAAAAATAGAGAGATGCTGCTAAAAACTTCCATAAAGAAAAACAAGTCACATCACAAATCAGGAGGATGGCCACCTTCTCAACAACTTTGGAGAAATTCCTTACATTTATGAAGAAAAATGACTTGCAACCTAGAATTTTATAATTAACCCAACTATTAATCCAATGTGAGAATGGGATTATAACATTCATAGACAGGTAAATACTCAAAAATCTACTGCAGTAGACAGCTTCTAAGATGACCCCAAATGTCCCGACCTCCTAGCATTGATGCCCTTATAGGATCTCCTCCCACTGAGTATGAGTTGGACTTAGTGACTTACGTCTAATGAATGGAGTATTGGAGGAGTTATGGGACACTGCTCTAATGTTAGGCTATAAGAAGACTGTGGCCTCCATCGCGGGCACTCTCTGATGTTCTCTTTTGGTCTCCTTCCTGTGGGGGAGGTCGGCAGCCACGCCATGAGGCAGTTTCTCTGAAGAGACCCACAGAGAAAGGGCTCGATGCTTGCCAACAACCGTGTGAGTATGCTTGGAGGAGTCCTAGTATATATGTTTAACATGACATAGTTTCTCAGTTTATTATAACACTTGTAACCATAATAGGTCTGTTGCCCAACTCACACAGCAAGTCAACATACTGAGATATGGGGCTGCAGCAGAGAAAGGGGTTTCATCATAGGGCTGCTGAATGAGGAGATGAGAGGAAACCCCAAATTCATCTCCCTGGGGAGTAGGAGGGTGGGGTTTTTAAAGAATTTTGGAGTAGGCTGAAGTGTGAAGATCATGGATTGGTCAAAGAGTGCAGGGTGAAATACTGGGACAAGAAGATGAAGAAACAGCATTCCCACGTTGATTTGGCTCCTCTGTGGGGTCTTCAAACTGGTGGCATCAACTATTCTCCTGGAATTCAGAATCTGCTTAAGCACTTCTTAAACACAAGCCTTATGATTCTAAGGTCAGAAATCCTCCCTATAGGAACAGTGCGGACGTGAGTGCTCAGTGCCGGGTGCAACAGCCCTTTCAGTTACAAGGAAGTGGGTCAAAGCGCAGCCTGATTATTGCTTAATTACAACAACATTTCTGTCCAGAATTCTTGTTAACACTGTCAGGACAGCCTTATTGTATTAAGTATAATAATCACATTGAAAATTATTTAGGCTTTCCTCAAAAAGACAAACCACAGATCAGCAGACCATTTGCAAAGCATCTAATTAATAGAGGGATAATGTTCAGGATTTGTAAGAGTTTGAAAAATATATTAAAAAGATAACTGAACAGAAAAATTCTCAAAGAAAACAAATAGGCAAATCACAGAAAAAAAACACAAGTGGCCAGTGAAGAGATACCAAAACTTCACTAATAACCCGGGAAATAAAAAGTTAAACTAAAGCTGACACCATTTTCACCCATCCATTTTGTACACATTATGAAACCTGTTTTCACCAACCTGATGCTAAAAAAGAAAAAAATTATAAAGTCTAACATTATCAAGTATTGTGAAAATTTTGAAAAATGGAAATACTCATCCGTCATTAGTGTGGGTATAAACTTGAAAAACCATCCTGAAAGTATTTTGATTATGTCTATGAAAGCTACCCCCCAAAAGTACAAGTTCTACAAAAGAGCAATTTTACTTGTTACGTGCATTATATTAATACCTTACACATCTGCAGTGAGACATGTAAAATAATATTTTAAGGACAAATAAAGATTAAAAGTGGGCCTGGCACAGTGGTTCACGCCTGTAATCCCAGCACTTTGGGAGGCCGAGGCGGGCAGATCATGAGGTCAGCAGTTCGAGACCAGCCTGGCCAACATGGTGAAACTCTGTCTCTACTAAAAATACAAAAATTAGCCAGGCGTGGTGGTGGGTGCCTGTAATTCCAGCTACTTGGGAGGCTGAGGCAGGAGAATTGCTTGAACCTGGCAGGCGGAGGTTGCAGTGAGCTGAGACCACGCCATTGCACTCCAGCCTGGGTGACAGAGCAAGATTCCATCTCAAAAAAAATAAAATAAAATAAAATAAAATAAAAAATAAAAATAAAAATAAAAAAGATTAAAAATGATAGCCGAATTCTTCCGTTTGAAAATAAGGTAAGAAACTTCTCCCTCTCTCTTTTCTTAGAACATTTACTTTAGAAGATTTGTAATTGTAAGTTCCTTTTCTGTCTCTAAATCTTTTTCCAAGCCCAATAAGCCTCTTGCCAGCTTTACGACCCAGGAATGGCTTTCTCAAGCACCTGGAAATCACCTCTTTGTAAACATCGAGTGAGACAGTGCCTCTGTGGCCCAGTTTCTGGGGGAGAGTAAGAGCCTGTCTTTGGGGGATGCCTTGCTCCTAGTTGCAAAACTACCTCTTGTCATAAAAATAAATGTTTATTTTTCCCTCATTTAAAAGTGATTACCAGGTGAATTTAGGATGAACTGTGTGTAATAAATGGTGCTATCACATTCTCTCACTTGAGGACTAGTTATTATATACCTTGAGAGCATGTATGTAATGAATTGTATCTGCTTGGTTATACGAAGGGGTGAGATTTCTTTCTGTCTTTGCAATCTCTTTGTGGGTTGTCTGTGATATATAGCACATTCTGATTTAATGCCTATTCAATTTTTAAAAACTGTTTTCTTTCTCTGCTACCTTTGTGAAGAGGTTTTCTAGGTTGGGAGAAGATTTTGGTTTAAATTAAATTTCCCCAGCAATGTTCATTATAGCATTGTTTGTAATAGTGAAAAATATAAGTACTTTAAATATCCATTTGTAGAAGAATGAATTATCATAAAATAATACAATGCACTAATATACAGCAGTTAAATAAATAAATTAGCACACTATGTGTCAAAATGAGTAATCTCAAAAACATAATATTCAATGAAAACATAGTTGCAGATAATAGAAGTATGATTTTGTTTTCATAAAATTGAAGATACTAAATATATTATGTATGGTTATATGTAAAAATAGTAAATATATAAAAATAACAATAGGGCCAGCATGATGGCTCATGTCTGTAATCCCAGTGCTTTAGGACACTAAGGTGGGAGGATCACTTGAGTCCAGGAGTTCGAGACCAGCCTGAGAAATGCACGGAGACCTTGTCCCTAAAAAAAAAAAAAAAAAAAAAAATAGCTGATTGTGTGTGCCTGATGTCTCAGCTACTCAGGAAGCTGAGGTGGGAAGATCCCAGGAGTTCAAGACTGCAGTGAGCTGTGATTGCCCCACTGAACTCTAGCTGGAGCAACAGAGTGACACTCCATCTCTAAAAAAAAAAAAATAAAAATAAAAACAAATAACAATAGGAAGCATATCCACCAGTGTGCAATTACCATTACCTGTGGTGCAGAAGGGAAGGTAATCATTTTGGGAATAAGAAAAAGGAGAGTTTGACTGTATCTGTAATATTTTATTTATATGAAGCAACATATAGCTAGATTGCAACATATAGGTAGTAATCTGGCTTTTAGATACAGAAAATAATATGACTTAGATTGGTGGGTGTTCATCATATTATTCTCTCTACGTTTTAAAGTTTTCATGACAATAATATTCTCATAAACAAAAACAGAGTTCCTGGATCAAAGAAAAACCATTTTAGAAGACGTTTTCTTCCAAAAGTTTGACCAGTGAGTGGAAAGTATTTCAAACATATTCTCTACACACAAAATCTGCAGACCTAACTCTCTTTACCGAGGAGGAAAGCTATCTCTCATTCTCAGTTTGGCAGGGCAATCTCGTGATGGGAAACATTTCCTGTGGGTTTTCAGGGGCCAGTGAAGAAGTAGAACAAAGTACTTGCTACCTGGGTTACCTGTTAAGACCACAGATCCCGCCAGAGCATATCCTGGTCCCTGTGACGCCATGGAACCCAGTAGTCAGCCTGGGGCACCATTCCTGTTACCGGAAGGGGGTCCCGAGCCAGACTCCAAGAGAGGGTTCTTAGACCTTGCCCAGGAAAGAATTGGGAGTGAGTCCATAGAGGAAAGTGAATGTAAGTTTGTTAGGAAAGTAAAGGAATAAAGAGACCAAGGTGGGCAGATCATCGGGTCAGGAGTTCGAGACCAGCCTGACCAACATAGCGAAACCCCATCTCTACTAAAAATACAAAAATTAGCTGGGCGTGGCAGCGCACGCCTGTAATCCCAGCTACTCGAGAGGCTGAGGCACGAGAATGGCTTGAACCTGGGAGGCAGAGGTTGTAGTGAGCCGAGATTGTACCACTGCACTCCAGCCTGGGAGACAGAGTGAGACTCCGTCTCAAAAAAAAAAAAAAAAAAAAAGAATGAAGAACGTCTCCTTCATAGGCAGAGCAGCAGCATGCGCAGCTCCACTGGGTATACTTACAGTTATTTCTTGACCATATGCTAAACAAGAGGTGGATTATTCATGAGTTTTCCTGGAAATAGGTGGGGATTTGCCCCAGAACTGAGGGTCCCTCCCCTCTTTGACCTTATAAGGTAACTTCCAGACATTGCCATGGCATTTGTAAACAGTCTGGCGCCGGTGGCAATGTCTTTTAGCATGCTAACTCATTACAATTAGCATATACTGAGGATGACTGAGATGACTTTCTTGGTTTTTAGTTTTCATTGTAGGTTTGGGGGTACATGTGAAGGTTTGTTACACAGATAAGCACGTGACATGGGGGTCTGTTGTGCATAATATTACATCACTCAGGTATTAAGCTGAGTGCCCAGTAGTTACCTTTTCCGCTCCGCTCCCTCGTCCCTCCCTCCCCCCACAAGTAGATCCTGGTGTCTGCTGTTTCCTTCTGTGTGTTCATAAGTTCTTTTTTTTATTATTATTACATAAGTTCTTATCACTTAGCTCCATTTACAAGTGACAACATGCAGTGTTTGGTTTCTGTTCCTGTGTTAGTTTGCTAAGAATGATAGCCTCCAGTTCCAAAGACATCATCTCAATCCGGAGGTCACTTTCATTGCCATCTTGGTTTTGGTGGGTTGTGGCTGGCTTCTTTACTGTGTCCTGTTTTATCAGCTGGATCTTTGTAACCTGTATCTTGTGTCGACCTCCCCTCTCATCCTGTGACTATTCCTCCTGGGAATGCAGCCCAGAAGATCTCAGCCTTATTTTACCCAGCTCCTGTTCAAGATGGAGTCGCTCTGGTTCCAATGCTTCTGACATTCCCATCTTTGTTATTACTGTGAATACTTTTTTCAAAGTATAATATATTTATGATATCAGTTATTAAGGAGCCCTGACACTGAGATAAACCTTGTTAGCATCTGCTGCTCACTCTGGATGCCTGCCCTAGTGGGAGAGCCCTTATGACTCCCATCCTACTCTGCTTTTCTATTGTTCTGCAACACATTGAGGAATCCAAAGAGATCCTAGAGATAACCCATCCTCAGTCAACACATTTTCCTCTCTCCTTTTCTTCTCTTCTCTTCTTTCTTTCTCTCTCTCTCTCTCTCTCTCTCTCTCTCTCTCTTTCTTTCTGACAGGGTCTCACTCCGTCACCCTGGCTAAAGTGCAGTGGTACAATCTCAGCTCACTGCAGCCTCAACCTCTTGGGCTCAAGTGCTCCTCCCACCTCTGCCTCCCAGGTAGCTGGGACTACAGGTGTGCACCACCACGTCTGGCTAATTTTTTTGTATTTGCAGAGACAAGGTTTTGCCATGTTGCCCAGGCTGGTCTTGAACTCCTGGGCTCAAGCGATCCACATACCTCAGATTCCCAAAGTGCTGGGACTACAGGCATGAGCCACTACAGCCAGACTCCTCTTTTCAAAGGTTGTCCTGAAATGTTCTCGAAAATAAAATAGCTATCAACAGCTGCAGTCTTAACCCCTATTTCTTGCAGCTGGAAGGTATCAGAATATGCCATCCCAAAATATGCCTCATTGGCATGTGGATGATATTGAGCCAAAGGCAACTGAGAACCAACAGAGGAAGGAAAGGCCCTTTACCTTCTCCCAACTGCCTGAAAACAGAGTATACATTTCCCCCTTTTGTAACAGAAATTTCCATTTATAAAGGACATTTTTGTCTCTAAAAGTGTCGCTGTATCAGGAAGAGAGTTTCTTCCTATTACCTGGAAACAACACTTATCTGCACAGCAAGACCGCACTAATTTACCATGAATTTCCTCTCTTTACCTTCCAGAATTCCTCCTCCCACCCCTCCAAAGCCCCATATTCTTTTTTTAAGCCTAAAATGGTATAGAAACCTCAGTCATCTGACCACTTCCTTAAGTGTCAATTTTTTGTGAAACTCCCGTGCCCACATATATAATTAAACCTTTTTTCTCTTGTTGATATGTCATTTTTCAGTTTAATTTCCTGGGCCCCAGCCAGAGTACCTAGGAGAGCAGAGGGAAATGGTTTGCTCCTCCCCTACACTGCCCCAAGATATTAACAGGACGTAAAAGCATATTCTCAAGCCCTCATGATATAGGATTTTTCTTCTCGGTCACTTTGCCAGCCGAGGATCCCCAGCAGGCAACGCTCCAGCTCACCTGTGTTATAGCTTGTACCTGCGTTTGGCAGTTCCCGAGCTCTTGTATTGTGCTCGAGAAAAATGAGGATATGCTGGACACTGAAGTGCAAGGAGGGCGGAGAAGAATTTTATTGAGTGATGGAGCAGCTCTCAGCAGAGAGGGGACGCGGGAGTCGTCCCCGACCCCCACAGTCGGGTAGTTCTTCTGTGGCTGGGTCCAGAGCTTTGTATGGACTCAGAATAGGGGAGTGCATGCTGATTGGTTTGTGAGTATGCAAAAAAGGTTAAAGCAAAGACATCACTCAAAGGTGGGCGTGACAGTGCAGAGAACCAATTAGGAAAGGGTAGGTATATGTAAAATAGGTAAAGGGTGGGGATTAATCAGAGGAAAGTATGCCAAATGGGAAGACAAGTTCTCAGTCCGGTTTGAAGATTGAACTTGTGCTTGGCTTTTAGGCTTTAAACTGTCTTCAGCTTGGAGGTGAGGTTTCACCGGGACCTGCCCCTATTGGCTAGGCATGTGACTGCCTCCTGCTGCTATCACTCATATGGAACTATTTTCTTCAATGTTTAAATGTTTTTCATTTCTACTTGGCAGCTTTTCCTTTATCTGGTGTTTATTGTTTTAGTAGTTCTTTCAAAACAAATTGATTGTGACCAACTTTTAGAAACATTAGGGGAAGAGTGGGGCATATCTTTGTCTATGGTCCTTAATATAATACTGTTTGTGTAAGGGCTTCATGGAAACTGAAAAACGAAGATATTTATCATGAATTTAGATATAAAAGTTCATCAAAACTTTGTCCTAATGAGTACAGTACTTCTGAAAAACATTCTCCATTCTTCAAGCAAGCTTGTACTGGGCATGCACTGTTCTCAGGGCTGCCAGTATAAAGTGTAGGGGAGAAAAACATTCTCTGACTTTCTACCCATCTTAGTTTCATGGGTTAGGGACTGCCAATTAGACAGACAAAAGATAGATTAGCAAGAGATAAACAAACAGAAATTCATTAACGAGTGCATTGCCCATACACACAGGAGTACTCGGTAACGAATAGGTCAAACAGGTGGCTAGAACCTGGGTTTATATTTTACCATCTTAACAAAAGAACAAGAATTTTGTAGAGAAGTAGCAACACAAGGGAAAGGGGCCTTCAGTTCTAAGGCCAGCAAATTGTGGAAAGGTAAATCGATGAAGGAAAACAAGGGAAGACAAGGGCTATTAGTATGGTTCATTCTGTAGATTCCTCTCTTACACAGATTCTCTGGGCTGGGAAGGGTCTCTAGAGAGTTACCTCTGGCCATTGAGAGTTATCCTGCCCTTCCCGGTAGAGAGGGGGAGGTCAGAGAGTTTTTCTTGCATCTGTTCTTTTTAATTGCTTTCAGCTCAAAATAATCCTATTTCAAAGTGGCATATTTTGGGGTGGCACATTCTGAACTCCTTCAAAGCAAGGGAGAAAAACATAATCCCTGACTCCGGGTGTAAAGTACAATGAAATAATTCATATTCAAAAGGAATTTGATCCCTTTGATAATCAGACTTGGGTTTCCACCAGAAACTGATACAGCTATTTGTCAAGAACTGGTTGCCTGGACTTATAGGAAATGACTCTTGAATACTCAGGCAAGAAATTTCAGATTCTCTGAAAAGGTGACTACCACAATGTTCCATTTAGAGTTCAACCATTTGGAGATGTACATGACTGACTTCTGTGCACTCTCAATTTTTGCAAATATATGAAGAACCACCCCCCACTGAGTTTTTCCTCTGTAGAGTGTGAAGGTAAACCCTCACCCCAAAATATGGCTCCCTGATATCACAAGTATTTTGAATTAAAGGCCCTCAGAGATCAACAGACATTGGAAGAGGCTTTTCTCCCATCTATATCAAGACCAGATGAACCTACCAACAAGAGCATTTTTTTTTAACCTCTCCTCCTGCTATCTCATTATCTATCGCAGAAAAGATTAAGAATGAAACCACACCTGAACTGACTCCATAAGCTATTATCTGTCTCTTGGGTTTATTCAGCTTCCAAAGGGAACCATTTACAGGTTAATCTCCATTGCCCAATCCATTCATTCTTCCAGGTAATCATTTATTGCCCCTCAACAGTCACGTATATTCCCTATCCACCCGTCCCCTGAAATGAGGCCATACAGGTATCTGGACTCCAGTGGGATATTGGGCAGTCATCCTGTGAATCTCCCCTGTGCACATGTTAATAAACTGGTATGCCATTTTTCCAGTTAATCTTCCCTTTGTCAATTGATTTTCCAGGGAACCTTAAGAGGACAAAGGGGAAATTTTGTCTTATCCCCTGCAAGTGGGAAGGGTGAATATTCACAGCCAGCTAACTTAATGAAAAATCTCACAGAAAACATGACTGGCTGAAGCCTAAAGCAAAATAAAATCTTCAAGGGGTCTCAGAGCTACAGAAAGTAGTAGGAACATGGTGATCTCTCTCCTGACAAGCGTACGGCCTCATCATTTTTCTATGAGGATGTCACAAGAGGCTCCCTGAGGATTTGATCAGCACTGTTGTCGGGCACCAAGTTCAACTGAGTGTTCCTGATGAATTAACATGTTAATAAAGTTAATATAAGGGTGGCATTAATAAAAGGGTGCTTGCCGGGCGCGGTGGCTCACGCCCATAATCCCAGGCGGGTGGATCATCTGAGGTCAGAAGTTGGAGACCAGCCTGGCCAATGTGGTGAAACCCTGTCTCTACTAAAAATACAAAAATTAGCCAAGCATGGTGGTGGGCACCTGTAATCCCAGCTTGGGAGGCTGAGGTAGGATAATTGCTTGAACCCAGGAGGCGGAGGTTGCAGTGAGCTGAGATTGTGCCATTGCACTCCAGCCTGGGCGACAAGAGTGAAACTCTGTCTCAAAAAATAAATAAAAAAAATTAAAAAAAAGTTAAAAGGGTGCTCTTACCTAAAGGCAACTCTCATTAGCATAGACAGACACCAAAAATAGTTCTATATGGTCAAGAGATGTTTATATTTGCCTGTTATCTATATAATTGTTGGTCTACTTAGACATAAATTTCCCCTTCATTTAGGTGCATTAAAATTATAAAGAAAAATTTATCTTGGAGATTTCCATTGAAAGGGAGAAAAAAACCTTTATTCCTCTACTCCCCTAAATTCTCTGGCTGGACCTGCAAATCAAACTGACAGATTAATAAAAGAAAAACAAAGTTTTAGTTACACACATATGTATGGATGTTTCACAAAGAAATGAACTCAAGGAGGTGGTCAGATAATTGAGGCTTACGTACACTTTAGGCCAAACAAAGCAAAAGAGGTTTGGGGCTTCTGAGTGAGGGAAGGCAAGTTATGGAAAAGAGAATGAGGAAATGCAGGTAAATGCGGCCTGTCTTGCTATGCAGGTGAGAGTCTGAGGTGGAAAGAGTTGTCTCTGTGGCCAGGTGCAGTGGCTATGCCAGTAATCCAGCCTTTGGGAGGCCAAGGCGGGAGGACTGCTTGAGCCTAGGAGTGCAAGACCAGCCTGGATAACAGTGACAAACTGTCGCTACAAGAAAGAAAAAAATTAGCCAGATGTGGTGGTGTGTGCCTGTAGTCCCAGCTACTCAGGAGGCTAAGGCAGGAAGACCACCAGAGACCAGGAATTGGAGGTTACAGTGAGCTAGGAGGGTGCCACTCCTCTCCACTCTTTAGTAACAGAGGAAGATCTTCTCACTAAAAATAAAAATATAAATAAATAAAAATTATTTGTAATTCCAGCACTTTAGGAGGCTGAAGCAGGAAGATTACTTGAGCCTAGGAATTTGAGACCAGCCTGGGCAACATAAACAGATTCTGTCTCTACAAAAATTAAAATTAAAAAATTAGCCAGGCGTGGTGACGTGCTCCTGTAGTCTCAGCTACTCCAGAGGCTGAGGTGGGAGGATCACTTGATCCCAGGAGGCCAAAGCTGCAGTGAGCTGAGATTGCACCACTACACTCCAGACTGGGCAACAGAGCAAGACCCTGTCTTTAAGAAAAAGGAGGGGGGTTTTCTCCAGGAGTAGCTGTCTTCCAGGTACAGAGGCCCCTCTCCCAATGGAAGTTACCTTCGTAAGTGTAAATTTCCTTTATAAAAGGGGAGGTTGATTTTTCACGCAGACAGGGAAGGTAAAGAGCTTTTCCTTCATCTGCTGGCTCTCAATTACTTAGTCAAAAGAATCCCTATGCCTAAGAAGTGTATTTTGGGGTGGCATATTCTGGTACCTTTCTCCACCCTCCCTTTCAGAGCCCCATATCCCTTTGGGCAACAGCTCTTGACCATTAGGATCTGCTCTTGGTTCCTTACTTGAGACCAGTCAGTCATTCGCTATTATGAATGTTTCATGGGGAACCTTTTCTCTAATGATGGAATGAAAGACAAGTTATAGAATTCTAAATGTTAACAGGCAGCTTTGTCTTGGTACCACGGAGATGCTACACAATCCAGTGTGTGGCTTACTGATATCCAATTCATTCATTTGGTAAAAATCAATTATCTTAATTAACACTCCATAAGTATTGCCAGTATCTACTAAATCTAACTTAGGTTTTATTTATGAGTTTGAATGGAAGTAATTCACCTCAACATGTCCCAGAATTTCAATTTTTCTGCATGACATCAGAGAGAGTATGATAGAATTTATTCTTTATTGCATTAAGTCTGGCAGAACATCATTGGAAAGTCATTCCTCCAGAAATATTTATTGAAGATTCTCGATATGCCAAAATTTTTATGCATGGAAGATAGGAGAAAAGCTGCATGAGGGTCTATAAAATCTTTTGAAAGTTAGTTATTTCACTGGGAAATGAACCATGGGACCATGTTAATTAGCTCAGATGACATTCTTTAATGGTAGAGTCAGTGCTGATAAAAAGCAAAAGACTGGAAAATGTAAACACAGCATTTAAAATCTAATTCCATGTCAGTGCTTTGGGACTCCTTTTCGTTAGGCTCTCTCTCTAGGGGAAGTCTTTAATAAGTCTTTATCAAGTGCATTCTGAGGGGCCACATTTTCTACATTTGCATTAGGAGATTGAAAGCAGGTTTATAACTTTTAAAGATCAAATTACTTCTATGCATTTTATGTGCCCCAATTTCAAGTGTAAAGGGCACATACAAAACTATGAAGAGGGACAGATGGCAACTGGACTTTACATAATGCTTGAAATAGACACACTGATGATCCTAAACACATTTTTAGATATCTAAAGACAAAAATCATCATTGAAATAGAATTTAAGTGAAACAAGAAAATTTTAAATTAAATATATATTATATATATTTAGTACACATATATTTAAAATCATCTTGTTTCACTTAAATTCTATTTCAATGATGATTTTTGTCTTTAGATATCTAAAAATGTGTTTAGGATCATCGGTGTGTCTATTTCAAGCATTATGTAAAGTCCAGTTGCCATCTGTCCCTCTTCATAGTTTTGTATGTGCCCTTTACACTTGAAATTGGGGCACATAAAATGCATAGAAGTAATTTGATCTTTAAAAGTTATAAACCTACTTTCAGTCTCCTAATGCAAATGTAGAAAATGTGGCCCCTCAGAATGTACTTGATAAAGACTTATTAAAGACTTCCCCTAGAGAGAGAGGAATAT
Organism: Homo sapiens; assembly: GCF_000001405.40. Classification (NCBI taxonomy): domain Eukaryota; kingdom Metazoa; phylum Chordata; class Mammalia; order Primates; family Hominidae; genus Homo; species Homo sapiens. The sequence goes on from NC_000004.12 coordinate 186,465,852, forward strand.
ATATATGTAGGTGTTTTGGTAGAGACAGGGCCTTGTTTTGTTGCCCAGGCTGGTCTTGAACTCCTGGGCTCAGGCGATCCTCTTGCCTCAGCCTCCGAAAGTGCTGGGATTATAGGTATGAGCCACTGTGCCTAGCCAGACAGTTTTTTTAAAAGAAATTCATCTTCACATTGTGACTATCAATGTATCATACTAATATCTGAAAAGCTCATACAGATTCAGAGTTCAACCACCTCACTCCCCTAACCGCACCCCCCTCCCCCCACCCGCCAAAAAAAAGAATAAAAAAAGAACAGTGGTCTCTTCTGTTAAAGAAAAGAAAAACAAACCTAGGAGAAACCAAGTTTGGAGACAACAGATGATCTGTTGCTACTGGAGGCCATCTCTTCATAAGGAAAGAGAGCATCGCCACTGCCTCGGGCTCCAGTCATGCAGGTGGCCCTATGTATAAGTCACTCAGTCTACCTGAAGCAAACTGCTCCTCCCAGAACAGTGAGAAGAGGGCCTGGTAACCAAATTACACCTTGCTGCTTTTTCTGCTCTCACTCTTTTCTTCTGGTTCACATGAGAAGAGGGGATTCTGAATCATAAACTAGATCTAGAAGACATACTGGCTATAGTTTTTGGTTAGTGAAACATAAACAGAAATCTATTTTGATTTGTATTCTCATTCTTAAATCAACTTTCTCAGACATATCAACACCTTTTTTTTGGCCAAAGTACAATATGGCAAATATAATTTACTATTTCTTATCAAATTAAGATTGTGATCTATCTCAAGGTCACAATTAAACATGACGTGTGCTTTTTAAAGAATAATTTTAGTTACAAATATATAAATAAGGCCACCTGTAATCCCAGAACTTTGGGAGGCCAAGGCTGGCAGATCACTTGAGGTCAGGAGTTCGAGACTAGCCTGGGCAACATGGCAAAACCCCATCTCTATTAAAAATACAAAAATTAGCCAGGCACGGTGGCACGTGCCTGTAATTCCAGCTACTCAGGAGGCTGAGGCAGGAGGATCACTTGAACCTGGGAGGTGGAAGTTGCAGTGAACCAAGATGGTGCCACTGCACTCCAGCCTGAGTGACAGAGTAAGCCTCCATCTCAAAAACAAACAAACAAAAAAAGAAATTACAAATATATAAATAAAAGAAACAGAACTAGTGAAGCTCAGCTCGTTTCCTAAAAAGTAACAGTGAAACTGGAAAAGGGAATCCCAGATTCACCCCAAGCACTCATTCCCACAGCTGCTGGGAGGGTCAACGGGTTCAGTTCTGCTTCCTCCAGCCTCTCTCAGGTGCAAGAGAGGAAAAATATCTTCCATCTACCCTTGTAAGTTCTCAGCTGGGAACCCCTTCACAAAAGACAGATTAATAAGAGAAAAAGCATAGAAATTTAATTAATATAAGTTTTACATGGCATGGAGATGTCCATGAGAAAATGAAGACACAAAGAAAGGGTTAAACTGGGGTGTGTTTCTGCTGTTTGATGAAGAGTGGAAAGTCCTGGGGAAATGTGACAGGACAGAATATGGGCTAAGAGCACGGGCTAAGAGTATGGGCTAAGAGGGGTAAACGGGGGGACACTTGGCAGGGCTCATTTGTTCTAATTACTCTCAATACCCCTCTGTCTTTGGAGATAAGAATGTTGTCCTCCAGGTCTAGGAAGGCACCTCTCACATGAGGGTCTTATCGCCTGCTTCAGGAAAGAAGGACAGAGGCAGGTTGGAGAGACCTTCTTGCCATTTCTCGAATTCCTTCAGCTTAACATATTCACTATGCCAAGGTGCCATATTTTGGGGTTGCCCTGAACCCCATCAAAGGCATTGATTTCTAGCGCACTCTCCCATAAACTTTCTGTACCCAAATCTCAGTCTCCAAGACTGCTTTCTAAGAAAACTGTTTTGTGTCTGTGTACATGTAAGTCAGTAAATATAAACATCAGTGAAGGGCAACGCATCACAATGCTGAAACATCTTTCAAAGAAGTAAGATTAAGGCGATGAACTTGAAAATGATTTTGTAATTGTCTTACAAAATACACATCCATGTTATCCTTGCAATTTTGTTTTCCATGTAAAACATGTCACATGACTGAAAAGGTTCTCATTAACCTATTAAGAACTAAAAACCACCATTGAGCTCAACCAGGTGTTCTTATTCTCATGGTCTGACATGTCTTCCTCTCCTTCCCCACTCTCCTTCTTCCCCAATAGTCTTCAGACATTCAGTTAACTATGGTATGTGCTCTTTTTCTCAAGGCCAAGTATTTCCAAGTCTCCTCTTATATGATGTCTTATATAAATAAATGTTTAAAGTATATCAATATAAAATTGAGATAATGGAAATATTTACTGTTCCTATCACTTCATCTTTTCAAAGCCAACTTTAACAGCAAACACTATTGGCCTCGCAAGGCAGGAGATCTGAAGACGGATATATTAAATAAATAATTTTGATATGTACCTTGAGCCAAGATAATAATATAAGATTGTGAACACTCGCTGGGAAAAATAACGATCTGGTGTAGAAAATGACAGGATATTTGAGAAAATATAGGTATTTTTCTGGACAAAAGTAAACATTAATGTATTTATGAGATGTTTCTCACTGAGAAGTAAACTCTGACCTTTTTTCTCTCTTGCCCATATTCCTATCTAAGGGGCCTGCGGAGTCACGACTACAAACCACGACTACAAACCAAAACATCTCATCAGGTGGGCTTTATTTCACCCTATATAATGTGGCTCACTTTCCAACCCAACACTGGCATAACATCACATGAAAGATAAAGAAAGAAATCAAAATATTTTACCCCAAAAAATATGTAGGGCTTTTCGCCATATTTTAAAATGGCCCTGCAGAGTCTTTTGTGGGGGAAATTTTTGTCCGTGAAGAATCTCTGTTAACACAACTAAATCTTCCCCTTCCAGGCCCTCCCAATCCTGAAGAGATTAATTGAGAATCTATTTCTATTTCTATTTTTTATTTTTATTTTTATGTTTGTGTTTTTTGAGACAGGATCTCACTCTGTCACTCCACAGGCTGGAGTCCAGTGGAGGGATCTCAGCTCACTGCAACCTGTGCATCCTGGGCTCAAGCAATCAAGAGTCCAGCACCTTTTAAAGGTTTGAAGAGGAGACATTCACCATCTATTGTATCTAAGGGCAGCCACCTATAAGATTTCATAAGAACCTCAGTGTCCACAGCCCCTTATGTTAACCCAGACACTCCTTTCTATTGCCTCTATTATTCTATTTAGATAATAACTCTTTTAACCAATTGCCAATCAGAAAATCCTTGACTCCATCTACAACCTGGAAGCTCCCTCTTGGAGTTGTTCTGCCTTTTCGGACTAAACCTCATGTGTATTGTATATGTCTCCCCAAAACATATAAAACCAAGCTGCAGCCCAACCACCTTGGACACACGTTCTCAGGATCTCTTGAGGCCACGCCTCCGGCCATGGTCACTCATATTTGGCTCAAAATAAAACTCTTCAAATACAGAGTTTGGCTGTTTTTGTTGACACTGTAGGGATAAAAAAGCTATTACATAATATTTGACTGTACTGACTGAGTTATAATTTACAAAGGACAGAATTCAAATAAATAAGAAGGAAATTCTAGAGAGGCAGCCTTGTTGACTGACCATCTTGCTATCTGAAATGTTCAATTGTGGGAAGTGGAAATGGACTCTTTTCCTACACCATAGACGAGGCTAAGAGTAGGCAACAACCGGCCATGTACTACACGCAGATGGATGGCAGAGACAGCCAGGACCTGGATAACCTTGATACCCTAGAAAGAGACACACTACCTGTGAAGTATATGTACCCAAAAGACAAAAATTATCTGAATCTAATCAAGGACTTGGATCTAATAACTGGTTTCAAAAAATACCAATGAGAGCTGGGTGCAGTAGCCCATGTCTGTAGTCTCAGCTACTCTGGAAGCTGAGGTGGGAAGATGGCTACAATCACGCCTGTGTACAGTCACTGCACTCCAGCCTGGGCAACACAGTGAGAGCTCGTCTGGTAAAAAATACACATGTAGGTGATGAAGGAAAATGATGCCATGGGGACATAATCAACAAAATCTAGAATTGGAAATTTCTAGATGTAAATTATTAGGTTTCTTCAACAAATAGCAAGGAAAAAAGAAGACGGAGGGAAATCACAGATTAAAGAAAGGTGATACATATGAAGCCAATGTGATATGTGGTCCTTGTTTAGATCCCAATGCAAACAAACCAAATATAAAACAAACATTTCTGAGAATTGAGAAAATCTGCACACTCACCAGATACTGGATTATATTAACATTATTGTCGATTTTAGGGCTATTAATAATATTGTGTTTATGTTAAAGAAAGAATCCTTATGTTTTAGAAATATATGTTGGAGTGTTTCTGGATGAAATGATATGATGTCTGGAATTTCCTTTAAATAATTTGGGAGGTGGGAGGGTGGGTGGAAAAGAAACAGATGAAATAACAGCAGACAAACGGCAGTGATTGTTGAAGGTGGGTGATGGCTGTGCAGGGTGGGTGAACTGAAGAAAATGATGGAGGTGATTTTTTTTTTCTTTTTTTTTTTTTTGAGACGGAGTCTCTCTCTGTTGCCCAGGCTGGAGTATAGTGGCCTGATCTTGGCTTACTGCAACCTCTGCCTCTGGGTTCAAGTGATTCTCCTGCCTTGGCCTCCTGAGTAGTTGGGACTACAGGCGTGTGCCACCACGTCCAGCTAATTTTTGTATTTTTAGTAGAGACAGGGTTTCACCATGTTGGCCAAGATGAATCTCTTGACCTCATGATCTGCCCACCTCAGCCTCTCAAAGTGCTGGGATTACAGGCGTGAGCCACCGCGCCTGGCCTGACGGAGGTGATTTTAATCCATTTAGAGGTTTATTTTGCCAAGGTTGAGGAAGCACCTGGCAAACAGAGACACAAGCCACTGTAGGATCTGTGGCACCCCCTTTTTCTGAAGAGGATTTTGAGGGCTACAATATGAAAAGGGGAAAAGGAGGCAGGAGGGGAAAAGAAGGAAAAGGAGAGGGAGGGCTGGTCACGTTCTTTAGAATCCACATGAAAAGGAGCGGGTAGATGAACCGTCAATTCTGCATTCATCTCCTGCTCAGTACATCTGTACTCTACATAAGATAAGGTGAACTTCAGTAGAGGAAGCAACTGAATATGCATTCGTCTCAGGGTGCGCAGCGGGACAATTTCTAGGCTCCTCTCGTCCCGTACTCTTGAAGATAAACTGTTAATTTACATGGTCAGAGTGAGGGAGGCCCCTGTGGAAACATGTGGCCTTCTATCTGTAGCTATTAGTTTAGGAGCAAAAGGAAAGGCAGGGTTTTTTGGTTTTTTCATGACTCAGTTTTCAAGCTTAACTTTTCCATTTTGGCATAGCGAATTTGGGCTCCCAAGATTTTGTCTTCCTTTCATAGGAGAAAAAATAATTTCTTTTCTCAATCCTTGTAAGTTCATTAGTGGGACAGATTCCTGTTAGCAGAAGACAGATTAACAAGAGAGAGAAAAAAAAGCATTTTTATTTACGTGTGTGTCTATCCCATGGGGAGAAAGCTGAGTTCAAAAGTAAGGTGGCTTAGGGCCCTGGCTTACATAGCACATCTAGCAAAGAACAATATATTCAGAAGTGACAGGACAAAGGACCAAGCAGCTCCAGGCTCCCAAAAGTGGGACAACTATGGAAAGGTAATAAAGCCTGCTCCCAGATTCCTCTGGCCCTGCTGGCGCCAGCCCCTGCACTGATAAGTGAACCACTACTTACATCTCTGTCTTCAGGCAGATAGGGGAGGCAGAAGCTTCTCCGCATTTTTTCACAGCAATTTTTATGGCCTGCCTTAGGTAAGAAAGGGCAGCTCAGACAGCCCTTTCCTGTAACTTTACTTTCCACTTGCCAAAGAAGCATATTTCGGGGTGAAATATTCTGGTGTTCTTCAGATGTATGGGGATTCATAAGATTATTTTCTCTCCTGCTGTCTAAAATTCCACAATGAAGAAGTTAAAAAATCTCTACTGTAATTAAAAGTAAACTGAAAAATATTACAGTTATAGTGAATTAAATAATTGAAGTTTTCATATAAAAATGCAAGTTTTTAGAATCTATGCATCTGAAGGATTTTTTTAATCTAAAAATTGAATATAAAATATGTAAATTATGTTCTTTTCTAACCTAGGATGCTACTTATTAAAAACCTAAATTATTGCTATAAAGAAAATAATAGAGATATTTTAGTTCATCTTAATTATATATTTTATAGTTTGGTTTTTTGTTTTGGGGTGTTTTGGTTTTTATTCATTTTATTTATTTATTTATTTATTTATTTTGAGACAGGGTCTTGCTCTGTCTAGAGTGCAGTGGTGCAATCATGGCTCTCTGCAGCCTCAACCTCCTGGGCTCAAGTGATCCTCCCACCTCGGCCCTCAAGTAGCTAGAACTACAGGTGCTCGCCACCACACCTGGCTAGTTTTTGTGTGTTTGTTTTTTTTGTTTTTTTGGTAGAGATGTGGTTTTGCCATGTTGCCCAGGCTTTAATTATATATTACATAGGGACTATCAAAGACACTGTCAGTGTAAACATGCTAGAAGCCAATATAAGCCACTCCAAACAAGCAGTGTACCTACATGACAGCTTTTCAATCTAAGTCGTGAGGCTTGGTCAGAGTTGTGCCTGAAATTATTGAATTTTATTTCATTTCTTATGCACTGTTATAGCATTAGTAAATGTATTATGCACTATTACAGCATTATAATTCTTATGAAATAAAACATACTCTGTATGATAAAACAGATGCTGAGTTCTACAGAAACTCTTCAATTTATATTACCCCAGCAAAATATCAGCAATAATGGCTAACAAGTATGGAGTACTTTCCGTAGTGTCTAATATATTACTGCATTACATCAGTGGAGTGGTATTATTAGTGCTTCTCTTTCTTCTCAGGCTGAGGAACCAGCAGATGAGAGGGTTCATGAAGGAACCACTAGTTCCAGAAGTGCTGGATCCTGCCTTAATCATCATTCCAAAGACTCTCCTTATGATGATAACAATTAGTTGAACTCACTTTCTAGAATCCAAAATTGCAATGGTTCTCCAAATTAATACATTGTATCATGAAGTAAATTCACCTTATTTATTACTGTTTTGCTTTCATCCACCAGTAGAGGGAGTACAAATTCACCTATAACTGAGTCCAAATCCCAAAAACAGATTTAGGGAATGACAGGATCAGGCAGGAGTTTAACTCCTGTATTTTTATGCGTTAAGGAATCCGAGGTGACAGAGGTTGGGTGAGTTAATGCAGTTACATGGTTGGCCAATGGTGGGGCCAGATGAACAATTCGCACCCCCTGGCTTCCAGAACAGGCTGGTTTTACCACCGGTGAGGCTGGTCCTTTCAGTGGATATCAGGTTTCCTTCCTAGCCCACTGGGTGGTCATGTGGAATATTTCAGAAAGCCAAGCTCAGTTTCCCTCAAGAAACGTTAGTGACCACTAGTTTAAGATAAATTTTTATTTGGCTATGGTGAAACAGCTGATCATATAATTCCCCCAAATGAACATTAATTTAGCAAATTAATATACTGCACAAATAAGTATACAAAAGCAAAATTGAGAGCTAAATGAAGACAAAATTCCTCTCTGGGTCTTTCAAAAACACAATTTATCAGTTGAGAACTAATTGACTGTTTACAACTGGAGGTGAGAAGGGTGTATTCACAGATGTCTGCCTGAGACCATTGGATAAAGGGGATGAGTTCCAGTTAAATTTTGAAAAAAAAAAAAGGGGAAATAGCAGGGCACGGTGGCTCACATCTGTAATCCCAGCCCTCTGGGAGGCCGGGACAGGCAGATCGCTTGAGGTCAGGAGTTTGAGACCAGCCTGGCCAACATGGCAAAACCCCTTCTCTACTAAAAATACAAAAATTAGCCAGGCATGGGCAGCTGTAGTCCCAGCTACTCGGGAGGCTGAGGCAGGAGAATTGCTTGAACCTGGGAGGCGGAGTTTGCAGTGAGCGGAGATCGTGCCACTGCACTCCAGCCTGGGCGACAGAGTGAGACCCCGTCTCAAAAAAAAAAAAAGGTGTGTGTGGGGGAGGAGGGGAACAAAACAAAAAGCTGACCCTGAAAGTCTCCTTACTACTCAGTTTGAGAGACAAAAACTCCAGCTCGCCTGTTGTTTATGCTCATGCCTGGCTCTCCTTCCACTGCCTGCCGTACACTTTGCTGGGGCGGGGCTGACTCTGTCTCCTTAGGGGCAGGACTGTCTATAACACTGTCTTAAGTTCCACCTCTTCTATGCCTGGGAGGACACACCTGTTTCGTGTTCATTTGCATTCCCAACTTATCTTTCTTCTTCTCCTGGTGGCCACAGGAGGTGCTTTGTCGGCTGGCAGGTCCATTTTGGGTATTCTAATCCAGGCTTCTGACTAGGTTTGGTAGCTATTCTCATTCTCATTTTACTTCTTATTCATTCTAACTCTCATTCTACTATTTTTTACTTAGACGTAGTTTTCTTGGTAAGAAAGGCCATGGTAAGCAGACGTAGTGTGCACAGAAATATGCAGCCCTTCTGGGTGCCTGGACCCCAGTAGCACCATAGTCACCCGTAATAGCCACATAATAGCCACGCCTAGTTCTAAGAGTGAGTAGAGTTGGACCAAGTTGTGAAACTTCAAGTTTGCTTTTGTTTTTAGTCGAGGCCTAACCTAGGCTTGGCTGGGCACTTTTTTCAGGGTGCTAGTGTTGTAGAACCTCTGAGAGCAGCGAAAGGTTTATAAGATTTGGCCAAGGCCAGAGGGCGGGAGACAAAATCTCGCAATTCTGACCTGCCTTTGGACATAATTGAGGCTTTATGAGGAAGGTGGGGATGCGGGAGTGGCGATCCCATGACCAAAGCTGCTTGCCTCCCTCGGTCCCTTGGCCAGATGAAACTTCTGGATGCCTTCAAGGATGTCTATCTGACCAAAGGATCTTGTTCTTTAAAGATAAACAAAGCCGGGCGTGGTGGCTTATGCCTGTAATCCCAACATTTCGGGAGGCCAAGGCAGGCAGATCACTTGAAGTCAGGAGATTGAGACCAGCCTGGCTAACATAGAGAAACCCCATCTCTACTAAAAATACAAAAATTAGCCAGGTGCGGTGGCATGCGCCTGTAATTTCAGCTACTTGGGAGGCTGCGGCAGGAGAATCGCTTGAACCCGGGAGGCAGAGGTTGCAGTGAGCTGGGATTGCGCCACTGCACTCCAGCCTTGGCCACAGAGTGAGACTCCAAAAAAAAGAAAGAAAGAAAGAAGGAAGGAAGGAAGGAAGGAAGGAAGGAAGGAAGGAAGGAAGGAAGGAAGGAAGGAAAAGAGAGAGAAAAGAAAGGAAGAAAGAAAGAAGGAAGGAAGGAAGGAAAAGAAAGAGAGAGAGAAAGAAAGCAAGCAAGCAAGCAAGAAAGAAAGAAAGGAAAAAGAAAGAAAGAAAAAGAAAGAAAGAAAGAAAGAAAGGAAGGAAGGAAGGAAGGAAGGAAGGAAGGAAAACAAGTTCATCAATCTCGCAGGCAGACCCTGGAGGGTTAGGATATGAAGGTAATCAATTATTAGCAACTCCCCTCCACCAGAATGACTTCATGCCAGCAAGTGTGCACAGGGAGAGGAGAGGACAAAGAGAGAGGAAAATAAGCAAAACAGAGAGAGGAAAATAAGCAAAGCAAACACCTTAGGGTTTTTGTTTGTTTGTTTGTTTTTGTTTTTTTGAGACGGAGCTTCACTCTTGTTGCCCAGGCTGGAGTGCAATGGTGCGATCTTGGCTCACTGCAACCTCCGCCCGCGCCCTCCCCACCCCACCCCCAGGTTCAAGTGATTCTCCTGTCTCAGCCTCCTGAGTAGCTGGGATTACAGGCATGCACCACCACGCCCAGCTAATTTTGTATTTTTGGTAGAGACAGGGTTTCTACATGTTGGTCAGGCTGGTCTTGAACTCCCAACCTCAGGTGATCCGTCCACCTTGGCCTCCCAAAGTGCTGGGATTACAGGCTTGAGCCACCGCGCCCGGCCTAGGGTTTTTATACTATAGGCTCAGTCGCACTAGCCTGGTCTCCTTTTGCCTCCAGGAAGCCGTGTGCACCACCTACATGCTGTAAAGATCAAAGAATGCACTTATCTAGGCCACTGCTGTCATGTCTCCATTTCTTTTTTGTTTTTTGCTTTTTCTTTTTTTTTTTTTTTGAGATGGAGTCTCGCTGGAGTGCAGTGGTGCAATCTCGGCTCACGGCAACCTCTGCCTCCTGGGTTTAAGCAATTCTCTTGTCTCAGCCTCTGGAGTAGCTGGGACTACAGGCGCATGCCACCACACCCAGCTAATTTTTTGTATTTTTAGTAAAGAAGGGGTTTTACTTCATTAGCCAGGAAGGTCTCAATCTCCTGACCTCGTGATCTGCCTGCCTCGGCCTCCCAAAGTGCTGGGATTACAGGCATGAGCCACAGCGCCCTGTGCCATGTCTTCATTTCTGCAACCAACACCTCCATGCTCAGGTCTTCCAGTCTTCCAGCTGTGATCTTTCTCAAAACTGACACTGGGAGTGAAGCAAGCCTTGGAAGGAGTGACAAATACACCCATCCCCTGCAGCCCCCGCAGACCCCATTCATCGATCACAGCTCTCCTTCCACCACTCATTGATCACAGCTCTCCTTCCACCACTCATCGATCACAGCTCTCCTTCCACCATTCATCGATCACAGCTCTCCTTCCACCATTCAGTGATCACAGCTCTCCTTCCACCATTCAGTGATCACAGCTCTCCTTCCACCATTCAGTGATCACAGCTCTCCTTCCACCATTCAGTGATCACAGCTCTCCTTCCACCATTCAGTGATCACAGCTCTCCTTCCCCCATTCAGTGATCACAGCTCTCCTTCTTCCATTCATTGATCACAGCTCTCCTTCTCCCATTCATCGATCACAGCTCTCCTTCCACCATTCATCGATCACAGCTCTCCTTCCCCCATTCATCGATCAAAGCTCTCCTTCCACCATTCATTGATCACAGCTCTCCTTCCACCATGCAGTGATCACAGCTCTCCTTCCCCCATGCAGTGATCACAGCTCTCCTTCCCCCATTCATCGATCACAGCTCTCCTTCCACCACTCATTGATCACAGCTCTCCTTCCACCACTCATTGATCACAGCTCTCCTTCCACCATTCAGTGATCACAGCTCTCCTTCCCCCACTCATTGATCACAGCTCTCCTTCCACCATTCAGTGATCACAGCTCTCCTTCCACCATTCAGTGATCACAGCTCTCCTTCCACCATTCAGTGATCACAGCTCTCCTTCCCCCATTCATTGATCACAGCTCTCCTTCCACCATTCAGTGATCACAGCTCTCCTTCCCCCATTCATTGATCACAGCTCTCCTTCCACCACTCAGTGATCACAGCTCTCCTTCCACCATTCAGTGATCACAGCTCTCCTTCCCCCATTCAGTGATCACAGCTCTCCTTCCACCATTCAGTGATCACAGCTCTCCTTCCCCCATTCATTGATCACAGCTCTCCTTCCACCATTCATTGATCACAGCTCTCCTTCCACCATTCATTGATCACAGCTCTCCTTCCCCCATTCATTGATCACAGCTCTCCTTCCACCATTCAGTGATCACAGCTCTCCTTCCCCCATTCATCGATCACAGCTCTCCTTCCACCATTCAGTGATCACAGCTCTCCTTCCACCATTCAGTGATCACAGCTCTCCTTCCACCATGCAGTGATCACAGCTCTCCTTCCACCATTCAGTGATCACAGCTCTCCTTCCCCCATTCATTGATCACAGCTCTCCTTCCCCCATTCATCGATCACAGCTCTCCTTCCACCATTCAGTGATCACAGCTCTCCTTCCCCCATTCATCGATCACAGCTCTCCTTCCACCATTCAGTGATCACAGCTCTCCTTCCACCATTCAGTGATCACAGCTCTCCTTCCACCATTCAGTGATCACAGCTCTCCTTCCACCATTCAGTGATCACAGCTCTCCTTCCCCCATTCATTGATCACAGCTCTCCTTCTTCCATTCATTGATCACAGCTCTCCTTCTCCCATTCATTGATCACAGCTCTCCTTCCCCCATTCATCGATCACAGCTGTCCTTCCCCCATTCATCGATCACAGCTCTCCTTCCACCATTCATTGATCACAGCTCTCCTTCCACCATGCAGTGATCACAGCTCTCCTTCCCCCATTCATTGATCACAGCTCTCCTTCCACCATTCATCGATCACAGCTGTCCTTCCCCCATTCATTGATCACAGCTCTCCTTCCACCATTCATCGATCACAGCTCTCCTTCCACCATTCATCGATCACAGCTGTCCTTCCCCCATTCATTGATCACAGCTCTCCTTCCACCATTCAGTGATCACAGCTCTCCTTCCCCCATTCATCGATCACAGCTCTCCTTCCACCATTCAGTGATCACAGCTCTCCTTCCACCATTCAGTGATCACAGCTCTCCTTCCCCCATTCATCGATCACAGCTCTCCTTCCACCATTCAGTGATCACAGCTCTCCTTCCACCATTCATTGATCACAGCTCTCCTTCCACCATTCATTGATCACAGCTCTCCTTCCACCATTCAGTGATCACAGCTCTCCTTCCACCATTCAGTGATCACAGCTCTCATTCCACCATTCATCGATCACAGCTCTCCTTCCACCATTCAGTGATCACAGCTCTCCTTCCACCATTCAGTGATCACAGCTCTCCTTCCCCCATTCAGTGATCACAGCTCTCCTTCTCCCATTCATTGATCACAGCTCTCCTTCCACCATTCATTGATCACAGCTCTCCTTCCCCCATTCATTGATCACAGCTCTCCTTCCACCATTCAGTGATCACAGCTCTCCTTCCACCGTTCATCGATTACAGTTCTCCTTCCACCATTCATTGATCACAGCTCTCCTTCCACCATTCATTGATCACAGCTCTCCTTCCTGCTGAGCTTGGGTGTAGTCTCAGAGTCCTTCTCAACATAGCATTCCAGACAACCACCACCAAATGTGGCTTGACACTCAAGTAACACACATTTACCATTACTGCCTGTCAATGAGAATTAGAACTGGACACCAGTTAAAGTGGTGGAGCTGAATTTTAGGGAGAAACTAAACTGCTGTAATAGGGGAAAAGAGACTTCAGCACAGAACTGAGCTCAATTTGAATACAAGGATAAGTGGGAATTTATCACTAAACAGCAGGATGGGGGCATCAGTGGGTGGACAGTCACTAAGAGGAAACATCAAGGGTAGTAGGTTCTTGAGAAACTGACTCAACAGGGTCCTTGCTGAGAGCAGGCCGGCAGGATGGGATATCAAGAGTTGGGAATTCTTTTGTAGGGGAGGAAAAATATCTTTTCTCCTACCCTTCAGAGTTTGTGGCTGGGGACCCCGTAATAAAAGACAGATTAACAAGAGAAAAGCATAGAAATGTATTTAATATAAGTTTCACAAGACACAGGAGCCTTCATAAGAAAACAAAGATCCAAAGAAACGGTTAAACCTTAGTGTTTTTATGCTAGAATGGATGAAGAGTGGAGAGTTCTGAAAAAATGTCTGAGGACAGAGCGGGAGCTCCATATAGTCAACTGGGGAAAATTTAGCAAGTCTCATTCACTCAGATTCCTCTCAGCATCCCTCCATCTTTTTTTTTGAGATGGAGTTTCACTCATGTTGCCCAGGCTGGAGTGCAATGGCATGATCTTGGCTCACTGCAACCTCCAACTACTGGGTTCAAGCGATTCTCCTGCCTCAGCCTCCCAAGTAGCTGGGATTACAGGCATGCACCACCACGCCCGGCTAATTTTGTATTTTTAGTAGAGACGGGGTTTTTCCATGTTGGTCAGGCTGGTCTCGAACTCCTGACCTCAGGTGGTCTACCCGCCTCGGCCTCCCAAAGTGTTGGGATTGCAAGTGCGAGGTACTGCACCTGACCCCCTCCATCTTTAAAGTCAAGGACACTCCTTCCCTCTGGGTATAAAGAGATCACCCCTTACATAAGGGTTGGATAATCCGCTTCAGGGGAAGGTCAGAAAATCATTTCACCAATTCCTTCAGCTAAAATATTCAATATACCAAGTCAGTGTGTCCTGAACTCCACCACTCTAAACTGACATAGCAGAATTTGTGATAAAACTGAACTCAGCAAAGATGAACACGGAAGACCACGGAGGACACCTGATGAAGAAGAGGGCTCAGAGGAGCATGGCCACAGTCCAGTTAAGGAGAAAGTCTTTGTCACGCCCCAGAGTTAGAGTACACAGCCCTCCCTAGCTAAGAAACTGTAAATAACTCTACAGCAATCCATCTGCAGCTCCAGGTAGACAACGTCACCTGCACCATCAGCCGCTTTTGACACCAGGCAATTCTAGGCACCTCGGCATGCTGAGTGTTTTGAGCAGAAGGAGGTTGAGAGGGTCACAGAAGCAGGTTGAGAGGGTCACAGAAGCAAGAAGGTCTCTCCAATCTTCTCCTGCCCTCCTTTCTCCTAATCCCCTTTGCCCTCTAAAGCAGGTTGTAGAATCTAGAATTCACCTCCCCTGAAGCAAGCCATCAAACTCAGGAACATCACTCTCTGAGCTCCTCACTACTCCACTGAAGACCCTCATGTGGCAGGTATTGTGTCCTACACCTGGGGCGGGGGAATGAATTCATAGACACAAAAAGAATCGGAACAAACAGGCCTAAAGGAGTTCCCCCAAGTTTATTATCATTAGATCACACTCCCTTTCATCCAGTCATGATTCTCTACAACTATCTACTTTTTTTCATCAGACTTAGCATAAAAATACACAGTTTTCCCTGGTTCTTGGGCCTTCATTCCTGAAGGCTCTTGTGACATGTGAAGCTTTCATTAAATATATTTGTTCAGGTTTTCTCCTGTTAATCTGTCCCATGTTACGGAAGTGTCAGCCACGAACTGAATGGGTGAAAAAAAGAGATTACTTTTTCTCCTCTACAGGGCTCAAGGCTCAGAAAGGTATTTTTCAAAAAAGAACTTGAGTCGTATAGCTCTATTTCATTTTTTCCTCAGAGACTATATACACAAAATTGAACAAGCATTTTATAACTTGTTCAAGAAGGCAAAAATATAGGTCACTGAAAACATAGTCTTCTTGAATTACTTTTTTTTCCAAACTTTAATTTAATCCTTGTAATAGTCACATCAAGAAAAGCTTTTTCTATCCATTTTCTTACCAGTTGAACACTCTTTTGAAAGTGGACTTTCAGTCACACAGCTCTGTGTTTCAGCTAATAACCTACTTTGCAGCTGACATACAGGAATACAACGGCTATACAAGAAAGAAATGTTATTTTTCTTTTCTATGGAATTGGGTCCAGAAAAATGCCTGTGAGAAAGGCTTTTTGCATGGACATTTGTCCTGGCACTTTTTCCTTATTAAAAATTTAATGGCGTGGGCCACATATTCATATTCAGATCAACTCTGGGTACTTATCCCAGTAGCTATGATAATTAAGATTTTACTTTTATGACAGTCTAGCAGAGCACAGGTTTTATATTCAATATTCTGCCACTTGACAATTCTTTAGCCAGCTTTTCCCAACTTCCCTTCTCATAAGACCCCACTCCAGATACTGATTCAACACGGCTGACATGCAGGCTGGAGTCCTGGTATTTACAAAGAACCAAAGAACCGCAAGTGATGTTTATAACCAGAAAGGTTTGGAAAGCACCACTCCAGGCAAATAGTCAGTTTTAGGGGTTTTAAAAGATTTTCAAAACAAAGCTAAAGATTTTAGTTCATTTTTATTTTTATTTTTTCAAGACAGGGTCCGGCCCTGTCACCCAGGCTGGAGGGTGGTAGCATGATCATAGCTCACTGCAACCTCAAACTCCTGGGCTTAAGCCATCCTCTCTCCTCAGCCTCCCAAGTAGATGGGACTATAGGCGCATACCACTACGCCCAGCTAGTTTTGTTTTCAAATTTTTTGTAGAGATGGGGTCTTGCTGTGTTGCCCAGCCTGGTCTTGAACTCCTGCTCTCAAAGGATCTTCCTGCCTCAGCCTCCCAAAGTACTGGGATTGCAGGTGTGAGCCTCTGTGCCTCACCAAAACTCAAGACTTTTCAATACAGCACACACACCACAAAGGACAGCCATGACAGTCACCCTGGTGAAGAGGTGAAAGCACCTGCCAGCTGCCGCTGCCTCAGCCTGCCCCAACCCCGTGCAGCCCTGCTCCTTCTCTCATTAGAAGTGGCAAGGGAAGGCACGGCGGGGAGAGGGGTAGGGACGCTGTGAGCATCCTCAGAAACCATCGCAGTGCCTCCTGCCCAGCTGCAGTGGAACTGCTGCACTCCACCAAGGCAGCCGAGGGCTCTGAGGACCAGAACAGAATACACTTCCATATGCATTTCTTCCACAATTCTTTGAGTGAAGCACCACCCTCTGTACAGAATCATTATAATTATTCTTGGATCACTCTTTTGTCTCTCTACAGTGGCTTTGGTAACAGCAGGGATTCCAGAAACAAGGACAAAAGCATCTGGCTTGAGCAAGGAGGCTGCTGGCAAGACTGAGGGTGGCAGAGCTAGGAGGATGAATGTGTGAGGAGTGGACAGGCGACAGGAAGAGAAGGGAAGAGAGAAGGAACAGACCGGGGAGAGCCCCTCAGTGGCCAGTAGTGAACTTTCCCCAAATCTGTCCTCCTGGCAGAACCCTCTCTCCCAGCTCCTGGAGGCGGAGCCAACCCCAGGCAGGAGGCTACAGCAAGCAGATGTCCTGGTCACTGCCTGCACCTCCCATGGTGGCTTTCACAGCTTCCTGCCAGCTCCAAGCCGACCCTAAACCTCCGAAAAGCATCTGAGGAGGCAGCTTACATTTGGGATTAAAACACCAGTGTTACCCCTGTCAGAAAAATTTGCATTATTCGTGTGGCGAACGAAAAATAAAATCTTAAGGCCCCCACTGATCAGACCCCCTCTTGGCCAAGGGAACTCCAGAGAAAGCCTAAAACTGAGTTCCAGGCCATCACTGGAAGGGAGGTCAGGCACGTCTCCTCATACCCGCTTTCTTTTGGAGCTTAGACACGACAACTGACCAGCATTCCTGTAAAAACAAAGATCAGGAGGCTAACAAAACAGACTCTCTGTCGTAACAGGAAGCCAAATTCTAGGCCGGGAGCGGTGGCTCATGCCTGTAATCCCAGCACTTTGGGAAGCTGAGGTGGGTGGATCACAAAGTCAGGAGATCGAGACCATCCTGGCCAACATGGTGAAACCCCATCTCTACTAAAAATACAAAAAATTAGCTGGGCGTGGTGGTGGGTGCTTGTAGTCCCAGCTACTTGGGAAGCTGAGGCAGGAGGATTGCTTGAACCCGGGAGGCGGAGGCTGCAGTGAGCCGAGATCACACCATTGCACTCCAGCCTGGGCAACAGCGCGAGACTCCATCTCAAAAAAAAAAAAAAAAAAAAAAAGACAGATCTTAAACAGGATGTAAAGCCGGCAGTCTTGCTGAACAGGTCATATTGTGGCTGACTCTGACACAGCATCCTTATCTTTTTTTCCTTTTTTTATGCTCCACAGGGCAAGTCCTAAGCATCCCTATCTTAACTTCAACAGTCCATTCTGCTAACTCCAAATTTTTAGACAAAGTTTTGTTCCTTTCACCAACTACACATTAAAGAATCTCGGAATCCACCTGTGACCTGTAAGCCCCCATTTCAAGATGTCCTGCGCTTCCTGGCCGGGCCAATGCATACCTTCCAGGTACGGATTTGTGTTTTGCCTTCTCAAAATGTGTAAGACCACACTGTGACCCAGCCACCTCAGCAGCACTAAGACCACACTGTGACCCGGCCACGTCAGGAGCACTAAGACCACCCCGTAACGCGGCCACCTCAGGAGCACTAGGACCACCCCGTAACCGAGTCACCTCAGCAGCACTAAGAACACCACGTAACGCGGCCACCTCAGGAGCACTAGGACCACCCCGTAACGCGGCCACCTCAGGAGCACTAGGACCACCCAGTAACGCGGCCACCTCAGGAGCACTAGGACCACAACGTAATCCAGCCACCTGAGGAGCACTTGCTCAGGACCCCTTGAGACTGTTTCCCTGGGCTGTGGTCACTCATATTGGCTCAGAATAAACTCTTTAAAATATTTTACAGAGTTTGGTTTTTCCCACTAGCAATGTCAACCTAAAAGGAAGAAGCTGAAACAAAATTAATGTAGTAGAGAGTTTATTTGGGCTAAGCTTGAGGACTGCAATCTGGGAGCATAGATTCAAGTTGCCCTGAATATACATCCCAATTAGCAGATGTTGTAAGTGGATTTTTTTTTTTTTTGACAGAATCTCGCTCTGTTGCCAGGGTGGAGTGCAATGGCACAATCTCAGCTCACTGCAACCTCCGCCTCCCGGGTTCAAGCAATTCTCCTGCCTCAGCCTCCCAAGTAGCTGGGATTACAGGCATGCGCCACCACAGTTGGCTAATTTTTGTAATTTTAGTAGAGATGGGGTTTCACCATGTTGGCCAGGATGGTCTAGATCTCCTGACCTCATGATCCACCTGCCTTGGCCTCCCAAAGTGCAAGGATTACAGATGTGAGCCACCGCGCCCAGTTGATTTTTTCTTTTTTTTTTACAGGGTCTGGCTCTGTCCCCCAGGCTGGAGTGCAGCCTCAAACTCCTAAGCTTAAGTGATCCTCCTGCCTCAGCCTCACGGGTAGCTAGGACCACAGACACATGCCACCGTGCCTAGCTGATTTTTTGTATTTTTTTATGTTTTTGTAGAGACAGGGTATCACTATTTTGCCCAGGGTGGTCTCAAACGCCTGGCCTTAAGTGATACTCCTCAGCCTCCCAAAGTGTCGGGATTATAAGCATGAGCCACTGTGCCCTGCATAGGTGGATTTTTTTTTTTCGAAGTCTCGTTCTGCTGCCAGGCTGGAGTGTAGTGGTGCCATCTTGGCTCACTGCAACCTCCGACTTCCTGGTTCAAGTGATTCTCCTGCCTCAGCCTCCCAAGTAGCTGGGATTATAGGCACACACCACCACGCCCAGCTAATTTTTGTATTTTTAGTAGAGACGGGGTTTCACCATGTTGGCCAGGATGGTCTCGATCTCCTGACTTTGTGATCCACCCACCTCAGCTTCCCAAAGTGCTGGGATTACAGGCGTGAGCCACCGCGCCCGGCCGGGTGGATTTTTAAAGGTGATAAAGGGGGACGGAGAGCGTGCTGACAGGGGGACGGAGAGCGTGCTGACACGAAGTGGCTCCTCAGGAATCCTCACTGGTCTACAGAAATAACATTGATTATGGTGGGTCATAGTGTCCGGGCATGGCATCCTTAGGTACATGTATAGCTTCTGTGGCAACAGCAAGCAGTTTCGAGAGATGAATTGCGAGATCAAAAGGGGCAGCAGGCTGCAGTTGCCATCTCATTTTACCATCTCTCTGAGTCTGACAATTCAAAGGACTTGCATTCCTCAGACAAAAGTTCCCCTCCCCTCCCCTCCCTTCCCCCCGTTCCCTCCCCCTCCCCTCTTTTCTTTTCTCCCTTCCCCTCCATTCCCCTCCCCTCCCATCTGTCTTCTCCCCTCCCCTCCCCTCCTCTCCCTTCTCCTTCCCTTCCGCTTCCTTTCCTTTCTTCCCCTTTCCCCTTTCCCCTTTCCTTTCTTTTCTTTTCTTGAGGAGACTCCGGGAAAGCGAAAGACAGAATTGTGGCAACTTTCTGGAGCAGAAAGTTCTGAGGCAAGGAAAAGCCCTTATGTGCGATGCGAGGGAGGCTGCACAGACCTGGGTGGCTGCCCACAGCTTCTGGAGCCTGGCCGCAGCGCCTCTGAAGGCAATGTCACATAGGGAACGAGTCACGAGGAAGCCAGACAGGCACAAGCACATGGACGCTTTCCACCTTGAAGATCCAGGGCCACCTTCCTGCCCCCTGGGGGCACAGCGGTCTCCAGTCCCTGGAGAAGCTCCAGCTGGGGATACTGTCAACCCGGTAACCAGCACGGCGCTCCTGGGCAGCCCGGGACCAGCTGTAAAGTGGTGATGGCAGGAGAAACCCTACAGGGACTGGCTCACACACACACAGGGACTGGCTCACACACACACACACACACACACACACACAGGGACTGGCTCACACACACACACACACACACACACACACAGGGACTGGCTCACACACACACACACACACACACAGGGACTGGCTCACAGGTTTTAAGTGAAAGGAAGAAATCAGGAGTTCTTTCCTTTTTTAGCAATTTGAAACTCTAAGAAAAAGGCTACAGTGTTGTATTAATGTCTCACCACTCCCACCCCCTTTTCAAGTGAAATAAAGAATACAAGGGAAGCCAGAAAAATGCTGAAGATTTTGGCAATGAAGGGTCTGACCACAAAGAAAGCCAATGTGCCACTTGTGTGGATTTTTGCAGAAAGAGTAAACAGCCTTCCTGCAAGACACAGGCTGCAGAGGGTTCCGTTTTCATGGCTGGCTGCCACAGAATTGGCTTAGGCTGGATGGACTGAGCAGAGCATGGGGTCTGAGCCGAGTGGCGTGAGCCAGGGGTCCAGAGCAGACACGGGGGGCGTGCACGCCATCTCCAGAGTCGCACAGGGCTGTGCGTAGGCGGCCACTAGGGTAGGTCACGCATAAAAGTTGCTTTGTATCTGCAGCACGAACAAGACTTAAAGAAAGATCTGTTTTATAAAGACGAAGCAGTGCTCAGTATGTCATTTAGGATGAAGAAGAAGGCAGGGAAAGCGTTCATTTTAGAAGTGCTGTGAGGATGGTGCAGGACGCAGTGGGGCGGGGGGAGGGTGCATTCCGCCCGGATCTTCCCTCCCCTCACTTCTGTGCTGCCCTGCCTGCATGCCCTCACGCCCAGGCTAGTTTCCACTCTGCCACAGGCAGTGAAGATTGGATCCGCTGATGGCAGCATCTTGGAAACAGGAAACTGACAGGCCTCTGAATATGCCATCCTAAAATATGACTGTCTGAGACCAGACTATACCACCCCAAAATATGACTGTCTGAGACCACACTATACCACCCCAAAATACGACTCAGAGATCAGACTATATCACCCCAAAATGCGACTGTCAGAGACCAGATTATACCACCCCAAAATATGACTGTCAGAGACCAGACTATACTACCCCAAAATACGACTCAGAGACCAGACTATATCACCCCAAAATATGACTGTCAGAGACTAGACTATAACACCCCAAAATATGACTCAGAGACCAGACTATATCACCCCAAAATATGACTGTCAGAGACCAGATTATACCACCCCAAAATATGACTGTCAGAGACCAGACTATAACACCCCAAAATACGACTCAGAGACCAGACTATATCACCCCAAAATACGACTGTCAGAGACCAGATTATACCACCCCAAAATATGACTGCCAGAGACCAGACTATATCACCCCAAAATATGACTGTCAGAGACCAGACTATACCACCCCAAAATACGACTGTCAGAGACCAGACTATACCACCCCAAAATATGACTCAGAGACCAGACTATATCACCCCAAAATATGACTGTCAGAGACTAACCAGACCATGCCTCCCACACATGCCTCTTTGTCTTAAGGATCATTTGGAGCTGGTTATTTTGAGAAACTGCAGATGCAGGAGAACCTTTAAAAACAGAAACTTACCATTTTGTAAAGGAAATGTCCGTCAATAAAGGAACTGTCCATTTGTAAGGGTGCCTTCCTCTCTGCACCAGAGAGAGAAGAACGACTAGATCTCTAGACTCCTGAACCATGGAGAAGGTTTCTAAGCCTGAAGTTTAAACTACCTGTTTGAGATCAACTCCAGAGACATACTCAGTTCTCTGGGTGCCTCCCAAGTGCACACGAGCTACACATACTAATAAACTTCTGTTTGTTTTTCTCTTCTTACTCGGTCTTTGTTACAGGGAGTCTCAGCTAAGAAGGTTGGAGGGCAGAGAGAAAACTCGTGTTCTGCCCCTACCGGAGCAAGTGTGTGTTCCTCTGCACTGATGAATGTGCCTGTCTCCAGAAAGGGCAGCCCGTAGGTACTGAGAGCAGAGGTGGAGCTTCTAAGAGAGCAGTGACAGCCTCACTCCTCCTCCCTGGCCCACCCTCACCCCGTCCCCTGCACCTGGAGCCACTGGAAGACGGAGGAGCCATCCTTTAAGAATCTCCTGGAGGACTCATCGACCCCACGGGGACATGGTACAAGGCTGGAGAGCAGCTCTGTGTTGAAGGGGAGGAGAGAAGATAATCTCATTTCCTCCCAGTCTAAAGAATGAGCATTCCCAGTGGAAGGAGAAAGCAGATCCTTGGCCACACACAATCCTCGGAGAAGAGTCAACAGGATTGTGACTAGAAGTGGCTTCTACATCAGCCCAAAGTTGACTTTCAGCAAAAGGTAGGTTTTTGCAATTTAAAGCAGTGACAATTGATTTAGACAAGGTTAGCCTTAAGTGATTTAAAAAATGCTTTTATGTAAGATCTCATTTAATCTTCATTGCGGTTCTTGTAGAAAGGAATCAGAATTTAAGGCACCAGCGCGAGGTTGGAGAGCTATTATATTATGGAGCTAGGATTCTGACCTAGTTGGCTTAACAAGGAGGGGCTTAATAAAGACAAGTGATCTCCAAGCCCAAATACAAGCAAAGCCAGCTCATAAAAGATCTGCTTTCAGATTTTAATCCTTGATGAAGGGAAATGTTTAAAAATTTCCTAAAAGCAAAATTGACAAGACAAATCCAAAGAAAACCCTGTCTTATCCAGTGTGGCCTCAAGGCCCAACCGCATCCCCTGAACAGAAAACCCTGTCTTACCCAGTGTGGCCTTGAGGTCCAACCGCATCCCCTGAACCTGGTACATTCGCCTTTGGGTACGTTCAGTAAAGAAGCCAGGGTCTCAGAATATATGGAGTGGTATTTTTGTTGGGAGCAGGGGTGGAGAAGTTGCCTTGAAATATATACAGATTAAAAATGTATATATTTCAAATGTATTTAACAAAATTTATAGCTAAGCAAATATTCCCTACGATCTACCAAAAAAATGTAGAAATTATCCACAAAGAATTTAGGGCTTCATCTATTTTTAGAGGAAGAAGCTGTTAGCATGCTGTGTTCAGAATAAATACATTCAATTAAGTTAATAAATTAATCATGTAATCTTTGATTAAGATTATCACCAATGAAATATAGCTACACAAACAGTAATGATTCAACTATAGCTTTGCTTATTGCAATGAAAAGGATGATCTGGACATCTAGATACCCTCCCGAAAACCTTGTGAAACCTGTGACTACCTCTTCATGTAAGTCCCTCTCCCCACCCCCGACTGGGGAAGTCAATGATTTACCAAACACAGCACACAGCTGGTCCATGGCAAAGGCAGCAGGAACCCAGCACTATCTGCCTAAAGATGGTGACCTGCTTATGGGTGGCCGTGGTCCGCAAGTCATTAGTAGCTTTGGCACACGGGTCTATCTTCTGGAATGACCAGGCCTCCCTACGTAGGCCAGAGTCTTCCTGCACAGGCCCTGGGCCCTAAGGCTGCACAGGTGCCCGAGGTCCAGTCAGCAGATATGTTGGGATCAAGGCATCGCGTGTCCTTCTGCTAAGGCAGTGTTTCCCATACCACTGGCAGGCATCAAGATCACTTAGAGAGCTTGTAATTCCTCAGGAAATGACCTTCAGGCCTCTCACAAAAAGTGTCAAAGAACTGAAACTAGATCACCACACCAGATGCCTGACCCCTCATTCACCATGATCGCTTCCTTGCCCCAGGCTGGAGTGCAGTGGTGCGATCTCAGCTCACTGCGACCTCTGCCTCCCGGGTTCAAGTGATGCTTCTGTCTCAGCCTCGTGAGTAGCTGGGACTACAGGTGCACGCCACCACGCCCAGCTAATTTTTGTATTTTTAGTAGAGACGGGATTTCTTAGCCAGACTGGTCTCAAACTCCTGACCTTGTTATCTGCCCACCTCTGCCTCCCAAAATGCTGAGATTACAGGTGTAAGCCACCGCAACCAGCCTGAGCCACCGCGCCTGGCCCTGTTTTCTTATACATTGTTATATTTCTTGCCTGCTATATAAACTCCTGGTTTTGATCAGTCAGGGAGATGGATTTGAGACTCAGCTGCAGCACCCTATTAAAGCCTTCTTCCTTGGCAATACTCATCATCTCAGCGATTGGCTTTCTGTGCGGTGAGCAGCAGGACTGAGATCAAACCCCTGGTGTTTCAGTAACCATTTTCCTACTGTTTTTCTTTTCTTTTTTTTTTTCTGTAGAGCCAATGTCGTGCCATGTTGCCCAGGCTGGTTTCAAACTCCTGGGATCAGGTGATCCCCCTACCTCAGCCTCCCAAAGTGCTGGGATTACAGGTATGAACCACCACGCCTGGCCCCCTAGTGAAATCTAAAATTGCAACGCTCTTTTTTCTCACAGTTTTCTCATGTCATTAATTCTCTCTTCTACTTCTCTAAAAACTTTAATCTACTCCACTGTCCCTGACATTTTAGTTTTTGTCTGACTACACTGTCTTGCCTACCCCATATTTGAACCACTTTTTCACTACTGCCCCCAGCCCCTATTGCCCTAACAGGCCTCCCAGGCTTCTCAGACCCGCGCAATGGAGATGAAGCCTGGAGTTACTGACTGTGCTGCGCAAAGCAGGCCAGGAGCCCACAGCTGTCCTGAAAGCCCTTCTGTTTGTGGTGTTCACCTTGGACAGGCCTTCGCCCCCGACTTCGTTCATCTGTTCTTGCTCAGCTTATATCTTCTCTTAACCCACCGCAACATTCATGGCTGAGACCCCCTAACAAAAGACTGATTAGCAAAAGAAAATCATGCAAATTTATCTAACGAAAGTTTTACATGACCCAGGAGCCTTCAGACATGAAGGCCCAAAGAAACAGGGAACACTGTATTTTTATGCTTAGGATGGATAAAGAGTGGACAGTCCTGTAGGATGGTTGGACAAAGGGAAGATGAGCTAATGAGAATAACCTGGGGAGAACTTAGCAAGGCCAATTTGTTCAGATTCCGCTTGGCATCGCTGGGTCTTCATTCCTCTTCTCTAGGTACAGGGAGGAGGAACCTCTGGAATGAGCGTCTAATGACCTACTTTAGAGGGAGGCCAAATAATTATTTTAGGACCTGCTTTGGAGGAGAACACTGGGAGAAGGTCAGAGAGATCTTCCCGCTGCTGCCCTGCGTTCTCCTTCCCCTCCTTTGTCTCCACGGTCCCCGCCCTTGTTTACCCTCCCGTGCTCTTACCACCCTCCAGGATCATACTCAATGCATTAACCCTTTCCCTCGTCTCTTCTGGCTTGTTCGCCCCAGGCCTCCCCATAAACCTTTCTTAATAAATCCTTCTTTCTCCATCCTGTGTCTACGTCTACTTCCAACCATTTTTTCTCCTTAAATATTTAATTCACCATCTTTACCTACATGCTTATTTTATGCATTATCACAAAATTATATTTTCAGCCCCCATATTTTCCTGAAGCTCTTTTGCAACTGTTGTAAATAATCTTCTGGCAGCCAAACCCCTTTTTCGTTCCCTCATTAAGGAGGGTTTATACTTAGGAAGCAGCCACCACTTCCACCACTGAGCTGGCATTGGCGATACGACAATGAACAAGATACAAATGGCCTTTACCCTTATGGAGCACGCAGTCCGTGGTAAAGAAAGCAAGAAGATAATCAATTACAGACCAACCTGGATAACACAGGGAGATCTCATCGCTGCAAAATAAAAAAAATTAGCCAGGCGTGGTGGCGCATGCCTGTGGTCCAGCTATTTGGGAGGCTTAAACAGGAGGATCATTTGAGCTGGGGAGTTTGAGGTTGCAGTGAGCCATGATCACGCTACTGCACTCCAGCCTGGGCGACAGAGTGAGACCTGCAGTGAGCCATGATCACGCTACTGCACTCCAGCCTGGGCGACAGAGTGAGACCTTGTCTATAAAATGATAATAATAAGAATAACCAATTGAATTACAGCATAACAAATGCCAGGATGGAGAAATAATGGGAAACTGGGTGCAGAGGAGGGAGGTCTTTAAGGCAGATCAACTCTCCTTGGCATTTAGTTCTAAATACTGTCCTCCCATGTGGCTTGTAGGACCCACACTCCCCTGAGACTCCTCCTGCCACTCCTACTTGGTTTTATTCTTTGTCACTCCTCCATTTCCCCAACTATCTTTGAAATATTCGTGTTCCACAGGACTTTGTCATTTACACACTCTTCCCTTCTCTTTCTAGAGGCTTCCTTGAGCATGCTCACTGCTTGAAAACCTGATGAAACTGACATCCGTCTCTAGCCTGGAGACGTTCTCTTGCACACTCAGCTCTATGACGGGCTCCTCAAACTCAAAAGGCTCGGGAACTGAGCTCATTATGTTTCCTCCCAGTCCTTCTCCTATTATCTGTCCTACTCTAGTTAATGAAATTTTCACCTCCCTATTTGGAGCAAGTCCAAAAACTGAGAGTCAACCTATATTTCTCCATTTTACTTATTCTCTGCCTTCACTGGAGGCTGTACCACTTACAAGCACATACTCTAAAGCCAGATGGTGTGGACTGAATCACAATTCTACTATTTGCTAGAAGAGTGCCTTAGGTAAATTACTGCATAGCTCTGTGACTCCATTTCCTCATCTGGGAAGTGTATTATTAAGAATGTGGCTGGCCTTTGTCCCCAGGTTTTGGGAAGTAACCTCTAAACCCCTGCCATTTCCCGTGCTCTAGGGGTATCTTTGTTATTCACAGGGGGCTCCTTGGACCACACTTGGTAGTCTATGTGAACATATGACTTGGAATGGAGGCTGGTCAAGACGGAAAGACCCACCATGTGATTAGGGAGTCGAGGGCTTTGAACCATATTTTAGTGGCCTGACTCTGAGGAGGAGAGGGGCCAAAGACTGAGACACATGGGCAATGATTCGATGAATCATGCCTATGTAATGAAACCCCAATAAAACTCACAAGGACTCAGGGGAGCTTCCCTGGTTGGCAATTTCCTCTGTGCGTTGCCATACACTGAAGTGCCGGAAGGGTAGCACGTCCTGAGGACAAGGGCAGCTTCGCAGCTAGAACCCTCATAGATCCCCTTCTGTGCATCTCTCCCTTTCACTGCTTCTGAATTACATCCTTTTACTGCAATAAAACTGCCATCATAAGTATAGTGCCTTCCTGAGTTCTGTGAGCTGTTCTAGAAAATTGTTGAACCTCAGGGAGTCTGTAGGGACCCCTGAATTGGTAGCCAGCTGGTTAGAAGTTAGGGTGGCTCCGGAGGCCTCCAAACTTGCAGCTGGTGTCTGCCGTGAAGGAAGTCTTGTAAAGAACTGTGCCCTTAACCTGCGGTTTGGCCTAAATCCAGACAGGGAATTGAAGACAATAACGCCTAATCCATATGGTTACTGTGAGAATTAAATGAGCTAATACAGATAAAGCCTTTGAATAGTAACTATCATAAGTACAAAATGAATATCACCTATTTTTATTTGTATTGATTTATTTTTATAGACAGGGTCTTGCTCTGTTGCCCAGGCTGGAATGCAGTGGCACCATCGATCATTGCTCATTGCAGCCTCAACCTCCTGGGCTCAAGTGATCCTCCCACTTCAGCCTCCCAAGTAGCTAGGACTACAGGTGCACACCATCATGCCCAACTAACCTGTTTAATTTTGTAGAGACGAGGTCTCACTCTGTTGCAGGCTGGCCTCAAGCTCCTGACGTCAAACAATCCTCTTCAGCTTCCCAAAGTGCTGGGGTTGATGTTACCCACCTTTAGAATTGTTGCCTTGCATTAGTGTGAACAGAGCCCATATACATGAGGAGTCTGCATTCCCAGGGTCTTCCCAATGGGCCTCCACTGGATGCCCATAGAGAAGAATGGTACACAGCAGAAAAGCAGAGAGAGAGAGCTTCATGTGGCAGCACACAGACATAGATCCCCACCTCCTTTCTGGGCCTTTCCTTCACACAACACAAAAGCATGAGGCCACTGTGGATGGGCAGGTAATCCTTTTGTCCCCCAAGGCTTGTGGAAAGATCTTCTGTTGTTTGTTTGTTTGTTAGTGGTAGGGTGGTTAAAAGCAAAAGCCATCTGCCCCTGGATCATGCCCCATATAAAACCGAGGTCTGCTACCAGTGAGCCAGGAGCAGGAAGCTTTCTCCAAAGAACCCCACAGATACAAGCAGAGTTTGACTATGAGACAAAGGCAGAAATACTGAGAAAACCCCATACATGAGGTCCAGGCTAACAGGGATAGCCTAAGATTGAGGCTGGACCAGGAGAATTAAAAAATGCCCCTTCCACACCTTAAGTCTTTCATGGGAAAATAAGCAACAACAGTTGTTTACTCTTGGGAGGGAGGAATCAAATGAAAAGAGAGACATCTTTTGTGTACAGGCATTCAGGGTCTACCAAAAGATGAAGGTGAAACAGTAACATTGACAAAAACTCTCCAGCACACCAGGTCCTTCACTAATACAAGGTATCAGAGCCCACGACTGGAAGAACTTAAAGTTTGAACTAACTGTGATTATAGCAGCAACAAAACCCAAACCCAACTCAAACCAGACTTCCACACAAGTGGCCTGGCAGAAGAAGTATGCCCATTTCTGGACATAAAATATTTTAAAAGTCCCTTTATTACTATTGTTCTTCTACACACAATGTCTGATGGTCAATTTTTAGAAATACATATACGTATGATGTGTAAAGCAAGAAAACATCCAACTTACTATCAAGGGATAAAGCAATCAACAGAATAAGGCCCAGAGATGAACAAGATGCTAAAACAATCAAACAGGAATTTTAAAATAACCATGATTAGCACAGGACAAAAAGATCAACTCTCATCACTTCTATGTAAAATGTATTTAAAATCTTAAACAGTGAAATAAGGCAAGAGCCAGAAAAAAAAAGGCACACAGACTTAAAAAAACAAAACTACATTCATTACCTGACTGCATAAAAATTCCAAATAATCTTTTTTAAATGCTATTGGAGTAAGTGAATCTAACAAGGTTGTGGAAGTTAAGGCCAATATATAAAAATCAAATGTCTTTTTATATACTAGCAATGAACAATTGGAAATTCAAATTTTAGGAAACATCATTTACCCTAGTATCAAAAGCATGAAATATTTGGAGATAAATCTAACAAAAATGTGTAAGAAATACTGTGAAAATTACAGAATATTGATGATGGAAATTAAAGCACACATAAAAAATAAAGCAAACTACCATGTCATGAATAGGAAGACTCAGTATGGTTAAACTTTTAATTCTTCCCAAAGTGAGCTATAGGTTCAATGGAAATCCAATGAAAATCCAAGTAAGGCTTTTTTTGGTAGAAAATAGCAAAGGTGATTCCAAAGTCTACACGGACTTTACCTGCACTATATCCAAAATTTAGTTCAAAATAGACGCCAGGCATAATATCACACCTAAAACTATAAAATCTTCTAGAATGAAAAAAGAAAAATCTTTGTTAAGCAAAACGAGGTGTAAAATGATGTAATAATTTGGGGGAGCAAAATAAGCAGTTTATTATTAGGTTAAAAATACTCTTACCACACAAGCCAGATAGATACTCCTTTTCTAAGTATTTCCCCCCCCCAACCCAAAATGAAAACATATCCATAAAACTAAACTGCAAATGAATGACACAAGATTTACCTGCACAGTGTCATGGCACTATGGGGCTGGCAAGGTAGTAGCATAGCCATGGTGCCAAGGCAAACTTCTCAAATCTCTCTGTGCTTCAGTCCCTAGAAGGAACTCAGCTACAGGCGATGCCCGATCAGGTTGAGGTTTGGAATGGGCCCTGGATACTGGCATTTTTAAAACTCTTCCCAGGTGGCCGGGCATGGTGGCTCTTGTAATCCCAGCACTTTGGGAGGCTGAAATGGGAGGATGGCTGGAGGCCAGGAGTTTGAGAACAGCCTGAGCAACATAGCAAGATCTCGTCTCAATAAATAAATAAATATTCTTCCAAGGCAATTTTGCTGTGCTGCTGGGTTTAAAGCACTAGCAGGACAAGACAGTCATTGTTTCTAGTATATATGTGAACACATTGCAGGAGGGAATAACATATACAAATTAGCGCTTAAAAACATTCAGGAAGGAACATACAAAGGAGCAAAGAATTATATATTCAACACATGTTTTGTGCTCTAGAAGAAATTAAACAGAACATGGAATCAAACAAAAATTAAAGATAAAATAGGTCAAAAGAGAAATTGGAGAGAAAATAAAGCAAAGGAAGGACAAAACACCATTAGAAACACCCAGGAACAGAATGATCAGCTGCCAGCAAGTCAGTGTCAGCAAGGGAAGATCTGAAATGCTAGCAAAGAGGAAGAAGAAAAAGATTAAAGACATTGAAAGGAAAAGATATGGAGGACAGACAAGATACAAAATAAAGCAAAACATAACATTGCTCTCAAATTTGAAACACGTGACAGGAAAGTGTTAATTTAGAGAGGTAAAATTCAACAGAAAATTAAAAGGCATGAAAATGGCTAATTAATATGTGGAAGGATTCTGTGTAAATTTAGAAAAATGAAAACAATGTATTCAGTTGGTGCAAAAGTAATTGTGGTTTTTGCCGTTAAAACCTCTTTGCAGATCACATCATCGAAAACTGAAAAGATTGATGTGTGGGCAAAGGTGTAAAACTAGAAACTTGAATATAATGTTGAATAAAACTATCATTTTCAATTCAAATACCACTTTACTTCAGCACATTTATCTTACATATACACTCGCAACTAGGAAAGGAATATGGACAAGCAAAGTCACTGTGTCATTTTTAGTCATTGTAAAAACCAGAAAAAATCTAAAGTTTTGTTTGTAAAGGATTGGTTTAAAATCATGGAATATCCATACAATGAAAAAGGTAGGTGTTCACTGGGAAATACAGTAGCTGTCTATGTTGATAGGGAAAGACCTTCAAGATTGCTCAAGTGACACAACGGATATCTAACAATACGTATGAATGCATACCCTCCTGTTAGGGAAACAGGAGCCTAGGAGAGTCAGGGTGACACCACTTTAAAATCAACTCCATCTTAAACCTAATGAGGCACATTCCTTGCCAGTTACCACCTGTATTAGCCTCTTCTCATGCTGTTAATAAAGACATATTCTAGACTGGATAATTCATAAAAGAAAGAGGTTTAATTGACTCCCAGTTCCGCAGGGATGGGGAGGGCTCAGAAAATGTAG